>NC_000003.12:93154543-93470261 GCF_000001405.40 Homo sapiens
AATCATTCTCAGGAACTACTTTGTGATATGTGCATTCAACTCACAGAGTTTAACCTTTCTTTTCATAGATGAGTTTGGAAACAGTCAGTTTGTAAATTCTGCCACTGGATATTTGGACCTCTTTGAGGCTTTCGTTGGAAACGGGATTTCTTCACATAATGCTAGACAGAAGAATTCTCAGTAACTTCTTTTGGGATGTATGTATTCAAATCAGAGAGTTGAACCTTCCTTTAGACAGAGCGGATTGGAAACACTCTTTTTGTGGAATTTGCAAGTGGAAAATTCTAGCAGTATGAGGCCAATGGTACAAAAGGAAATATCTTCGTATAAAAACTAGACAGTATCATTCTCAGAAACTGCTTTGTGATGTGTGTATTAAACTCACAGAGTTGAACATTTCTTTGCATAGAGCAGTTTGGAAAGACTTAGTTTGTGCAGTGTGCAAGTGGATATTTGGAACTCTTTGAGGCCTTCGTTGGAAACGGGATTTCTTCTTATAATTCTTGACAAAAGAATTCTCAGTAGCTTCTTTGTGTGTGTGTATTCAACTCACAGAGTTGAACCTTCCTTTAGACAGAGCAGATTGGAAACACTCTTTTTGTGGAATTTGCAAGCGGAGAATTCTAGCGCTTTGACGCCAATGGTAGAAAGGAAATATCTTCGTATAAAAACTAGACAGTATCATTCTCAGAAGCTACTTTGTGATGTGTGCGTTCAACTCACAGAGTTTAACCTTTCTTTTCATAGAGCAGTTTGGAAACCCTCTGTTTGTGAAGTCTGCAAGTGGATATTTAAACGTCTTTGAGGCCTTCGTTGGAAACGGGATTTCTTCATATAAACCAGGACAGAAGAATTCTCAGAAACTTCTTGATTGTTATGGGTGCATTCAACTCACAGAGTTGAACCTTACTTTGGAAAGAGCGGTTTTCTAACACTCTTTTTGTAAAAGTTCCAAGTGAATACTTTGAGTGCTTTGAAGCCTACGGTTGACAACGAAATATCTTCATGTAAAAACTACAAAGAATCATTCGCAGAAACCACGTTGTGATCTCTGCATTCAACTCACAGAGTTGAACCTTTCTTCCTATAGAGCAGTTATGAAACAGTCTCTTTGTAGAATTTGCAAGGGTGTATTTAGAGGGCATTGAAGCCTACGGTAGAAAAGGAAATATCTTACCATAAAATCTAGTCAGAAGCATTCTCAGCAACTGAGTTGTGATGTTTGCATTCAACTCACAGAGTTCAACATTCCTTTTAATGGAGCGGTTTTGAAACACTCTTTTTGCAGAATCTGCAAGTGGATATTTGGACCTCTTTGAGGCCTTCGTTGGAAACGGGATTTCTTCATGTAATGCCAGACAGAAGAATTCTCAGTGAATTCTTTCTGTGTGTGTGTATTCAACTCACAGAGTTGAACGTTCCTTTAGACAGAGTAGATTGGAAACACTCTTTTTGTGGAATTTTCAGGTGGAGGTATCAAGCGCTTTGAGGCCAATGATAGAAAAGGAAATACCTTCGTATAATAATTAGACGGAATCATTCTCAGAAACCGCTTTGCAATGTGTGCGTTCAACTCACAGTGTTTAACCTTTCTTTTCATACAGTTGTTTCGAAACACTCTTTTTGCAGAATCTGCAAGTGGATATTTGGACCTCTTTGAAGTCTTCGTTGGAAATGGGATTTCTTCATATAATGCTAGACAGAAGACTTCTCAGTAACTGCTTTTTCTGGTGTGTATTCAACTCTCAGAGTTGAACTTTCCTTTAGAAACAGCAGATTTGAAACTCTCTTTTTGTGGAATTTGCAAGTGGAGATTTCAGAGCTTTGAGGCCAATGGTAGAAAAGGAAATATCTTCGTATGCAAACTAGACAGAATCATTCTCAGAAACTACTTTGGTACGTGTGTGTTCAACTCACAGTGTTTAACCTTTCTTTTCATAGAGCAGTTTGGAAACACTCAGTTTGTAAAGTCAGCAACTGGATATTTGGATGTATTTGAGGCCTTCGTTGGAAACGGGATTTCTTCATATAATGCTAGACAGAAGAATTCTCAGTAACTTCTTTGGGTTGTGGGTATTCAAGTCACAGAGTTGAAGCTTCCTTTAGGCGGAGCAGATTGGAAACACTTTTTGTGGAATTTTCAGGGGGAGACTTCAAGCGCTTTGAAGTGAATGGTAGGAAAGGAAATATCTTCGTATAAAAACTAGACGGAGTCATTCTCAGAAACTACTTTGTGATGTTTGCGTTCAACTCACAGAGTTTAACGTTTCTTTTCATAGAGCAGTTTGGAAACACTCTTTTTGCAGAATCTGCAAGTGGATATTTGGACCTCTTTGTGGCCTTCGTTGGAAACGGGATTTTTCATATAATGCTAGACAGAAGAATTCTCAGTAACTTCTTTTTGTGGTGTGTATTCAACTCACAGAGTTGAACCTTCCTTTAGACAGAGCAGATTTGAAACTCTCTTTTTGTGGAATTTGCAAGTGGAGATTTCAAGCGCTTTGAGGCCAACGGCAGAAAAGGAAATATCTTCGTAGAAAAAATAGACGGAATCATTCTCAGAAACTGCTTTGGGATGTGTGCATTGAACTCACAGTGTTTAACACTTCTTTTCATAGAGCACTTTGGAAACACTCAGTTTGTAATGTCTGCAGCTGGATATTTGGACCTCTTTGAGGCCTTCGTAGTAAACGGGATTTCTTCGTGTAATGATAGACAATAGAATTCTCAGTGAATTTTTTTCTGTGTGTGTGTATTCAACTCACAGGGTTGAACCTTCCTTTAGACAGTGCAGATTTGAGACACTTGTCTGTGGAATTTGCAAGGGGAGATTTCAAGCACTTTGAGGCCATTGGTGGAAAAGGAAATATCTTCGTATAAAAACTAGACAGAATCATTCTCAGGAACTACTTTGTGATATGTGCATTCAACTCACAGAGTTTAACCTTTCTTTTCATAGATGAGTTTGGAAACAGTCAGTTTGTAAATGCTGCAACTGGATATTTGGGCCTCTTTGAGGCTTTCGTTGGAAACGGGATTTCTTCACATAATGCTAGACAGAAGAATTCTCAGTAACTTCTTTTGGGATGTATGTATTCAAATCAGAGAGTTGAACCTTCCTTTAGACAGAGCGGATTGGAAACACTCTTTTTGTGGAATTTGCAAGTGGAAAATTCTAGCAGTATGAGGCCAATGGTACAAAAGGAAATATGTTCGTATAAAAACTAGACAGTATCATTCTCAGAAACTGCTTTGTGATGTGTGTATTAAACTCACAGAGTTGAACATTTCTTTGCATAGAGCAGTTTGGAAAGACTTAGTTTGTGCAGTGTGCAAGTGGATATTTGGAACTCTTTGAGGCCTTCGTTGGAAACGGGATTTCTTCTTATAATTCTTGACAAAAGAATTCTCAGTAGCTTCTTTGTGTGTGTGTATTCAACTCACAGAGTTGAACCTGCCTTCAGGCAGAGCAGATTGGAAACCCTCTTTTTGTGGAATTTGCAAGTGGAGAATTCTAGCGCTTTGACGCCAATGGTAGGAAAGGAAATATCTTCGTATAAAAATTGGACAGTATCATTCTCAGAAACTACTTTGTGATGTGTGCGTTCAACTCACAGAGTTTATCCTTTCTTTTCATAGAGCAGTTTGGAAACACTCTGTTTGTGAAGTCTGCAAGTGGATATTTAAACGTCTTTGAGGCCTTCGTTGGAAACGGGATTTTTTCATATAAACCAGGACAGAAGAATTCTCAGAAACTTCTTGATTGTTATGTGTGCATTCAACTCACAGAGTTGAACCTTACTTTGGAAAGAGCAGTTTTCTAACACTCTTTTTGTAAAAGTTCCAAGTGAATACTTTGAGTGCTTTGAAGCCTACGGTTGACAACGAAATATCTTCATGTAAAAACTACAAAGAATCATTTGCAGAAACCACGTTGTGATCTCTGCATTCAACTCACAGAGTTGAACCTTTCTTCCTATAGAGCAGTTATGAAACAGTCTCTTTGTAGAATTTGCAAGGGTGTATTTAGAGGGCATTGAAGCCTACGGTAGAAAAGGAAATATCTTACCATAAAATCTAGTCAGAAGCATTCTCAGAAACTGAGTTGTGATGTTTGCATTCAACTCACAGAGTTCAACATTCCTTTTAATGGAGCGGTTTTGAAACACTCTTTTTGCAGAATCTGCAAGTGGATATTTGGACCTCTTTGAGGCCTTCGTTGGAAACGGGATTTCTTCATGTAATGCCAGACAGAAGAATTCTCAGTGAATTCTTTCTGTGTGTGTGTATTCAACTCACAGAGTTGAACCTTCCTTTAGACAGAGTAGATTGGAAACACTCTTTTTGTGGAATTTTCAGTTGGAGGTATCAAGCGCTTTGAGGCCAATGATAGAAAAGGAAATACCTTCGTATAATAATTAGACGGAATCATTCTCAGAAACTGCTTTGCAATGTGTGCGTTCAACTCACAGTGTTTAACCTTTCTTTTCATACAGTTGTTTCGAAACACTCTTTTTGCAGAATCTGCAAGTGGATATTTGGACCTCTTTGAAGTCTTCGTTGGAAATGGGATTTCTTCATATAATGCTAGACAGAAGACTTCTCAGTAACTGCTTTTTTCTGGTGTGTATTCAACTCTCAGAGTTGAACTTTCCTTTAGAAACAGCAGATTTGAAACTCTCTTTTTGTGGAATTTGCAAGTGGAGATTTCAGAGCTTTGAGGCCAATGGTAGAAAAGGAAATATCTTCGTATGCAAACTAGACAGAATCATTCTCAGAAACTACTTTGGTACGTGTGTGTTCAACTCACAGTGTTTAACCTTTCCTTTCATAGAGCAGTTTGGAAACACTCAGTTTGTAAAGTCAGCAACTGGATATCTGGATGTATTTGAGGCCTTCGTTGGAAACGGGATTTCTTCATGTAGTGCTAGACAGAAGAATTCTCAGTAACTTCTTTGGGTTGTGGGTATTCAACTCACAGAGCTGAAGCTTCCTTTAGGCGGAGCAGATTGGAAACACTTTTTGTGGAATTTTCAGGGGGAGACTTCAAGCGCTTTGAGGCCAACGGTAGAAAAGGAAATATCTTCGTATAAAAACTAGACGGAGTCATTCTCAGAAACTACTTTGTGATGTTTGCGTTCAACTCACAGAGTTTAACGTTTCTTTTCATAGAGCAGTTTGGAGACACTCTTTTTGCAGAATCTGCAAGTGGATATTTGGACCTCTTTGTGGCCTTCGTTGGAAACGGGATTTTTCATATAATGCTAGACAGAAGAATTCTCAGTAACTTCTTTTTGTGGTGTGTATTCAACTCACAGAGTTGAACCTTCCTTTAGACAGAGCAGATTTGAAACTCTCTTTTTGTGGAATTTGCAAGTGGAGATTTCAAGCGCTTTGAGGCCAACGGCAGAAAAGGAAATATCTTCGTAGAAAAAATAGACGGAATCATTCTCAGAAACTGCTTTGGGATGTGTGCATTGAACTCACAGTGTTTAACACTTCTTTTCATAGAGCACTTTGGAAACAGTCAGTTTGGAATGTCTGCAGCTGGATATTTGGACCTCTTTGAGGCCTTCGTAGTAAACGGGATTTCTTCGGGTAATGATAGACAATAGAATTCTCAGTGAATTTTTTTCTGTGTGTGTGTATTCAACTCACAGGGTTGAACCTTCCTTCAGACAGTACAGATTTGAAACACTTTTCTGTGGAATTTGCAAGGGGAGATTTCAAGCACTTTGTGGCCATTGGTGGAAAAGGGAATATCTTCGTATAAAAACTAGACAGAGTTATTGTCAGGAACTACTTTGTGATATGTGCATTCAACTCACAGGGTTTAACCTTTCTTTTCATAGATGAGTTTGGAAACAGTCAGTTTGTAAATTCTGCAACTGGATATTTGGACCTCTTTGAGGCTTTCGTTGGAAACGGGATTTCTTCACATAATGCTAGACAGAAGAATTCTCAGTAACTTCTTTTGGGATGTATGTATTCAACTCAGAGAGTTGAACCTTCCTTTAGACAGAGCGGATTGGAAACACGCTTTTTGCGGAATTTTCAGGTGGAGATTCCAAGAGCCTTGAGGCCAATGGTAGAAAAGGCTATCTTCGTATAAAAACTAGAGGGAATCATTCTCAGAAACTGCTTTGTGATGTGTGCATTAAACTCACAGAGTTGAACATTTCTTTGCATAGAGCAGTTTGGAAAGACTTAGTTTGTACAGTGTGCAAGTGGATATTTGGAACTCTTTGAGGCCTTCGTTGGAAACGGGATTTCTTCTTATAATTCTTGACAAAAGAATTCTCAGTAGCTTCTTTGTGTGTGTGTATTCAACTCACAGAGTTGAACCTTCCTTTAGACAGAGCAGATTGGAAACACTCTTTTTGTGGAATTTGCAAGTGGAGAATTCTAGCGCTTTGACGCCAATGGTAGAAAGGAAATATCTTCCTATATAAACTAGACAGTATCATTCTCAGAAACTACTTTGTGATGTGTGCGTTCAACTCACAGAGTTTAACCTTTCGTTTCATAGAGCAGTTTGGAAACACTCTGTTTGTGAAGTCTGCAAGTGGATATTTAAACGTCTTTGAGGCCTTCGTTGGAAACGGGATTTCTTCATATAAACCAAAGCAGAAGAATTCTCACAAACTTCTTGATTGCTATGGGTGCATTCAACTCACAGAGTTGAACCTTACTTTGGAAAGAGCAGTTTTCTAACACTCTTTTTGTAAAAGTTCCAAGTGAATACTTTGAGTGCTTTGAAGCCTACGGTAGACAACGAAATATCTTCATGTAAAAACTACAAAGAATCATTCGCAGAAACCACGTTGTGATCTCTGCATTCAACTCACAGAGTTGAACCTTTCTTCCTATAGAGCAGTTATGAAACAGTCTCTTTGTAGAATTTGCAAGGGTGTATTTAGAGGGCATTGAAGCCTACGGCAGAAAAGGAAATATCTTACCATAAAATCTAGTCAGAAGCATTCTCAGCAACTGAGTTGTGATGTTTGCATTCAACTCACAGAGTTCAACATTCCTTTTAATGGAGCGGTTTTGAAACACTCTTTTTGCAGAATCTGCAAGTGGATATTTGGACCTCTTTGAGGCCTTCGTTGGAAACGGGATTTCTTCATGTAATGCCAGACAGAAGAATTCTCAGTGAATTCTTTCTGTGTGTGTGTATTCAACTCACAGAGTTGAACGTTCCTTTAGACAGAGTAGATTGGAAACACTCTTTTTGTGGAATTTTCAGGTGGAGGTATCAAGCGCTTTGAGGCCAATGATAGAAAAGGAAATACCTTCGTATAATAATTAGACGGAATCATTCTCAGAAACCGCTTTGCAATGTGTGCGTTCAACTCACAGTGTTTAACCTTTCTTTTCATAGAGTTGTTTCGAAACACTCTTTTTGCAGAATCTGCAAGTGGATATTTGGACCTCTTTGAAGTCTTCGGTTGGAAATGGGATTTCTTCATATAATGCTAGACAGAAGACTTCTCAGTAACTGCTTTTTCTGGTGTGTATTCAACTCTCAGAGTTGAACTTTCCTTTAGAAACAGCAGATTTGAAACTCTCTTTTTGTGGAATTTGCAAGTGGAGATTTCATAGCTTTGAGGCCAATGGTAGAAAAGGAAATATCTTCGTATGCAAACTAGACAGAATCATTCTCAGAAACTACTTTGGTACGTGTGTGTTCAACTCACAGTGTTTAACCTTTCTTTTCATAGAGCAGTTTGGAAACACTCAGTTTGTAAAGTCAGCAACTGGATATTTGGATGTATTTGAGGCCTTCGTTGGAAACGGGATTTCTTCATATAATGCTAGACAGAAGAATTCTCAGTAACTTCTTTGGGTTGTGGGTATTCAAGTCACAGAGTTGAAGCTTCCTTTAGGCGGAGCAGATTGGAAACACTTTTTGTGGAATTTTCAGGGGGAGACTTCAAGCGCTTTGAAGTGAATGGTAGGAAAGGAAATATCTTCGTATAAAAACTAGACGGAGTCATTCTCAGAAACTACTTTGTGATGTTTGCGTTCAACTCACAGAGTTTAACGTTTCTTTTCATAGAGCAGTTTGGAAACACTCTTTTTGCAGAATCTGCAAGTGGATATTTGGACCTCTTTGTGGCCTTCGTTGGAAACGGGATTTTTCATATAATGCTAGACAGAAGAATTCTCAGTAACTTCTTTTTGTGGTGTGTATTCAACTCACAGAGTGGAACCTTCCTTTAGACAGAGCAGATTTGAAACTCTCTTTTCGTGGAATTTGCAAGTGGAGATTTCAAGCGCTTTGAGGCCAACGGTAGAAAAGGAAATATCTTCGTAGAAAAAATAGACGGAATCATTCTCAGAAACTGCTTTGGGATGTGTGCATTGAACTCACAGTGTTTAACACTTCTTTTCATAGAGCACTTTGGAAACACTCAGTTTGAAATGTCTGCAGCTGGATATTTGGACCTCTTTGAGGCCTTCGTAGTAAACGGGATTTCTTCGTGTAATGATAGACAATAGAATTCTCAGTGAATTTTTTTCTGTGTGTGTGTATTCAACTCACAGGGTTGAACCTTCCTTTAGACAGTGCAGATTTGAAACACTTTTCTGTGGAATTTGCAAGGGGAGATTTCAAGCACTTTGAGGCCATTGGTGGAAAAGGAAATATCTTCGTATAAAAACTAGACAGAATCATTCTCAGGAACTACTTTGTGATATGTGCATTCAACTCACAGAGTTTAACCTTCCTTTTCATAGATGAGTTTGGAAACAGTCAGTTTGTAAATTCTGCAACTGGATATTTGGACCTCTTGGAGGCTTTCGTTGGAAACGGGATTTCTTCACATAATGCTAGACAGAAGAATTCTCAGTAACTTCTTTTGGGATGTATGTATTCAAATCAGAGAGTTGAACCTTCCTTTAGACAGAGCGGATTGGAAACACTCTTTTTGTGGAATTTGCAAGTGGAAAATTCTAGCAGTATGAGGCCAATGGTACAAAAGGAAATATCTTCGTATAAAAACTAGACAGTATCATTCTCAGAAACTGCTTTGTGATGTGTGTATTAAACTCACAGAGTTGAACATTTCTTTGCATAGAGCAGTTTGGAAAGACTTAGTTTGTGCAGTCTGCAAGTGGATATTTGGAACTCTTTGAGGCCTTCGTTGGAAACGGGATTTCTTCTTATAATTCTTGACAAAAGAATTCTCAGTAGCTTCTTTGTGTGTGTGTATTCAACTCACAGAGTTGAACCTTCCTTTAGACAGAGCAGATTGGAAACACTCTTTTTGTGGAATTTGCAAGTGGAGAATTCTAGCGCTTTGACGCCAATGGTAGAAAGGAAATATCTTCGTATAAAAACTAGACGGTATCATTCTCAGAAACTACTTTGTGATGTGTGCGTTCAACTCACAGAGTTTAACCTTTCTTTTCATAGAGCAGTTTGGAAACCCTCTGTTTGTGAAGTCTGCAAGTGGATATTTAAACGTCTTTGAGGCCTTCGTTGGAAACGGGATTTTTTCATATAAACCAGGACAGAAGAATTCTCAGAAACTTCTTGATTGTTATGTGTGCATTCAACTCACAGAGTTCAACCTTACTTTGGAAAGAGCAGTTTTCTAACACTCTTTTTGTAAAAGTTCCAAGTGAATACTTTGAGTTCTTTGAAGCCTACGGTTGACAACGAAATATCTTCATGTAAAAACTACAAAGAATCATTCGCAGAAACCACGTTGTGATCTCTGCATTCAACTCACAGAGTTGAACCTTTCTTCCTATAGAGCAGTTATGAAACAGTCTCTTTGTAGAATT
Organism: Homo sapiens; assembly: GCF_000001405.40. NCBI lineage: Eukaryota > Metazoa > Chordata > Mammalia > Primates > Hominidae > Homo > Homo sapiens. Next base: position 93,164,339 of record NC_000003.12, read on the forward strand.
TGCAAGGGTGTATTTACAGGGCATTGAAGCCTACGGTAGAAAAGGAAATATCTTACCATAAAATCTAGTCAGAAGCATTCTCAGCAACTGAGTTGTGATGTTTGCATTCAACTCACAGAGTTCAACATTCCTTTTAATGGAGCGGTTTTGAAACACTCTTTTTGCAGAATCTGCAAGTGGATATTTGGACCTCTTTGAGGCCTTCGTTGGAAACGGGATTTCTTCATGTAATGCCAGACAGAAGAATTCTCAGTGAATTCTTTCTGTGTGTGTGTATTCAACTCACAGAGTTGAACGTTCCTTTAGACAGAGTAGATTGGAAACACTCTTTTTGTGGAATTTTCAGGTGGAGGTATCAAGCGCTTTGAGGCCAATGATAGAAAAGGAAATACCTTCGTATAATAATTAGACGGAATCATTCTCAGAAACCGCTTTGCAATGTGTGCGTTCAACTCACAGTGTTTAACCTTTCTTTTCATACAGTTGTTTCGAAACACTCTTTTTGCAGAATCTGCAAGTGGATATTTGGACCTCTTTGAAGTCTTCGTTGGAAATGGGATTTCTTCATATAATGCTAGACAGAAGACTTCTCAGTAACTGCTTTTTCTGGTGTGTATTCAACTCTCAGAGTTGAACTTTCCTTTAGAAACAGCAGATTTGAAACTCTCTTTTTGTGGAATTTGCAAGTGGAGATTTCAGAGCTTTGAGGCCAATGGTAGAAAAGGAAATATCTTCGTATGCAAACTAGACAGAATCATTCTCAGAAACTACTTTGGTACGTGTGTGTTCAACTCACAGTGTTTAACCTTTCTTTTCATAGAGCAGTTTGGAAACACTCAGTTTGTAAAGTCAGCAACTGGATATTTGGATGTATTTGAGGCCTTCGTTGGAAACGGGATTTCTTCATATAATGCTAGACAGAAGAATTCTCAGTAACTTCTTTGGGTTGTGGGTATTCAAGTCACAGAGTTGAAGCTTCCTTTAGGCGGAGCAGATTGGAAACACTTTTTGTGGAATTTTCAGGGGGAGACTTCAAGCGCTTTGAAGTGAATGGTAGGAAAGGAAATATCTTCGTATAAAAACTAGACGGAGTCATTCTCAGAAACTACTTTGTGATGTTTGCGTTCAACTCACAGAGTTTAACGTTTCTTTTCATAGAGCAGTTTGGAAACACTCTTTTTGCAGAATCTGCAAGTGGATATTTGGACCTCTTTGTGGCCTTCGTTGGAAACGGGATTTTTCATATAATGCTAGACAGAAGAATTCTCAGTAACTTCTTTTTGTGGTGTGTATTCAACTCACAGAGTGGAACCTTCCTTTAGACAGAGCAGATTTGAAACTCTCTTTTTGTGGAATTTGCAAGTGGAGATTTCAAGCGCTTTGAGGCCAACGGCAGAAAAGGAAATATCTTCGTAGAAAAAATAGACGGAATCATTCTCAGAAACTGCTTTGGGATGTGTGCATTGAACTCACAGTGTTTAACACTTCTTTTCATAGAGCACTTTGGAAACACTCAGTTTGTAATGTCTGCAGCTGGATATTTGGACCTCTTTGAGGCCTTCGTAGTAAACGGGATTTCTTCGTGTAATGATAGACAATAGAATTCTCAGTGAATTTTTTTCTGTGTGTGTGTATTCAACTCACAGGGTTGAACCTTCCATCAGACAGTGCAGATTTGAAACACTTTTCTGTGGAATTTGCAAGGGGAGATTTCCAGCACTTTGAGGCCATTGGTGGAAAAGGAAATATCTTCGTATAAAAACTAGACAGAATCATTCTCAGGAACTACTTTGTGATATGTGCGTTCAACTCACAGGGTTTAACCTTTCTTTTCATAGATGAGTTTGGAAACAGTCAGTTGGTAAATTCTGCAACTGGATATTTGGACCTCTTTGAGGCTTTCGTTGGAAACGGGATTTCTTCACATAATGCTAGACAGAAGAATTCTCAGTAACTTCTTTTGGGATGTATGTATTCAAATCAGAGAGTTGAACCTTCCTTTAGACAGAGCGGATTGGAAACACTCTTTTTGTGGAATTTGCAAGTGGAAAATTCTAGCAGTATGAGGCCAATGGTACAAAAGGAAATATCTTCGTATAAAAACTAGACAGTATCATTCTCAGAAACTGCTTTGTGATGTGTGTATTAAACTCACAGAGTTGAACATTTCTTTGCATAGAGCAGTTTGGAAAGACTTAGTTTGTGCAGTGTGCAAGTGGATATTTGGAACTCTTTGAGGCCTTCGTTGGAAATGGGATTTCTTCTTATAATTCTTGACAAAAGAATTCTCAGTAGCTTCTTTGTGTGTGTGTATTCAACTCACAGAGTTGAACCTTCCTTTAGACAGAGCAGATTGGAAACACTCTTTTTGTGGAATTTGCAAGTGGAGAATTCTAGCGCTTTGACGCCAATGGTAGAAAGGAAATATCTTCGTATAAAAACTAGACAGTATCATTCTCAGAAGCTACTTTGTGATGTGTGCGTTCAACTCACAGAGTTTAACCTTTCTTTTCATAGAGCAGTTTGGAAACACTCTGTTTGTGAAGTCTGCAAGTGGATATTTAAACGTCTTTGAGGCCTTCGTTGGAAACGGGATTTTTTCATATAAACCAGGACAGAAGAATTCTCAGAAACTTCTTGATTGTTATGTGTGCATTCAACTCACAGAGTTGAACCTTACTTTGGAAAGAGCAGTTTTCTAACACTCTTTTTGTAAAAGTTCCAAGTGAATACTTTGAGTGCTTTGAACCCTACGGTTGACAACGAAATATCTTCCTGTAAAAACTACAAAGAATCATTCGCAGAAACCACGTTGTGATCTCTGCATTCAACTCACAGAGTTGAACCTTTCTTCCTATAGAGCAGTTATGAAACAGTCTCTTTGTAGAATTTGCAAGGGTGTATTTAGAGGGCATTGAAGCCTACGGTAGAAAAGGAAATATCTTACCATAAAATCTAGTCAGAAGCATTCTCAGCAACTGAGTTGTGATGTTTCCATTCAACTCACAGAGTTCAACATTCCTTTTAATGGAGCGGTTTTGAAACACTCTTTTTGCAGAATCTGCAAGTGGATATTTGGACCTCTTTGAGGCCTTCGTTGGAAACGGGATTTCTTCATGTAATGCCAGACAGAAGAATTCTCAGTGAATTCTTTCTCTGTGTGTGTATTCAACTCACAGAGTTGAACGTTCCTTTAGACAGAGTAGATTGGAAACACTCTTTTTGTGGAATTTTCAGGTGGAGGTATCAAGCGCTTTGAGGCCAATGATAGAAAAGGAAATACCTTCGTATAATAATTAGACGGAATCATTCTCAGAAACTGCTTTGCAATGTGTGCGTTCAACTCACAGTGTTTAACCTTTCTTTTCATACAGTTGTTTCGAAACACTCTTTTTGCAGAATCTGCAAGTGGATATTTGGACCTCTTTGAAGTCTTCGTTGGAAATGGGATTTCTTCATATAATGCTAGACAGAAGACTTCTCAGTAACTGCTTTTTCTGGTGTGTATTCAACTCTCAGAGTTGAACTTTCCTTTAGAAACAGCAGATTTGAAACTCTCTTTTTGTGGAATTTGCAAGTGGAGATTTCAGAGCTTTGAGGCCAATGGTAGAAAAGGAAATATCTTCGTATGCAAACTAGACAGAATCATTCTCAGAAACTACTTTGGTACGTGTGTGTTCAACTCACAGTGTTTAACCTTTCTTTTCATAGAGCAGTTTGGAAACACTCAGTTTGTAAAGTCAGCAACTGGATATTTGGATGTATTTGAGGCCTTCGTTGGAAACGGGATTTCTTCATATAATGCTAGACAGAAGAATTCTCAGTAACTTCTTTGGGTTGTGGGCATTCAAGTCACAGAGTTGAAGCTTCCTTTAGGCGGAGCAGATTGGAAACACTTTTTGTGGAATTTTCAGGGGGAGACTTCAAGGCGCTTTGAAGTGAATGGTAGAAAAGGAAATATCTTCGTATAAAAACTAGACGGAGTCATTCTCAGAAACTACTTTGTGATGTTTGCGTTCAACTCACAGAGTTTAACGTTTCTTTTCATAGAGCAGTTTGGAAACACTCTTTTTGCAGAATCTGCAAGTGGATATTTGGACCTCCTTTGTGGCCTTCGTTGGAAACGGGATTTTTCATATAATGCTAGACAGAAGAATTCTCAGTAACTTCTTTTTGTGGTGTGTATTCAACTCACAGAGTTGAACCTTCCTTTAGACAGAGCAGATTTGAAACTCTCTTTTTGTGGAATTTGCAAGTGGAGATTTCAAGCGCTTTGAGGCCAACGGCAGAAAAGGAAATATCTTCGTAGAAAAAATAGACGGAATCATTCTCAGAAACTGCTTTGGGATGTGTGCATTGAACTCACAGTGTTTAACACTTCTTTTCATAGAGCACTTTGGAAACACTCAGTTTGTAATGTCTGCAGCTGGATATTTGGACCTCTTTGAGGCTTCGTAGTAAACGGGATTTCTTCGTGTAATGATAGACAATAGAATTCTCAGTGAATTTTTTTCTGTGTGTGTGTATTCAACTCACAGGGTTGAACCTTCCTTTAGACAGTGCAGATTTGAGACACTTGTCTGTGGAATTTGCAAGGGGAGATTTCAAGCACTTTGAGGCCATTGGTGGAAAAGGAAATATCTTCGTATAAAAACTAGACAGAATCATTCTCAGGAACTACTTTGTGATATGTGCATTCAACTCACAGAGTTTAACCTTTCTTTTCATAGATGAGTTTGGAAACAGTCAGTTTGTAAATTCTGCAACTGGATATTTGGACCTCTTTGAGGCTTTCGTTGGAAACGGGATTTCTTCACATAATGCTAGACAAGAATTCTCAGTAACTTCTTTTGGGATGTATGTATTCAAATCAGAGAGTTGAACCTTCCTTTAGACAGAGCGGATTGGAAACACTCTTTTTGTGGAATTTGCAAGTGGAAAATTCTAGCAGTATGAGGCCAATGGTACAAAAGGAAATATCTTCGTATAAAAACTAGACAGTATCATTCTCAGAAACTGCTTTGTGATGTGTGTATTAAACTCACAGAGTTGAACATTTCTTTGCATAGAGCAGTTTGGAAAGACTTAGTTTTTGCAGTGTGCAAGTGGATATTTGGAACTCTTTGAGGCCTTCGTTGGAAACGGGATTTCTTCTTATAATTCTTGACAAAAGAATTCTCAGTAGCTTCTTTGTGTGTGTGTATTCAACTCACAGAGTTGAACCTTCCTTTAGACAGAGCAGATTGGAAACACTCTTTTTGTGGAATTTGCAAGTGGAGAATTCTAGCGCTTTGACGCCAATGGTAGAAAGGAAATATGCTTCGTATAAAAACTAGACAGTAATCATTCTCAGAAGCTACTTTGTGATGTGTGCGTTCAACTCACAGAGTTTAACCTTTCTTTTCATAGAGCAGTTTGGAAACCCTCTGTTTGTGAAGTCTGCAAGTGGATATTTAAACGTCTTTGAGGCCTTCGTTGGAAACGGGATTTTTTCATATAAACCAGGACAGAAGAATTCTCAGAAACTTCTTCTTTGTTATGTGTGCATTCAACTCACAGAGTTGAACCTTACTTTGGAAAGAGCAGTTTTCTAACACTCTTTTTGTAAAAGTTCCAAGTGAATACTTTGAGTGCTTTGAAGCCTACGGTTGACAACGAAATATCTTCATGTAAAAACTACAAAGAATCATTCGCAGAAACCACGTTGTGATCTCTGCATTCAGCTCACAGAGTTGAACCTTTCTTCCTATAGAGCAGTTATGAAACAGTCTCTTTGTAGAATTTGCAAGGGTGTATTTAGAGGGCATTGAAGCCTACGGTAGAAAAGGAAATATCTTACCATAAAATCTAGTCAGAAGCATTCTCAGAAACTGAGTTGTGATGTTTGCATTCAACTCACAGAGTTCAACATTCCTTTTAATGGAGCGGTTTTGAAACACTCTTTTTGCAGAATCTGCAAGTGGATATTTGGACCTCTTTGAGGCCTTCGTTGGAAACGGGATTTCTTCATGTAATGCCAGACAGAAGAACTCTCAGTGAATTCCTTCTGTGTGTGTGTATTCAACTCACAGAGTTGAACGTTCCTTTAGACAGAGTAGATTGGAAACACTCTTTTTGTGGAATTTTCAGGTGGAGGTATCAAGCGCTTTGAGGCCCATGATAGAAAAGGAAATACTTTCGTATAATAATTAGACGGAATCATTCTCAGAAACTGCTTTGCAATGTGTGCCTTCAACTCACAGCGTTTAACCTTTCTTTTCATACAGTTGTTTCGAAACACTCTTTTTGCAGAATCTGCAAGTGGATATTTGGACCTCTTTGAAGTCTTCGTTGGAAATGGGATTTCTTCATATAACGCTAGACAGAAGAATTCTCAGTAACTGCTTTTTCTGGTGTGTATTCAACTCTCAGAGTTGAACTTTCCTTTAGAAACAGCAGATTTGAAACTCTCTTTTTGTGGAATTTGCAAGTGGAGATTTCAAAGCTTTGAGACCAATGGTAGAAAAGGAAATATCTTCGTATGCAAACTAGACAGAATCATTCTCAGAAACTACTTTGGTACGTGTGTGTTCAACTCACAGTGTTTAACCTTTCCTTTCATAGAGCAGTTTGGAAACACTCAGTTTGTAAATTCAGCCACTGGATATTTGGATGTATTTGAGGCCTTCGTTGGAAACGGGATTTCTTCATATAATGCTAGACAGAAGAATTCTCAGTATCTTCTTTGTGTTGTTGGTATTCAACTCACAGAGTTGAAGCTTCCTTTAGGCGGAGCAGATTGGAAACACTTTTTGTGGAATTTTCAGGGGGAGACTTCAAGCGCTTTGAGGCCAACGGTAGAAAAGGAAATATCTTCGTATAAAAACTAGACGGAGTCATTCTCAGAAACTACTTTGTGATGTTTGCGTTCAACTCACAGAGTTTAACGTTTCTTTTCATAGAGCAGTTTGGAAACACTCTTTTTGCAGAATCTGCAAGTGGATATTTGGACCTCTTTGTGGCCTTCGTTGGAAACGGGATTTTTCATATAATGCTAGACAGAAGAATTCTCAGTAACTTCTTTTTGTGGTGTGTATTCAACTCACAGAGTTGAACCTTCCTTTAGACAGAGCAGATTTGAAACTCTCTTTTTGTGGAATTTGCAAGTGGAGATTTCAAGCGCTTTGAGGCCAACGGTAGAAAAGGAAATATCTTCGTAGAAAAAATAGATGGAATCATTCTCAGAAACTGCTTTGGGATGTGTGCATTGAACTCACAGTGTTTAACACTTCTTTTCATAGAGCACTTTGGAAACACTCAGTTTGTAATGTCTGCAGCTGGATATTTGGACCTCTTTGAGGCCTTCGTAGTAAACGGGATTTCTTCGTGTAATGATAGACAATAGAATTCTCAGTGAATTTTTTTCTGTGTGTGTGTATTCAACTCACAGGGTTGAACCTTCCTTTAGACAGTGCAGATTTGAGACACTTGTCTGTGGAATTTGCAAGGGGAGATTTCAAGCACTTTGAGGCCATTGGTGGAAAAGGAAATATCTTCGTATAAAAACTAGACAGAATCATTCTCAGGAACTACTTTGTGATATGTGCATTCAACTCACAGAGTTTAACCTTTCTTTTCATAGATGAGTTTGTAAACAGTCAGTTTGTAAATGCTGCAACTGGATATTTGGGCCTCTTTGAGGCTTTCGTTGGAAACGGGATTTCTTCACATAATGCTAGACAGAAGAATTCTCAGTAACTTCTTTTGGGATGTATGTATTCAAATCAGAGATTTGAACCTTCCTTTAGACAGAGCGGATTGGAAACACTCTTTTTGTGGAATTTGCAAGTGGAAAATTCTAGCAGTATGAGGCCAATGGTACAAAAGGAAATATCTTCGTATAAAAACTAGACAGTATCATTCTCAGAAACTGCTTTGTGATGTGTGTATTAAACTCACAGAGTTGAACATTTCTTTGCATAGAGCAGTGTGGAAAGAGTTTGTGCAGTGTGCAAGTGGATATTTGGAACTCTTTGAGGCCTTCGTTGGAAACGGGATTTCTTCTTATAATTCTTGACAAAAGAATTCTCAGTAGCTTCTTTGTGTGTGTGTACTCAACTCACAGAGTTGAACCTTCCTTTAGACAGAGCAGATTGGAAACACTCTTTTTGTGGAATTTGCAAGTGGAAAATTCTAGCAGTATGAGGCCAATGGTACAAAAGGAAATATCTTCGTATAAAAACTAGACAGTATCATTCTCAGAAACTACTTTGTGATGTGTGCGTTCAACTCACAGAGTTTAACCTTTCTTTTCATAGAGCAGTTTGGAAACACTCTGTTTGTGAAGTCTGCAAGTGGATATTTAAACGTCTTTGAGGCCTTCGTTGGAAACGGGATTTTTTCCTATAAACCAGGACAGAAGAATTCTCAGAAACTTCTTGTTTGTTATGTGTGCATTCAACTCACAGAGTTGAACCTTACTTTGGAAAGAGCAGTTTTCTAACACTCTTTTTGTGAAAGTTCCAAGTGAATACTTTGAGTGCTTTGAAGCCTACGGTAGACAACGAAATATCTTCATGTAAAAACTACAAAGAATCATTCGCAGAAACCACGTTGTGATCTCTGCATTCAACTCACAGAGTTGAACCTTTCCTCCTATAGAGCAGTTATGAAACAGTCTCTTTGTAGAATTTGCAAGGGTGTATTTACAGGGCATTGAAGCCTACGGTAGAAAAGGAAATATCTTACCATAAAATCTAGTCAGAAGCATTCTCAGAAACTGAGTTGTGATGTTTGCATTCAACTCACAGAGTTCAACATTCCTTTTAATGGAGCGGTTTTGAAACACTCTTTTTGCAGAATCTGCAAGTGGATATTTGGACCTCTTTGAGGCCTTCGTTGGAAACGGGATTTCTTCATGTAATGCCAGACAGAAGAATTCTCAGTGAATTCTTTCTGTGTGTGTGTATTCAACTCACAGAGTTGAACGTTCCTTTAGACAGAGTAGATTGGAAACACTCTTTTTGTGGAATTTTCAGGTGGAGGTATCAAGCGCTTTGAGGCCAATGATAGAAAAGGAAATACCTTCGTATAATAATTAGACGGAATCATTCTCAGAAACTGCTTTGCAATGTGTGCGTTCAACTCACAGTGTTTAACCTTTCTTTTCATACAGTTGTCTCGAAACACTCTTTTTGCAGAATCTGCAAGTGGATATTTGGACCTCTTTGAAGTCTTCGTTGGAAATGGGATTTCTTCATATAATGCTAGACAGAAGACTTCTCAGTAACTGCTTTTTCTGGTGTGTATTCAACTCTCAGAGTTGAACTTTCCTTTAGAAACAGCAGAGTTGAAACTCTCTTTTTGTGGAATTTGCAAGTGGAGATTTCAAAGCTTTGAGGCCAATGGTAGAAAAGGAAATATCTTCGTATGCAAACTAGACAGAATCATTCTCAGAAACTACTTTGGTACGTGTGTGTTCAACTCACAGTGTTTAACCTTTCTTTTCATAGAGCAGTTTGGAAACACTCAGTTTGTAAAGTCAGCAACTGGATATTTGGATGTATTTGAGGCCTTCGTTGGAAACGGGATTTCTTCATATAATGCTAGACAGAAGAATTCTCAGTAACTTCTTTGGGTTGTGGGTATTCAACTCACAGAGTTGAAGCTTCCTTTAGGCGGAGCAGATTGGAAACACTTTTTGTGGAATTTTCAGGGGGAGACTTCAAGCGCTTTGAAGTGAATGGTAGAAAAGGAAATATCTTCGTATAAAAACTAGACGGAGTCATTCTCAGAAACTACTTTGTGATGTTTGCGTTCAACTCACAGAGTTTAACGTTTCTTTTCATAGAGCAGTTTGGAAACACTCTTTTTGCAGAATCTGCAAGTGGATATTTGGACCTCTTTGTGGCCTTCGTTGGAAACGGGATTTTTCATATAATGCTAGACAGAAGAATTCTCAGTAACTTCTTTTTGTGGTGTGTATTCAACTCACAGAGTTGAACCTTCCTTTAGACAGAGCAGATTTGAAACTCTCTTTTTGTGGAATTTGCAAGTGGAGATTTCAAGCGCTTTGAGGCCAACGGCAGAAAAGGAAATATCTTCGTAGAAAAAATAGACGGATCATTCTCAGAAACTGCTTTGGGATGTGTGCATTGAACTCACAGTGTTTAACACTTCTTTTCATAGAGCACTTTGGAAACACTCAGTTTATAATGTCTGCAGCTGGATATTTGGACCTCTTTGAGGCCTTCGTAGTAAACGGGATTTCTTCGTGTAATGATAGACAATAGAATTCTCAGTGAATTTTTTTCTGTGTGTGTGTATTCAACTCACAGGGTTGAACCATCCTTTAGACAGTGCAGATTTGAAACACTTGTCTGTGGAATTTGCAAGGGGAGATTTCAAGCACTTTGAGGCCATTGGTGGAAAAGGAAATATCTTCGTATGAAAACTAGACAGAATCATTCTCAGGAACTACTTTGTGATATGTGCATTCAACTCACAGAGTTTAACCTTTCTTTTCATAGATGAGTTTGGAAACAGTCAGTTTGTAAATTCTGCAACTGGGATATTTGGACCTCTTTGAGGCTTTCGTTGGAAACGGGATTTCTTCACATAATGCTAGACAGAAGAATTCTCAGTAACTTCTTTTGGGATGTATGTATTCAAATCAGAGAGTTGAACCTTCCTTTAGACAGAGCGGATTGGAAACACTCTTTTTGTGGAATTTGCAAGTGGAAAATTCTAGCAGTATGAGGCCAATGGTACAAAAGGAAATATCTTCGTATAAAAACTAGACAGTATCATTCTCAGAAACTGCTTTGTGATGTGCGTATTAAACTCACAGAGTTGAACATTTCTTTGCATAGAGCAGTTTGGAAAGACTTAGTTTGTGCAGTGTGCAAGTGGATATTTGGAACTCTTTGAGGCCTTCGTTGGAAATGGGATTTCTTCTTATAATTCTTGACAAAAGAATTCTCAGTAGCTTCTTTGTGTGTGTGTATTCAACTCACAGAGTTGAACCTTCCTTTAGACAGAGCAGATTGGAAACACTCTTTTTGTGGAATTTGCAAGTGGAGAATTCTAGCGCTTTGACGCCAATGGTAGAAAGGAAATATCTTCGTATAAAAACTAGACTGTATCATTCTCAGAAGCTACTTTGTGATGTGTGCGTTCAACTCACAGAGTTTAACCTTTCTTTTCATAGAGCAGTTTGGAAACCCTCTGTTTGTGAAGTCTGCAAGTGGATATTTAAACGTCTTTGAGGCCTTCGTTGGAAACGGGATTTTTTCATATAAACCAGGACAGAAGAATTCTCAGAAACTTCTTGATTGTTATGTGTGCATTCAACTCACAGAGTTGAACCTTACTTTGGAAAGAGCAGTTTTCTAACACTCTTTTTGTAAAAGTTCCAAGTGAATACTTTGAGTGCTTTGAAGCCTACGGTTGACAACGAAATATCTTCATGTAAAAACTACAAAGAATCATTCGCAGAAACCACGTTGTGATCTCTGCATTCAACTCACAGAGTTGAACCTTTCTTCCTATAGAGCAGTTATGAAACAGTCTCTTTGTAGAATTTGCAAGGGTGTATTTAGAGGGCATTGAAGCCTACGGTAGAAAAGGAAATATCTTACCATAAAATCTAGTCAGAAGCATTCTCAGAAACTGAGTTGTGATGTTTGCATTCAACTCACAGAGTTCAACATTCCTTTTAATGGAGCGGTTTTGAAACACTCTTTTTGCAGAATCTGCAAGTGGATATTTGGACCTCTTTGAGGCCTTCGTTGGAAACGGGATTTCTTCATGTAATGCCAGACAGAAGAATTCTCAGTGAATTCTTTCTGTGTGTGTGTATTCAACTCACAGAGTTGAACGTTCCTTTAGACAGAGTAGATTGGAAACACTCTTTTTGTGGAATTTTCAGGTGGAGGTATCAAGCGCTTTGAGGCCAATGATAGAAAAGGAAATACCTTCGTATAATAATTAGACGGAATCATTCTCAGAAACTGCTTTGCAATGTGTGCGTTCAACTCACAGTGTTTAACCTTTCTTTTCATACAGTTGTTTCGAAACACTCTTTTTGCAGAATCTGCAAGTGGATATTTGGACTTCTTTGAAGTCTTCGTTGGAAATGGGATTTCTTCATATAATGCTAGACAGAAGACTTCTCAGTAACTGCTTTTTCTGGTGTGTATTCAACTCTCAGAGTTGAACTTTCCTTTAGAAACAGCAGATTTGAAACTCTCTTTTTGTGGAATTTGCAAGTGGAGATTTCAGAGCTTTGAGGCCAATGGTAGAAAAGGAAATATCTTCGTATGCAAACTAGACAGAATCATTCTCAGAAACTACTTTGGTACGTGTGTGTTCAACTCACAGTGTTTAACCTTTCTTTTCATAGAGCAGTTTGGAAACACTCAGTTTGTAAAGTCAGCCACTGGATATTTGGATGTATTTGAGGCCTTCGTTGGAAACGGGATTTCTTCATATAATGCTAGACAGAAGAATTCTCAGTAACTTCTTTGGGTTGTGGGGATTCAACTCACAGAGTTGAAGCTTCCTTTAGGCGGAGCAGATTGGAAACACTTTTTGTGGAATTTTCAGGGGGAGACTTCAAGCGCTTTGAAGTGAATGGTAGGAAAGGAAATATCTTCGTATAAAAACTAGACGGAGTCATTCTCAGAAACTACTTTGTGATGTTTGCGTTCAACTCACAGAGTTTAACGTTTCTTTTCATAGAGCAGTTTGGAAACACTCTTTTTGCAGAATCTGCAAGTGGATATTTGGACCTCTTTGTGGCCTTCGTTGGAAACGGGATTTTTCATATAATGCTAGACAGAAGAATTCTCAGTAACTTCTTTTTGTGGTGTGTATTCAACTCACAGAGTTGAACCTTCCTTTAGACAGAGCAGATTTGAAACTCTCTTTTTGTGGAATTTGCAAGTGGAGACTTCAAGCGCTTTGAGGCCAACGGTAGAAAAGGAAATATCTTCGTAGAAAAAATAGACGGAATCATTCTCAGAAACTGCTTTGGGATGTGTGCATTGAACTCACAGTGTTTAACACTTCTTTTCATAGAGCACTTTGGAAACACTCAGTTTGTAATGTCTGCAGCTGGATATTTGGACCTCTTTGAGGCCTTCGTAGTAAACGGGATTTCTTCGTGTAATGATAGACAATAGAATTCTCAGTGAATTTTTTTCTGTGTGTGTGTATTCAACTCACAGGGTTGAACCTTCCTTTAGACAGTGCAGATTTGAAACACTTTTCTGTGGAATTTGCAAGGGGAGATTTCAAGCACTTTGAGGCCATTGGTGGAAAAGGAAATATCTTCGAATAAAAACTAGACAGAATCATTCTCAGGAACTACTTTGTGATATGTGCATTCAACTCACAGAGTTTAACCTTTCTTTTCATAGATGAGTTTGGAAACAGTCAGTTTGTAAATTCTGCAACTGGATATTTGGACCTCTTGGAGGCTTTCGTTGGAAACGGGATTTCTTCACATAATGCTAGACAGAAGAATTCTCAGTAACTTCTTTTGGGATGTATGTATTCAAATCAGAGAGTTGAACCTTCCTTTAGACAGAGCGGATTGGAAACACTCTTTTTGTGGAATTTGCAAGTGGAAAATTCTAGCAGTATGAGGCCAATGGTACAAAAGGAAATATCTTCGTATAAAAACTAGACAGTATCATTCTCAGAAACTGCTTTGTGATGTGTGTATTAAACTCACAGAGTTGAACATTTCTTTGCATAGAGCAGTTTGGAAAGACTTAGTTTGTGCAGTGTGCAAGTGGATATTTGGAACTCTTTGAGGCCTTCTTTGGAAACGGGATTTCTTCTTATAATTCTTGACAAAAGAATTCTCAGTAGCTTCTTTGTGTGTGTGTATTCAACTCACAGAGTTGAACCTTCCTTTAGACAGAGCAGATTGGAAACACTCTTTTTGTGGAATTTGCAAGTGGAGAATTCTAGCGCTTTGACGCCAATGGTAGAAAGGAAATATCTTCGTATAAAAACTAGACAGTAATCATTCTCAGAAGCTACTTTGTGATGTGTGCGTTCAACTCACAGAGTTTAACCTTTCTTTTCATAGAGCAGTTTGGAAACCCTCTGTTTGTGAAGTCTGCAAGTGGATATTTAAACGTCTTTGAGGCCTTCGTTGGAAACGGGATTTTTTCATATAAACCAGGACAGAAGAATTCTCAGAAACTTCTTCATTCTTATGTGTGCATTCAACTCACAGAGTTGAACCTTACTTTGGAAAGAGCAGTTTTCTAACACTCTTTTTGTAAAAGTTCCAAGTGAATACTTTGAGTGCTTTGAAGCCTACGGTTGACAATGAAATATCTTCCTGTAAAAACTACAAAGAATCATTCGCAGAAACCACGTTGTGATCTCTGCATTCAACTCACAGAGTTCAACCTTTCTTCCTATAGAGCAGTTATGAAACAGTCTCTTTGTAGAATTTGCAAGGGTGTATTTAGAGGGCATTGAAGCCTACGGTAGAAAAGGAAATATCTTACCATAAAATCTAGTCAGAAGCATTCTCAGAAACTGAGTTGTGATGTTTGCATTCAACTCACAGAGTTCAACATTCCTTTTAATGGAGCGGTTTTGAAACACTCTTTTTGCAGAATCTGCAAGTGGATATTTGGACCTCTTTGAGGCCTTCGTTGGAAACGGGATTTCTTCATGTAATGCCAGACAGAAGAATTCTCAGTGAATTCTTTCTGTGTGTGTGTATTCAACTCACAGAGTTGAACGTTCCTTTAGACAGAGTAGATTGGAAACACTCTTTTTGTGGAATTTTCAGGTGGAGGTATCAAGCGCTTTGAGGCCAATGATAGAAAAGGAAATACCTTCGTATAATAATTAGACGGAATCATTCTCAGAAACTGCTTTGCAATGTGTGCGTTCAACTCACAGTGTTTAACCTTTCTTTTCATACAGTTGTTTCGAAACACTCTTTTTGCAGAATCTGCAAGTGGATATTTGGACCTCTTTGAAGTCTTCGTTGGAAATGGGATATCTTCATATAATGCTAGACAGAAGACTTCTCAGTAACTGCTTTTTCTGGTGTGTATTCAACTCTCAGAGTTGAACTTTCCTTTAGAAACAGCAGAGTTGAAACTCTCTTTTTGTGGAATTTGCAAGTGGAGATTTCAAAGCTTTGAGGCCAATGGTAGAAAAGGAAATATCTTCGTATGCAAACTAGACAGAATCATTCTCAGAAACTACTTTGGTACGTGTGTGTTCAACTCACAGTGTTTAACCTTTCTTTTCATAGAGCAGTTTGGAAACACTCAGTTTGTAAAGTCAGCAACTGGATATTTGGATGTATTTGAGGCCTTCGTTGGAAACGGGATTTCTTCATATAATGCTAGACAGAAGAATTCTCAGTAACTTCTTTGGGTTGTGGGTATTCAACTCACAGAGTTGAAGCTTCCTTTAGGCGGAGCAGATTGGAAACACTTTTTGTGGAATTTTCAGGGGGAGACTTCAAGCGCTTTGAAGTGAATGGTAGAAAAGGAAATATCTTCGTATAAAAACTAGACGGAGTCATTCTCAGAAACTACTTTGTGATGTTTGCGTTCAACTCACAGAGTTTAACGTTTCTTTTCATAGAGCAGTTTGGAAACACTCTTTTTGCAGAATCTGCAAGTGGATATTTGGACCTCCTTTGTGGCCTTCGTTGGAAACGGGATTTTTCATATAATGCTAGACAGAAGAATTCTCAGTAACTTCTTTTTGTGGTGTGTATTCAACTCACAGAGTTGAACCTTCCTTTAGACAGAGCAGATTTGAAACTCTCTTTTTGTGGAATTTGCAAGTGGAGATTTCAAGCGCTTTGAGGCCAACGGCAGAAAAGGAAATATCTTCGTAGAAAAAATAGACGGAATCATTCTCAGAATCTGCTTTGGGATGTGTGCATTGAACTCACAGTGTTTAACACTTCTTTTCATAGAGCACTTTGGAAACACTCAGTTTGTAATGTCTGCAGCTGGATATTTGGACCTCTTTGAGGCCTTCGTGGTAAACGGGATTTCTTCGTGTAATGATAGACAATAGAATTCTCAGTGAATTTTTTTCTGTGTGTGTGTATTCAACTCACAGGGTTGAACCTTCCTTCAGACAGTGCAGATTTGAAACACTTTTCTGTGGAATTTGCAAGGGGAGATTTCAAGCACTTTGAGGCCATTGGTGGAAAAGGAAATATCTTCGTATAAAAACTAGACAGAATCATTCTCAGGAACTACTTTGTGATATGTGCATTCAACTCACAGAGTTTAACCTTTCTTTTCATAGATGAGTTTGGAAACAGTCAGTTTGTAAATTCTGCAACTGGATATTTGGACCTCTTTGAGGCTTTCGTTGGAAACGGGATTTCTTCACATAATGCTAGACAGAAGAATTCTCAGTAACTTCTTTTGGGATGTATGTATTCAAATCAGAGAGTTGAACCTTCCTTTAGACAGAGCGGATTGGAAACACTCTTTTTGTGGAATTTGCAAGTGGAAAATTCTAGCAGTATGAGGCCAATGGTACAAAAGGAAATATCTTCGTATAAAAACTAGACAGTATCATTCTCAGAAACTGCTTTGTGATGTGTGTATTAAACTCACAGAGTTCAACATTTCTTTGCATAGAGCAGTTTGGAAAGACTTAGTTTGTGCAGTGTGCAAGTGGATATTTGGAACTCTTTGAGGCCTTCGTTGGAAACGGGATTTCTTCTTATAATTCTTGACAAAAGAATTCTCAGTAGCTTCTTTGTGTGTGTGTATTCAACTCACAGAGTTGAACCTTCCTTTAGACAGAGCAGATTGGAAACACTCTTTTTGTGGAATTTGCAAGTGGAGAATTCTAGCGCTTTGACGCCAATGGTAGAAAGGAAATATCTTCGTATAAAAACTAGACAGTATCATTCTCAAAAACTACTTTGTGATGTGTGCGTTCAACTCACAGAGTTTAACCTTTCTTTTCATAGAGCAGTTTGGAAACCCTCTGTTTGTGAAGTCTGCAAGTGGATATTTAAACGTCTTTGAGGCCTTCGTTGGAAACGGGATTTTTTCATATAAACCAGGACAGAAGAATTCTCAGAAACTTCTTGATTGTTATGTGTGCATTCAACTCACAGAGTTGAACCTTACTTTGGAAAGAGCAGTTTTCTAACACTCTTTTTGTAAAAGTTCCAAGTGAATACTTTGAGTGCTTTGAAGCCTACGGTTGACAACGAAATATCTTCATGTAAAAACTACAAAGAATCATTCGCAGAAACCACGTTGTGATCTCTGTATTCAACTCACAGAGTTGAACCTTTCTTCCTATAGAGCAGTTATGAAACAGACTCTTTGTAGAATTTGCAAGGGTGTATTTAGAGGGCATTGAAGCCTACGGTAGAAAAGGAAATATCTTACCATAAAATCTAGTCAGAAGCATTCTCAGAAACTGAGTTGTGATGTTTGCATTCAACTCACAGAGTTCAACATTCCTTTTAATGGAGCGGTTTTGAAACACTCTTTTTGCAGAATCTGCAAGTGGATATTTGGACCTCTTTGAGGCCTTCGTTGGAAACGGGATTTCTTCATGTAATGCCAGACAGAAGAATTCTCAGTGAATTCTTTCTGTGTGTGTGTATTCAACTCACAGAGTTGAACGTTCCTTTAGACAGAGTAGATTGGAAACACTCTTTTTGTGGAATTTTCAGGTGGAGGTATCAAGTGCTTTGAGGCCAATGATAGAAAAGGAAATACCTTCGTATAATAATTAGACGGAATCATTCTCAGAAACTGCTTTGCAATGTGTGCGTTCAACTCACAGTGTTTAACCTTTCTTTTCATACAGTTGTTTCGAAACACTCTTTTTGCAGAATCTGCAAGTGGATATTTGGACCTCTTTGAAGTCTTCGTTGGAAATGGGATTTCTTCATATAATGCTAGACAGAAGACTTCTCAGTAACTGCTTTTTCTGGTGTGTATTCAACTCTCAGAGTTGAACTTTCCTTTAGAAACAGCAGAGTTGAAACTCTCTTTTTGTGGAATTTGCAAGTGGAGATTTCAAAGCTTTGAGGCCAATGGTAGAAAAGGAAATATCTTCGTATGCAAACTAGACAGAATCATTCTCAGAAACTACTTTGGTACGTGTGTGTTCAACTCACAGTGTTTAACCTTTCTTTTCATAGAGCAGTTTGGAAACACTCAGTTTGTAAAGTCAGCAACTGGATATTTGGATGTATTTGAGGCCTTCGTTGGAAACGGGATTTCTTCATATAATGCTAGACAGAAGAATTCTCAGTAACTTCTTTGGGTTGTGGGTATTCAAGTCACAGAGTTGAAGCTTCCTTTAGGCGGAGCAGATTGGAAACACTTTTTGTGGAATTTTCAGGGGGAGACTTCAAGCGCTTTGAAGTGAATGGTAGGAAAGGAAATATCTTCGTATAAAAACTAGACGGAGTCATTCTCAGAAACTACTTTGTGATGTTTGCGTTCAACTCACAGAGTTTAACGTTTCTTTTCATAGAGCAGTTTGGAAACACTCTTTTTGCAGAATCTGCAAGTGGATATTTGGACCTCTTTGTGGCCTTCGTTGGAAACGGGATTTTTCATATAATGCTAGACAGAAGAATTCTCAGTAACTTCTTTTTGTGGTGTGTATTCAACTCACAGAGTTGAACCTTCCTTTAGACAGAGCAGATTTGAAACTCTCTTTTTGTGGAATTTGCAAGTGGAGATTTCAAGCGCTTTGAGGCCAACGGTAGAAAAGGAAATATCTTCGTAGAAAAAATAGACGGAATCATTCTCAGAAACTGCTTTGGGATGTGTGCATTGAACTCACAGTGTTTAACACTTCTTTTCATAGAGCACTTTGGAAACACTCAGTTTGTAATGTCTGCAGCTGGATATTTGGACCTCTTTGAGGCCTTCGTAGTAAACGGGATTTCTTCGTGTAATGATAGACAATAGAATTCTCAGTGAATTTTTTTCTGTGTGTGTGTATTCAACTCACAGGGATGAACCTTCCTTCAGACAGTGCAGATTTGAAACACTTGTCTGTGGAATTTGCAAGGGGAGATTTCAAGCACTTTGAGGCCATTGGTGGAAAAGGAAATATCTTCGTATGAAAACTAGACAGAATCATTCTCAGGAACTACTTTGTGATATGTGCATTCAACTCCCAGAGTTCAACCTTTCTTTTCATAGATGAGTTTGGAAACAGTCAGTTTGTAAATTCTGCAACTGGATATTTGGACCTCTTTGAGGCTTTCGTTGGAAACGGGATTTCTTCACATAATGCTAGACAGAAGAATTCTCAGTAAATTCTTTTGGGATGTATGTATTCAAATCAGAGAGTTGAACCTTCCTTTAGACAGAGCGGATTGGAAACACTCTTTTTGTGGAATTTGCAAGTGGAAAATTCTAGCAGTATGAGGCCAATGGTACAAAAGGAAATATCTTCGTATAAAAACTAGACAGTATCATTCTCAGAAACTGCTTTCTGATGTGTGCATTAAACTCACAGGGTTGAACATTTCTTTGCATAGAGCAGTTTGGAAAGACTTAGTTTGTACAGTGTGCAAGTGGATATTTGGAACTCTTTGAGGCCTTCGTTGGAAACGGGATTTCTTCTTATAATTCTTGACAAAAGAATTCTCAGTAGCTTCTTTGTGTGTGTGTACTCAACTCACAGAGTTGAACCTTCCTTTAGACAGAGCAGATTGGAAATATTCTTTTTGTGGAATTTGCAAGTGGAAAATTCTAGCAGTATGAGGCCAATGGTACAAAAGGAAATATCTTCGTATAAAAACTAGACAGTATCATTCTCAGAAACTACTTTGTGAGGTGTGCGTTCAACTCACAGTGTTTACCCTTTCTTTTCATAGAGCAGTTTGGAAACACTCTGTTTGTGAAGTCTGCAAGTGGATATTTAAACGTCTTTGAGGCCTTCGTTGGAAACGGGATTTCTTCATATAAACCAGGACAGAAGAATTCTCAGAAACTTCTTGTTTGTTATGTGTGCATTCAACTCACAGAGTTGAACCTTACTTTGGAAAGAGCAGTTTTCTAACACTCTTTTTGTAAAAGTTCCAAGTGAATACTTTGAGTGCTTTGAAGCCTACGGTAGACAACGAAATATCTTCATGTAAAAACTACAAAGAATCATTCGCAGAAACCACGTTGTGATCTCTGCATTCAACTCACAGAGTTGAACCTTTCCTCCTATAGAGCAGTTATGAAACAGTCTCTTTGTAGAATTTGCAAGGGTGTATTTACAGGGCATTGAAGCCTACGGTAGAAAAGGAAATATCTTACCATAAAATCTAGTCAGAAGCATTCTCAGAAACTGAGTTGTGATGTTTGCATTCAACTCACAGAGTTCAACATTCCTTTTAATGGAGCGGTTCTGAAACACTCTTTTTGCAGAATCTGCAAGTGGATATTTGGACCTCTTTGAGGCCTTCGTTGGAAACGGGATTTCTTCATGTAATGCCAGACAGAAGAATTCTCAGTGAATTCTTTCTGTGTGTGTGTATTCAACTCACGGAGTTGAACGTTCCTTTAGACAGAGTAGATTGGAAACACTCTTTTTGTGGAATTTTCAGGTGGAGGTATCAAGCGCTTTGAGGCCAATGATAGAAAAGGAAATACCTTCGTATAATAATTAGACGGAATCATTCTCAGAAACTGCTTTGCAATGTGTGCGTTCAACTCACAGTGTTTAACCTTTCTTTTCATACAGTTGTTTCGAAACACTCTTTTTGCAGAATCTGCAAGTGGATATTTGGACCTCTTTGAAGTCTTCGTTGGAAATGGGATTTCTTCATATAATGCTAGACAGAAGACTTCTCAGTAACTGCTTTTTCTGGTGTGTATTCAACTCTCAGAGTTGAACTTTCCTTTAGAAACAGCAGATTTGAAACTCTCTTTTTGTGGAATTTGCAAGTGGAGATTTCAGAGCTTTGAGGCCAATGGTAGAAAAGGAAATATCTTCGTATGCAAACTAGACAGAATCATTCTCAGAAACTACTTTGGTACGTGTGTGTTCAACTCACAGTGTTTAACCTTTCTTTTCATAGAGCAGTTTGGAAACACTCAGTTTGTAAAGTCAGCAACTGGATATTTGGATGTATTTGAGGCCTTCGTTGGAAACGGGATTTCTTCATATAATGCTAGACAGAAGAATTCTCAGTAACTTCTTTCTTTGGGTTGTGGGTATTCAAGTCACAGAGTTGAAGCTTCCTTTAGGCGGAGCAGATTGGAAACACTTTTTGTGGAATTTTCAGGGGGAGACTTCAAGCGCTTTGAAGTGAATGGTAGGAAAGGAAATATCTTCGTATAAAAACTAGACGGAGTCATTCTCAGAAACTACTTTGTGATGTTTGCGTTCAACTCACAGAGTTTAACGTTTCTTTTCATAGAGCAGTTTGGAAACACTCTTTTTGCAGAATCTGCAAGTGGATATTTGGACCTCTTTGTGGCCTTCGTTGGAAACGGGATTTTTCATATAATGCTAGACAGAAGAATTCTCAGTAACTTCTTTTTGTGGTGTGTATTCAACTCACAGAATTGAACCTTCCTTTAGACAGAGCAGATTTGAAACTCTCTTTTTGTGGAATTTGCAAGTGGAGATTTCAAGCGCTTTGAGGCCAACGGCAGAAAAGGAAATATCTTCGTAGAAAAAATTGACGGAATCATTCTCAGAAACTGCTTTGGGATGTGTGCATTGAACTCACAGTGTTTAACACTTCTTTTCATAGAGCACTTTGGAAACACTCAGTTTGTAATGTCTGCAGCTGGATATTTGGACCTCTTTGAGGCCTTCGTAGTAAACGGGATTTCTTCGTGTAATGATAGACAATAGAATTCTCAGTGAATTTTTTTCTGTGTGTGTGTATTCAACTCACAGGGTTGAACCTTCCTTTAGACAGTGCAGATTTGAAACACTTGTCTGTGGAATTTGCAAGGGGAGATTTCAAGCACTTTGAGGCCATTGGTGGAAAAGGAAATATCTTCGTATAAAAACTAGACAGAATCATTCTCAGGAACTACTTTGTGATATGTGCATTCAACTCCCAGAGTTTAACCTTTCTTTTCATAGATGAGTTTGGAAACAGTCAGTTTGTAAATTCTGCAACTGGATATTTGGACCTCTTTGAGGCATTCGTTGGAAACGGGATTTCTTCACATAATGCTAGACAGAAGAATTCTCAGTAACTTCTTTTGGGATGTATGTATTCAAATCAGAGAGTTGAACCTTCCTTTAGACAGAGCGGATTGGAAACACTCTTTTTGTGGAATTTGCAAGTGGAAAATTCTAGCAGTATGAGGCCAATGGTACAAAAGGAAATATCTTCGTATAAAAACTAGACAGTATCATTCTCAGAAACTGCTTTGTGATGTGTGTATTAAACTCACAGAGTTGAACATTTCTTTGCATAGAGCAGTTTGGAAAGACTTAGTTTGTGCAGTGTGCAAGTGGATATTTGGAACTCTTTGAGGCCTTCGTTGGAAAAGGGATTTCTTCTTATAATTCTTGACAAAAGAATTCTCAGTAGCTTCTTTGTGTGTGTGTATTCAACTCACAGCGTTGAACCTTCCTTTAGACAGAGCAGATTGGAAACACTCTTTTTGTGGAATTTGCAAGTGGAGAATTCTAGCGCTTTGACGCCAATGGTAGAAAGGAAATATCTTCGTATAAAAACTAGACTGTATCATTCTCAGAAACTACTTTGTGATGTGTGCGTTCAACTCACAGAGTTTAACCTTTCTTTTCATAGAGCAGTTTGGAAACACTCTGTGAAGTCTGCAAGTGGATATTTAAACGTCTTTGAGGCCTTCGTTGGAAACGGGATTTTTTCATATAAACCAGGACAGAAGAATTCTCAGAAACTTCTTGATTGTTATGTGTGCATTCAACTCACAGAGTTGAACCTTACTTTGGAAAGAGCAGTTTTCTAACACTCTTTTTGTAAAAGTTCCAAGTGAATACTTTGAGTGCTTTGAAGCCTACGGTTGACAACGAAATATCTTCATGTAAAAACTACAAAGAATCATTCGCAGAAACCACGTTGTGATCTCTGCATTCAACTCACAGAGTTGAACCTTTCTTCCTATAGAGCAGTTATGAAACAGTCTCTTTGTAGAATTTGCAAGGGTGTATTTAGAGGGCATTGAAGCCTACGGTAGAAAAGGAAATATCTTACCATAAAATCTAGTCAGAAGCATTCTCAGCAACTGAGTTGTGATGTTTGCATTCAACTCACAGAGTTCAACATTCCTTTTAATGGAGCGGTTTTGAAACACTCTTTTTGCAGAATCTGCAAGTGGATATTTGGACCTCTTTGAGGCCTTCGTTGGAAACGGGATTTCTTCATGTAATGCCAGACAGAAGAATTCTCAGTGAATTCTTTCTGTGTGTGTGTATTCAACTCACAGAGTTGAACGTTCCTTTAGACAGAGTAGATTGGAAACACTCTTTTTGTGGAATTTTCAGGTGGAGGTATCAAGCGCTTTGAGGCCAATGATAGAAAAGGAAATACCTTCGTATAATAATTAGACGGAATCATTCTCAGAAACCGCTTTGCAATGTGTGCGTTCAACTCACAGTGTTTAACCTTTCTTTTCATACAGTTGTTTCGAAACACTCTTTTTGCAGAATCTGCAAGTGGATATTTGGACCTCTTTGAAGTCTTCGTTGGAAATGGGATTTCTTCATATAATGCTAGACAGAAGACTTCTCAGTAACTGCTTTTTCTGGTGTGTATTGAACTCTCAGAGTTGAACTTTCCTTTAGAAACAGCAGATTTGAAACTCTCTTTTTGTGGAATTTGCAAGTGGAGATTTCGGAGCTTTGAGGCCAATGGTAGAAAAGGAAATATCTTCGTATGCAAACTAGACAGAATCATTCTCAGAAACTACTTTGGTACGTGTGTGTTCAACTCACAGTGTTTAACCTTTCTTTTCATAGAGCAGTTTGGAAACACTCAGTTTGTAAAGTCAGCAACTGGATATTTGGATGTATTTGAGGCCTTCGTTGGAAACGGGATTTCTTCATATAATGCTAGACAGAAGAATTCTCAGTAACTTCTTTGGGTTGTGGGTATTCAACTCACAGAGTTGAAGCTTCCTTTAGGCGGAGCAGATTGGAAACACTTTTTGTGGAATTTTCAGGGGGAGACTTCAAGCGCTTTGAAGTGAATGGTAGGAAAGGAAATATCTTCGTATAAAAACTAGACGGAGTCATTCTCAGAAACTACTTTGTGATGTTTGCGTTCAACTCACAGAGTTTAACGTTTCTTTTCATAGAGCAGTTTGGAAACACTCTTTTTGCAGAATCTGCAAGTGGATATTTGGACCTCTTTGTGGCCTTCGTTGGAAACGGGATTTTTCATATAATGCTAGACAGAAGAATTCTCAGTAACTTCTTTTTGTGGTGTGTATTCAACTCACAGAGTTGAACCTTCCTTTAGACAGAGCAGATTTGAAACTCTCTTTTTGTGGAATTTGCAAGTGGAGATTTCAAGCGCTTTGAGGCCAACGGCAGAAAAGGAAATATCTTCGTAGAAAAAATAGACGGAATCATTCTCAGAAACTGCTTTGGGATGTGTGCATTGAACTCACAGTGTTTAACACTTCTTTTCATAGAGCACTTTGGAAACACTCAGTTTGTAATGTCTGCAGCTGGATATTTGGACCTCTTTGAGGCCTTCGTAGTAAACGGGATTTCTTCGTGTAATGATAGACAATAGAATACTCAGTGAATTTTTTTCTGTGTGTGTGTATTCAACTCACAGGGTTGAACCTTCCTTTAGACAGTGCAGATTTGAAACACTTGTCTGTGGAATTTGCAAGGGGAGATTTCAAGCACTTTGAGGCCATTGGTGGAAAAGGAAATATCTTCGTATAAAAACTAGACAGAATCATTCTCAGGAACTACTTTGTGATATGTGCATTCAACTCACAGAGTTTAACCTTTCTTTTCATAGATGAGTTTGGAAACAGTCAGTTTGTAAATTCTGCAACTGGATATTTGGACCTCTTTGAGGCTTTCGTTGGAAACGGGATTTCTTCACATAATGCTAGACAGAAGAATTCTCAGTAACTTCTTTTGGGATGTATGTATTCAAATCAGAGAGTTGAACCTTCCTTTAGACAGAGCGGATTGGAAACACTCTTTTTGTGGAATTTGCAAGTGGAAAATTCTAGCAGTATGAGGTCAATGGTACAAAAGGAAATATCTTCGTATAAAAACTAGACAGTATCATTCTCAGAAACTGCTTTGTGATGTGTGTATTAAACTCACAGAGTTGAACATTTCTTTGCATAGAGCAGTTTGGAAAGACTTAGTTTGTGCAGTGTGCAAGTGGATATTTGGAACTCTTTGAGGCCTTCGTTGGAAACGGGATTTCTTCTTATAATTCTTGACAAAAGAATTCTCAGTAGCTTCTTTGTGTGTGTGTACTCAACTCACAGAGTTGAACCTTCCTTTAGACAGAGCAGATTGGAAACACTCTTTTTGTGGAATTTGCAAGTGGAGAATTCTAGCGCTTTGACGCCAATGGTAGAAAGGAAATATCTTCGTATAAAAACTAGACAGTTATCATTCTCAGTAAACTACTTTGTGATGTGTGCGTTCAACTCACAGTAGTTTAACCTTTCTTTTCATAGAGCAGTTTGGAAACACTCTGTTTGTGAAGTCTGCAAGTGGATATTTAAACGTCTTTGAGGCCTTCGTTGGAAACGGGATTTCTTCATATAAACCAGGACAGAAGAATTCTCAGAAACTTCTTGATTGTTATGTGTGCATTCAACTCACAGAGTTGAACCTTACTTTGGAAAGAGCAGTTTTCTAACACTCTTTTTGTAAAAGTTCCAAGTGAATACTTTGAGTGCTTTGAAGCCTACGGTTGACAACGAAATATCTTCATGTAAAAACTACAAAGAATCATTCGCAGAAACCAAGTTGTGATCTCTGCATTCAACTCACAGAGTTCAACCTTTCTTCCTATAGAGCAGTTATGAAACAGTCTCTTTGTAGAATTTGCAAGGGTGTATTTAGAGGGCATTGAAGCCTACGGTAGAAAAGGAAATATCTTACCATAAAATCTAGTCAGAAGCATTCTCAGAAACTGAGTTGTGATGTTTGCATTCAACTCACAGAGTTCAACATTCCTTTTAATGGAGCGGTTTTGAAACACTCTTTTTGCAGAATCTGCAAGTGGATATTTGGACCTCTTTGAGGCCTTCGTTGGAAACGGGATTTCTTCATGTAATGCCAGACAGAAGAATTCTCAGTGAATTCTTTCTGTGTGTGTGTATTCAACTCACAGAGTTGAACGTTCCTTTAGACAGAGTAGATTGGAAACACTCTTTTTGTGGAATTTTCAGGTGGAGGTATCAAGCGCTTTGAGGCCAATGATAGAAAAGGAAATACCTTCGTATAATAATTAGACGGAATCATTCTCAGAAACCGCTTTGCAATGTGTGCGTTCAACTCACAGTGTTTAACCTTTCTTTTCATACAGTTGTTTCGAAACACTCTTTTTGCAGAATCTGCAAGTGGATATTTGGACCTCTTTGAAGTCTTCGTTGGAAATGGGATTTCTTCATATAATGCTAGACAGAAGACTTCTCAGTAACTGCTTTTTCTGGTGTGTATTCAACTCTCAGAGTTGAACTTTCCTTTAGAAACAGCAGATTTGAAACTCTCTTTTTGTGGAATTTGCAAGTGGAGATTTCGGAGCTTTGAGGCCAATGGTAGAAAACGAAATATCTTCGTATGCAAACTAGACAGAATCAGTCTCAGAAACTACTTTGGTACGTGTGTGTTCAACTCACAGTGTTTAACCTTTCTTTTCATAGAGCAGTTTGGAAACACTCAGTTTGTAAAGTCAGCAACTGGATATTTGGATGTATTTGAGGCCTTCGTTGGAAACGGGATTTCTTCATATAATGCTAGACAGAAGAATTCTCAGTAACTTCTTTGGGTTGTGGGTATTCAAGTCACAGAGTTGAAGCTTCCTTTAGGCGGAGCAGATTGGAAACACTTTTTGTGGAATTTTCAGGGGGAGACTTCAAGCGCTTTGAAGTGAATGGTAGGAAAGGAAATATCTTCGTATAAAAACTAGACGGAGTCATTCTCAGAAACTACTTTGTGATGTTTGCGTTCAACTCACAGAGTTTAACGTTTCTTTTCATAGAGCAGTTTGGAAACACTCTTTTTGCAGAATCTGCAAGTGGATATTTGGACCTCTTTGTGGCCTTCGTTGGAAACGGGATTTTTCATATAATGCTAGACAGAAGAATTCTCAGTAACTTCTTTTTGTGGTGTGTATTCAACTCACAGAGTTGAACCTTCCTTTAGACAGAGCAGATTTGATACTCTCTTTTTGTGGAATTTGCAAGTGGAGATTTCAGGCGCTTTGAGGCCAACGGTAGAAAAGGAAATATCTTCGTAGAAAAAATAGACGGAATCATTCTCAGAAACTGCTTTGGGATGTGTGCATTGAATTCACAGTGTTTAACACTTCTTTTCATAGAGCACTTTGGAAACACTCAGTTTGTAATGTCTGCAGCTGGATATTTGGACCTCTTTGAGGCCTTCGTAGTAAACGGGATTTCTTCGTGTAATGATAGACAATAGAATTCTCAGTGAATTTTTTTCTGTGTGTGTGTATTCAACTCACAGGGTTGAACCTTCCTTTAGACAGTGCAGATTTGAAACACTTGTCTGTGGAATTTGCAAGGGGAGATTTCAAGCACTTTGAGGCCATTGGTGGAAAAGGAAATATCTTCGTATAAAAACTAGACAGAATCATTCTCAGGAACTACTTTGTGATATGTGCATTCAACTCCCAGAGTTTAACCTTTCTTTTCATAGATGAGTTTGGAAACAGTCAGTTTGTAAATTCTGCAACTGGATATTTGGACCTCTTTGAGGCTTTCGTTGGAAACGGGATTTCTTCACATAATGCTAGACAGAAGAATTCTCAGTAACTTCTTTTGGGATGTATGTATTCAAATCAGAGAGTTGAACCTTCCTTTAGACAGAGCGGATTGGAAACACTCTTTTTGTGGAATTTGCAAGTGGAAAATTCTAGCAGTATGAGGCCAATGGTACAAAAGGAAATATCTTCGTATAAAAACTAGACAGTATCATTCTCAGAAACTGCTTTGTGATGTGTGTATTAAACTCACAGAGTTTAACCTTTCTTTTCATAGAGCAGTTTGGAAACCCTCTGTTTGTGAAGTCTGCAAGTGGATATTTAAACGTCTTTGAGGCCTTCGTTGGAAACGGGATTTTTTCATATAAACCAGGACAGAAGAATTCTCAGAAACTTCTTGATTGTTATGTGTGCATTCAACTCACAGAGTTGAACCTTACTTTGGAAAGAGCGGTTTTCTAACACTCTTTTTGTAAAAGTTCCAAGTGAATACTTTGAGTGCTTTGAAGCCTACGGTTGACAACGAAATATCTTCATGTAAAAACTACAAAGAATCATTCGCAGAAACCACGTTGTGATCTCTGCATTCAACTCACAGTGTTGAACCTTTCTTCCTATAGAGCAGTTATGAAACAGTCTCTTTGTAGAATTTGCAAGGGTGTATTTAGAGGGCATTGAAGCCTACGGTAGAAAAGGAAATATCTTACCATAAAATCTAGTCAGAAGCATTCTCAGCAACTGAGTTGTGATGTTTGCATTCAACTCACAGAGTTCAACATTCCTTTTAATGGAGCGGTTTTGAAACACTCTTTTTGCAGAATCTGCAAGTGGATATTTGGACCTCTTTGAGGCCTTCGTTGGAAACGGGATTTCTTCATGTAATGCCAGACAGAAGAATTCTCAGTGAATTCTTTCTGTGTGTGTGTATTCAACTCACAGAGTTGAACGTTCCTTTAGACAGAGTAGATTGGAAACACTCTTTTTGTGGAATTTTCAGGTGGAGGTATCAAGCGCTTTGAGGCCAATGATAGAAAAGGAAATACCTTCGTATAATAATTAGACGGAATCATTCTCAGAAACCGCTTTGCAATGTGTGCGTTCAACTCACAGTGTTTAACCTTTCTTTTCATAGAGTTGTTTCGAAACACTCTTTTTGCAGAATCTGCAAGTGGATATTTGGACCTCTTTGAAGTCTTCGGTTGGAAATGGGATTTCTTCATATAATGCTAGACAGAAGACTTCTCAGTAACTGCTTTTTCTGGTGTGTATTCAACTCTCAGAGTTGAACTTTCCTTTAGAAACAGCAGATTTGAAACTCTCTTTTTGTGGAATTTGCAAGTGGAGATTTCAGAGCTTTGAGGCCAATGGTAGAAAAGGAAATATCTTCGTATGCAAACTAGACAGAATCATTCTCAGAAACTACTTTGGTACGTGTGTGTTCAACTCACAGTGTTTAACCTTTCTTTTCATAGAGCAGTTTGGAAACACTCAGTTTGCAAAGTCAGCAACTGGATATTTGGATGTATTTGAGGCCTTCGTTGGAAACGGGATTTCTTCATATAATGCTAGACAGAAGAATTCTCAGTAACTTCTTTGGGTTGTGGGTATTCAAGTCACAGAGTTGAAGCTTCCTTTAGGCGGAGCAGATTGGAAACACTTTTTGTGGAATTTTCAGGGGGAGACTTCAAGCGCTTTGAAGTGAATGGTAGGAAAGGAAATATCTTCGTATAAAATCTAGACGGAGTCATTCTCAGAAACTACTTTGTGATGTTTGCGTTCAACTCACAGAGTTTAACGTTTCTTTTCATAGAGCAGTTTGGAAACACTCTTTTTGCAGAATCTGCAAGTGGATATTTGGACCTCTTTGTGGCCTTCGTTGGAAACGGGATTTTTCATATAATGCTAGACAGAAGAATTCTCAGTAACTTCTTTTTGTGGTGTGTATTCAACTCACAGAGTTGAACCTTCCTTTAGACAGAGCAGATTTGAAACTCTCTTTTTGTGGAATTTGCAAGTGGAGATTTCAAGCGCTTTGAGGCCAACGGCAGAAAAGGAAATATCTTCGTAGAAAAAATAGACGGAATCATTCTCAGAAACTGCTTTGGGATGTGTGCATTGAACTCACAGTGTTTAACACTTCTTTTCATAGAGCACTTTGGAAACACTCAGTTTGTAATGTCTGCAGCTGGATATTTGGACCTCTTTGAGGCCTTCGTGGTAAACGGGATTTCTTCGTGTAATGATAGACAATAGAATTCTCAGTGAATTTTTTTCTGTGTGTGTGTATTCAACTCACAGGGTTGAACCTTCCTTTAGACAGTGCAGATTTGAGACACTTGTCTGTGGAATTTGCAAGGGGAGATTTCAAGCACTTTGAGGCCATTGGTGGAAAAGGAAATATCTTCGTATGAAAACTAGACAGAATCATTCTCAGGAACTACTTTGTGATATGTGCATTCAACTCACAGAGTTTAACCTTTCTTTTCATAGATGAGTTTGGAAACAGTCAGTTTGTAAATTCTGCAACTGGATATTTGGACCTCTTTGAGGCTTTCGTTGGAAACGGGATTTCTTCACATAATGCTAGACAGAAGAATTCTCAGTAACTTCTTTTGGGATGTATGTATTCAAATCAGAGAGTTGAACCTTCCTTTAGACAGAGCGGATTGGAAACACTCTTTTTGTGGAATTTGCAAGTGGAAAATTCTAGCAGTATGAGGCCAATGGTACAAAAGGAAATATCTTCGTATAAAAACTAGACAGTATCATTCTCAGAAACTGCTTTGTGATGTGTGTATTAAACTCACAGAGTTGAACATTTCTTTGCATAGAGCAGTTTGGAAAGACTTAGTTTGTGCAGTGTGCAAGTGGATATTTGGAACTCTTTGAGGCCTTCGTTGGAAATGGGATTTCTTCTTATAATTCTTGACAAAAGAATTCTCAGTAGCTTCTTTGTGTGTGTGTACTCAACTCACAGAGTTGAACCTTCCTTTAGACAGAGCAGATTGGAAATATTCTTTTTGTGGAATTTGCAAGTGGAAAATTCTAGCAGTATGAGGCCAATGGTACAAAAGGAAATATCTTCGTATAAAAACTAGACAGTATCATTCTCAGAAGCTACTTTGTGATGTGTGCGTTCAACTCACAGAGTTTAACCTTTCTTTTCATAGAGCAGTTTGGAAACCCTCTGTTTGTGAAGTCTGCAAGTGGATATTTAAACGTCTTTGAGGCCTTCGTTGGAAACGGGATTTGTTCATATAAACCAGGACAGAAGAATTCTCAGAAACTTCTTGATTGTTATGTGTGCATTCAACTCACAGAGTTGAACCTTACTTTGGAAAGAGCAGTTTTCTAACACTCTTTTTGTAAAAGTTCCAAGTGAATACTTTGAGTGCTTTGAAGCCTACGGTTGACAACGAAATATCTTCCTGTAAAAACTACAAAGAATCATTCGCAGAAACCACGTTGTGATCTCTGCATTCAACTCACAGAGTTGAACCTTTCTTCCTATAGAGCAGTTATGAAACAGTCTCTTTGTAGAATTTGCAAGGGTGTATTTAGAGGGCATTGAAGCCTACGGTAGAAAAGGAAATATCTTACCATAAAATCTAGTCAGAAGCATTCTCAGCAACTGAGTTGTGATGTTTCCATTCAACTCACAGAGTTCAACATTCCTTTTAATGGAGCGGTTTTGAAACACTCTTTTTGCAGAATCTGCAAGTGGATATTTGGACCTCTTTGAGGCCTTCGTTGGAAACGGGATTTCTTCATGTAATGCCAGACAGAAGAATTCTCAGTGAATTCTTTCTGTGTGTGTGTATTCAACTCACAGAGTTGAACGTTCCTTTAGACAGAGTAGATTGGAAACACTCTTTTTGTGGAATTTTCAGGTGGAGGTATCAAGCGCTTTGAGGCCAATGATAGAAAAGGAAATACCTTCGTATAATAATTAGACGGAATCATTCTCAGAAACCGCTTTGCAATGTGTGCGTTCAACTCACAGTGTTTAACCTTTCTTTTCATACAGTTGTTTCGAAACACTCTTTTTGCAGAATCTGCAAGTGGATATTTGGACCTCTTTGAAGTCTTCGTTGGAAATGGGATTTCTTCATATAATGCTAGACAGAAGACTTCTCAGTAACTG
This sequence comes from Homo sapiens, assembly GCF_000001405.40. Classification (NCBI taxonomy): domain Eukaryota; kingdom Metazoa; phylum Chordata; class Mammalia; order Primates; family Hominidae; genus Homo; species Homo sapiens. The sequence goes on from NC_000003.12 coordinate 93,196,408, forward strand.
CTTTTTCTGGTGTGTATTCAACTCTCAGAGTTGAACTTTCCTTTAGAAACAGCAGATTTGAAACTCTCTTTTTGTGGAATTTGCAAGTGGAGATTTCAGAGCTTTGAGGCCAATGGTAGAAAAGGAAATATCTTCGTATGCAAACTAGACAGAATCATTCTCAGAAACTACTTTGGTACGTGTGTGTTCAACTCACAGTGTTTAACCTTTCTTTTCATAGAGCAGTTTGGAAACACTCAGTTTGTAAAGTCAGCAACTGGATATTTGGATGTATTTGAGGCCTTCGTTGGAAACGGGATTTCTTCATATAATGCTAGACAGAAGAATTCTCAGTAACTTCTTTGGGTTGTGGGTATTCAAGTCACAGAGTTGAAGCTTCCTTTAGGCGGAGCAGATTGGAAACACTTTTTGTGGAATTTTCAGGGGGAGACTTCAAGCGCTTTGAAGTGAATGGTAGGAAAGGAAATATCTTCGGTATAAAAACTAGACGGAGTCATTCTCAGAAACTACTTTGTGATGTTTGCGTTCAACTCACAGAGTTTAACGTTTCTTTTCATAGAGCAGTTTGGAAACACTCTTTTTGCAGAATCTGCAAGTGGATATTTGGACCTCTTTGTGGCCTTCGTTGGAAACGGGATTTTTCATATAATGCTAGACAGAAGAATTCTCAGTAACTTCTTTTTGTGGTGTGTATTCAACTCACAGAGTTGAACCTTCCTTTAGACAGAGCAGATTTGAAACTCTCTTTTTGTGGAATTTGCAAGTGGAGATTTCAAGCGCTTTGAGGCCAACGGCAGAAAAGGAAATATCTTCGTAGAAAAAATAGACGGAATCATTCTCAGAAACTGCTTTGGGATGTGTGCATTGAACTCACAGTGTTTAACACTTCTTTTCATAGAGCACTTTGGAAACACTCAGTTTGTAATGTCTGCAGCTGGATATTTGGACCTCTTTGAGGCCTTCGTAGTAAACGGGATTTCTTCGTGTAATGATAGACAATAGAATTCTCAGTGAATTTTTTTCTGTGTGTGTGTATTCAACTCACAGGGTTGAACCTTCCTTCAGACAGTACAGATTTGAAACACTTTTCTGTGGAATTTGCAAGGGGAGATTTCAAGCACTTTGTGGCCATTGGTGGAAAAGGGAATATCTTCGTATAAAAACTAGACAGAATCATTCTCAGGAACTACTTTGTGATATGTGCATTCAACTCACAGAGTTTAACCTTTCTTTTCATAGATGAGTTTGGAAACAGTCAGTTTGTAAATTCTGCAACTGGATATTTGGACCTCTTGGAGGCTTTCGTTGGAAACGGGATTTCTTCACATAATGCTAGACAGAAGAATTCTCAGTAACTTCTTTTGGGATGTATGTATTCAAATCAGAGAGTTGAACCTTCCTTTAGACAGAGCGGATTGGAAACACTCTTTTTGTGGAATTTGCAAGTGGAAAATTCTAGCAGTATGAGGCCAATGGTACAAAAGGAAATATCTTCGTATAAAAACTAGACAGTATCATTCTCAGAAACTGCTTTGTGATGTGTGTATTAAACTCACAGAGTTGAACATTTCTTTGCATAGAGCAGTTTGGAAAGACTTAGTTTGTGCAGTGTGCAAGTGGATATTTGGAACTCTTTGAGGCCTTCGTTGGAAACGGGATTTCTTCTTATAATTCTTGACAAAAGAATTCTCAGTAGCTTCTTTGTGTGTGTGTATTCAACTCACAGAGTTGAACCTTCCTTTAGACAGAGCAGATTGGAAACACTCTTTTTGTGGAATTTGCAAGTGGAGAATTCTAGCGCTTTGACGCCAATGGTAGAAAGGAAATATCTTCGTATAAAAACTAGACAGTATCATTCTCAGAAACTACTTTGTGATGTGTGCGTTCAACTCACAGAGTTTAACCTTTCTTTTCATAGAGCAGTTTGGAAACACTCTGTTTGTGAAGTCTGCAAGTGGATATTTAAACGTCTTTGAGGCCTTCGTTGGAAACGGGATTTGTTCATATAAACCAGGACAGAAGAATTCTCAGAAACTTCTTGATTGTTATGTGTGCATTCAACTCACAGAGTTGAACCTTACTTTGGAAAGAGCAGTTTTCTAACACTCTTTTTGTAAAAGTTCCAAGTGAATACTTTGAGTGCTTTGAAGCCTACGGTTGACAACGAAATATCTTCATGTAAAAACTACAAAGAATCATTCGCAGAAACCACGTCGTGATCTCTGCATTCAACTCACAGAGTTGAACCTTTCTTCCTATAGAGCAGTTATGAAACAGTCTCTTTGTAGAATTTGCAAGGGTGTATTTAGAGGGCATTGAAGCCTACGGTAGAAAAGGAAATATCTTACCATAAAATCTAGTCAGAAGCATTCTCAGCAACTGAGTTGTGATGTTTCCATTCAACTCACAGAGTTCAACATTCCTTTTAATGGAGCGGTTTTGAAACACTCTTTTTGCAGAATCTGCAAGTGGATATTTGGACCTCTTTGAGGCCTTCGTTGGAAACGGGATTTCTTCATGTAATGCCAGACAGAAGAATTCTCAGTGAATTCTTTCTGTGTGTGTGTATTCAACTCACAGAGTTGAACGTTCCTTTAGACAGAGTAGATTGGAAACACTCTTTTTGTGGAATTTTCAGGTGGAGGTATCAAGCGCTTTGAGGCCAATGATAGAAAAGGAAATACCTTCGTATAATAATTAGACGGAATCATTCTCAGAAACTGCTTTGCAATGTGTGCGTTCAACTCACAGTGTTTAACGTTTCTTTTCATACAGTTGTTTCGAAACACTCTTTTTGCAGAATCTGCAAGTGGATATTTGGACCTCTTTGAAGTCTTCGTTGGAAATGGGATTTCTTCATATAATGCTAGACAGAAGACTTCTCAGTAACTGCTTTTTCTGGTGTGTATTCAACTCTCAGAGTTGAACTTTCCTTTAGAAACAGCAGAGTTGAAACTCTCTTTTTGTGGAATTTGCAAGTGGAGATTTCAAAGCTTTGAGGCCAATGGTAGAAAAGGAAATATCTTCGTATGCAAACTAGACAGAATCATTCTCAGAAACTACTTTGGTACGTGTGTGTTCAACTCACAGTGTTTAACCTTTCTTTTCATAGAGCAGTTTGGAAACACTCAGTTTGTAAAGTCAGCAACTGGATATTTGGATGTATTTGAGGCCTTCGTTGGAAACGGGATTTCTTCATATAATGCTAGACAGAAGAATTCTCAGTAACTTCTTTGGGTTGTGGGTATTCAACTCACAGAGTTGAAGCTTCCTTTAGGCGGAGCAGATTGGAAACACTTTTTGTGGAATTTTCAGGGAGAGACTTCAAGCGCTTTGAAGTGAATGGTAGGAAAGGAAATATCTTCGTATAAAAACTAGACGGAGTCATTCTCAGAAACTACTTTGTGATGTTTGCGTTCAACTCACAGAGTTTAACGTTTCTTTTCATAGAGCAGTTTGGAAACACTCTTTTTGCAGAATCTGCAAGTGGATATTTGGACCTCTTTGTTTCCTTCGTTGGAAAAGGGATTTTTCATATAATGCTAGACAGAAGAATTCTCAGTAACTTCTTTTTGTGGTGTGTATTCAACTCACAGAGTTGAACCTTCCTTTAGACAGAGCAGATTTGAAACTCTCTTTTTGTGGAATTTGCAAGTGGAGATTTCAAGCGCTTTGAGGCCAACGGCAGAAAAGGAAATATCTTCGTAGAAAAAATAGACGGAATCATTCTCAGAAACTGCTTTGGGATGTGTGCATTGAACTCACAGTGTTTAACACTTCTTTTCATAGAGCACTTTGGAAACACTCAGTTTGTAATGTCTGCAGCTGGATATTTGGACCTCTTTGAGGCCTTCGTAGTAAACGGGATTTCTTCGTGTAATGATAGACAATAGAATTCTCAGTGAATTTTTTTCTGTGTGTGTGTATTCAACTCACAGGGTTGAACCTTCCTTTAGACAGTGCAGATTTGAGACACTTGTCTGTGGAATTTGCAAGGGGAGATTTCAAGCACTTTGAGGCCATTGGTGGAAAAGGAAATATCTTCGTATGAAAACTAGACAGAATCATTCTCAGGAACTACTTTGTGATATGTGCATTCAACTCACAGAGTTTAACCTTTCTTTTCATAGATGAGTTTGGAAACAGTCAGTTTGTAAATTCTGCAACTGGATATTTGGACCTCTTTGAGGCTTTCGTTGGAAACGGGATTTCTTCACATAATGCTAGACAGAAGAATTCTCAGTAACTTCTTTTGGGATGTATGTATTCAACTCAGAGAGTTGAACCTTCCTTTAGACAGAGCGGATTGGAAACACGCTTTTTGCGGAATTTTCAGGTGGAGATTCCAAGAGCCTTGAGGCCAATGGTAGAAAAGGCTATCTTCGTATAAAAACTAGAGGGAATCATTCTCAGAAACTGCTTTGTGATGTGTGCATTAAACTCACAGAGTTGAACATTTCTTTGCATAGAGCAGTTTGGAAAGACTTAGTTTGTACAGTGTGCAAGTGGATATTTGGAACTCTTTGAGGCCTTCGTTGGAAACGGGATTTCTTCTTGTAATTCTTGACAAAGAAATTCTCAGTAGCTTCTTTGTGTGTGTGTATTCAACTCACAGAGTTGAACCTTCCTTTAGACAGAGCAGATTGGAAACACTCTTTTTGTGGAATTTGCAAGTGGAGAATTCTAGCGCTTTGACGCCAATGGTAGAAAGGAAATATCTTCGTATAAAAACTAGACAGTATCATTCTCAGAAGCTACTTTGTGATGTGTGCGTTCAACTCACAGAGTTTAACCTTTCTTTTCATAGAGCAGTTTGGAAACCCTCTGTTTGTGAAGTCTGCAAGTGGATATTTAAACGTCTTTGAGGCCTTCGTTGGAAACGGGATTTCTTCATATAAACCAGGACAGAAGAATTCTCAGAAACTTCTTGATTGTTATGTGTGCATTCAACTCACAGAGTTGAACCTTACTTTGGAAAGAGCAGTTTTCTAACACTCTTTTTGTAAAAGTTCCAAGTGAATACTTTGAGTGCTTTGAAGCCTACGGTTGACAACGAAATATCTTCATGTAAAAACTACAAAGAATCATTCGCAGAAACCACGTTGTGATCTCTGCATTCAACTCACAGAGTTGAATCTTTCTTCCTATAGAGCAGTTATGAAACAGTCTCTTTGTAGAATTTGCAAGGGTGTATTTAGAGGGCATTGAAGCCTACGGTAGAAAAGGAAATATCTTACCATAAAATCTAGTCAGAAGCATTCTCAGAAACTGAGTTGTGATGTTTGCATTCAACTCACAGAGTTCAACATTCCTTTTCATGGAGCGGTTTTGAAACACTCTTTTTGCAGAATCTGCAAGTGGATATTTGGACCTCTTTGAGGCCTTCGTTGAAAACGGGATTTCTTCATGTAATGCCAGACAGAAGAACTCTCAGTGAATTCTTTCTGTGTGTGTGTATTCAACTCACAGAGTTGAACGTTCCTTTAGACAGAGTAGATTGGAAACACTCTTTTTGTGGAATTTTCAGGTGGAGGTATCAAGCGCTTTGAGGCCCATGATAGAAAAGGAAATACCTTCGTATAATAATTAGACGGAATCATTCTCAGAAACTGCTTTGCAATGTGTGCCTTCAACTCACAGCGTTTAACCTTTCTTTTCATACAGTTGTTTCGAAACACTCTTTCTGCAGAATCTGCAAGTGGATATTTGGACCTCTTTGAAGTCTTCGTTGGAAACGGGATTTCTTCATATAATGCTAGACAGAAGACTTCTCAGTAACTGCTTTTTCTGGTGTGTATTCAACTCTCAGAGTTGAACTTTCCTTTAGAAACAGCAGATTTGAAACTCTCTTTTTGTGGAATTTGCAAGTGGAGATTTCAAAGCTTTGAGGCCAATGGTTGAAAAGGAAATATCTTCGTATGCAAACTAGACAGAATCATTCTCAGAAACTACTTTGGTACGTGTGTGTTCAACTCACAGTGTTTAACCTTTCCTTTCATAGAGCAGTTTGGAAACACTCAGTTTGTAAAGTCAGCAACTGGATATCTGGATGTATTTGAGGCCTTCGTTGGAAACGGGATTTCTTCATGTAATGCTAGACAGAAGAATTCTCAGTAATTTCTTTGGGTTGTGGGTATTCAACTCACAGAGCTGAAGCTTCCTTTAGGCGGAGCAGATTGGAAACACTTTTTGTGGAATTTTCAGGGGGAGACTTCAAGCGCTTTGAGGCCAACGGTAGAAAAGGAAATATCTTCGTATAAAAACTAGACGGAGTCATTCTCAGAAACTACTTTGTGATGTTTGCGTTCAACTCACAGAGTTTAACGTTTCTTTTCATAGAGCAGTTTGGAAACACTCTTTTTGCAGAATCTGCAAGTGGATATTTGGACCTCTTTGTGGCCTTCGTTGGAAACGGGATTTTTCATATAATGCTAGACAGAAGAATTCTCAGTAACTTCCTTTTGTGGTGTGTATTCAACTCACAGAGTTGAACCTTCCTTTAGACAGAGCAGATTTGAAACTCTCTTTTTGTGGAATTTGCAAGTGGAGATTTCAAGCGCTTTGAGGCCAACGGTAGAAAAGGAAATATCTTCGTAGAAAAAATAGACGGAATCATTCTCAGAAACTGCTTTGGGATGTGTGCATTGAACTCACAGTGTTTAACACTTCTTTTCATAGAGCACTTTGGAAACACTCAGTTTGTAATGTCTGCAGCTGGATATTTGGACCTCTTTGAGGCCTTCGTAGTAAACGGGATTTCTTCGTGTAATGATAGACAATAGAATTCTCAGTGAATTTTTTTCTGTGTGTGTGTATTCAACTCACAGGGTTGAACCTTCCTTTAGACAGTGCAGATTTGAAACACTTGTCTGTGGAATTTGCAAGGGGAGATTTCAAGCACTTTGAGGCCATTGGTGGAAAAGGAAATATCTTCATATAAAAACTAGACAGAATCATTCTCAGGAACTACTTTGTGATATGTGCATTCAACTCACAGAGTTTAACCTTTCTTTTCATAGATGAGTTTGGAAACAGTCAGTTTGTAAATTCTGCAACTGGATATTTGGACCTCTTTGAGGCTTTCGTTGGAAACGGGATTTCTTCACATAATGCTAGACAGAAGAATTCTCAGTAAATTCTTTTGGGATGTATGTATTCAAATCAGAGAGTTGAACCTTCCTTTAGACAGAGCGGATTGGAAACACTCTTTTTGTGGAATTTGCAAGTGGAAAATTCTAGCAGTATGAGGCCAATGGTACAAAAGGAAATATCTTCGTATAAAAACTAGACAGTATCATTCTCAGAAACTGCTTTGTGATGTGTGTATTAAACTCACAGAGTTGAACATTTCTTTGCATAGAGCAGTTTGGAAAGACTTAGTTTGTGCAGTGTGCAAGTGGATATTTGGAACTCTTTGAGGCCTTCGTTGGAAACGGGATTTCTTCTTATAATTCTTGACAAAAGAATTCTCAGTAGCTTCTTTGTGTGTGTGTATTCAACTCACAGAGTTGAAACCTGCCTTGAGACAGAGCAGATTGGAAACACTCTTTTTGTGGAATTTGCAAGTGGAGAATTCTAGCGCTTTGACGCCAATGGTAGAAAGGAAATATCTTCGTATAAAAACTAGACAGTATCATTCTCAGAAGCTACTTTGTGATGTGTGCGTTCAACTCACAGAGTTTAACCTTTCTTTTCATAGAGCAGTTTGGAAACCCTCTGTTTGTGAAGTCTGCAAGTGGATATTTAAACGTCTTTGAGGCCTTCGTTGGAAACGGGATTTTTTCATATAAACCAGGACAGAAGAATTCTCAGAAACTTCTTGATTGTTATGTGTGCATTCAACTCACAGAGTTGAACCTTACTTTGGAAAGAGCAGTTTTCTAACACTCTTTTTGTAAAAGTTCCAAGTGAATACTTTGAGTGCTTTGAAGCCTACGGTTGACAACGAAATATCTTCATGTAAAAACTACAAAGAATCATTCGCAGAAACCACGTTGTGATCTCTGCATTCAACTCACAGAGTTCAACCTTTCTTCCTATAGAGCAGTTATGAAACAGTCTCTTTGTAGAATTTGCAAGGGTGTATTTAGAGGGCATTGAAGCCTACGGTAGAAAAGGAAATATCTTACCATAAAATCTAGTCAGAAGCATTCTCAGCAACTGAGTTGTGATGTTTGCATTCAACTCACAGAGTTCAACATTCCTTTTAATGGAGCGGTTTTGAAACACTCTTTTTGCAGAATCTGCAAGTGGATATTTGGACCTCTTTGAGGCCTTCGTTGGAAACGGGATTTCTTCATGTAATGCCAGACAGAAGAATTCTCAGTGAATTCTTTCTGTGTGTGTGTATTCAACTCACAGAGTTGAACGTTCCTTTAGACAGAGTAGATTGGAAACACTCTTTTTGTGGAATTTTCAGGTGGAGGTATCAAGCGCTTTGAGGCCAATGATAGAAAAGGAAATACCTTCGTATAATAATTAGACGGAATCATTCTCAGAAACTGCTTTGCAATGTGTGCGTTCAACTCACAGTGTTTAACTTTTCTTTTCATACAGTTGTTTCAAAACACTCTTTTTGCAGAATCTGCAAGTGGATATTTGGACCTCTTTGAAGTCTTCGTTGGAAATGGGATTTCTTCATATAATGCTAGACAGAAGACTTCTCAGTAACTGCTTTTTCTGGTGTGTATTCAACTCTCAGAGTTGAACTTTCCTTTAGAAACAGCAGAGTTGAAACTCTCTTTTTGTGGAATTTGCAAGTGGAGATTTCAGAGCTTTGAGGCCAATGGTAGAAAAGGAAATATCCTTCGTATGCAAACTAGACAGAATCATTCTCAGAAACTACTTTGGTACGTGTGTGTTCAACTCACAGTGTTTAACCTTTCTTTTCATAGAGCAGTTTGGAAACACTCAGTTTGTAAAGTCAGCAACTGGATATTTGGATGTATTTGAGGCCTTCGTTGGAAACGGGATTTCTTCATATAATGCTAGACAGAAGAATTCTCAGTAACTTCTTTGGGTTGTGGGTATTCAAGTCACAGAGTTGAAGCTTCCTTTAGGCGGAGCAGATTGGAAACACTTTTTGTGGAATTTTCAGGGGGAGACTTCAAGCGCTTTGAAGTGAATGGTAGGAAAGGAAATATCTTCGTATAAAAACTAGACGGAGTCATTCTCAGAAACTACTTTGTGATGTTTGCGTTCAACTCACAGAGTTTAACGTTTCTTTTCATAGAGCAGTTTGGAAACACTCTTTTTGCAGAATCTGCAAGTGGATATTTGGACCTCTTTGTGGCCTTCGTTGGAAACGGGATTTTTCATATAATGCTAGACAGAAGAATTCTCAGTAACTTCTTTTTGTGGTGTGTATTCAACTCACAGAGTTGAACCTTCCTTTAGACAGAGCAGATTTGAAACTCTCTTTTTGTGGAATTTGCAAGTGGAGATTTCAAGCGCTTTGAGGCCAACGGCAGAAAAGGAAATATCTTCGTAGAAAAAATAGACGGAATCATTCTCAGAAACTGCTTTGGGATGTGTGCATTGAACTCACAGTGTTTAACACTTCTTTTCATAGAGCACTTTGGAAACACTCAGTTTGTAATGTCTGCAGCTGGATATTTGGACCTCTTTGAGGCCTTCGTAGTAAACGGGATTTCTTCGTGTAATGATAGACAATAGAATTCTCAGTGAATTTTTTTCTGTGTGTGTGTATTCAACTCACAGGGTTGGACCTTCCTTTAGACAGTGCAGATTTGAAACACTTGTCTGTGGAATTTGCAAGGGGAGATTTCAAGCACTTTGAGGCCATTGGTGGAAAAGGAAATATCTTCGTATAAAAACTAGACAGAATCATTCTCAGGAACTACTTTGTGATATGTGCATTCAACTCCCAGAGTTTAACCTTTCTTTTCATAGATGAGTTTGGAAACAGTCAGTTTGTAAATTCTGCAACTGGATATTTGGACCTCTTTGAGGCTTTCGTTGGAAACGGGATTTCTTCACATAATGCTAGACAGAAGAATTCTCAGTAACTTCTTTTGGGATGTATGTATTCAAATCAGAGAGTTGAACCTTCCTTTAGACAGAGCGGATTGGAAACACTCTTTTTGTGGAATTTGCAAGTGGAAAATTCTAGCAGTATGAGGCCAATGGTACAAAAGGAAATATCTTCGTATAAAAACTAGACAGTATCATTCTCAGAAACTGCTTTGTGATGTGTGTATTAAACTCACAGAGTTGAACATTTCTTTGCATAGAGCAGTTTGGAAAGACTTAGTTTGTGCAGTGTGCAAGTGGATATTTGGAACTCTTTGAGGCCTTCGTTGGAAACGGGATTTCTTCTTATAATTTCTTGAAAAAAGAATTCTCAGTAGCTTCTTTGTGTGTGTGTATTCAACTCACAGAGTTGAACCTTCCTTTAGACAGAGCAGATTGGAAACACTCTTTTTGTGGAATTTGCAAGTGGAGAATTCTAGCGCTTTGACGCCAATGGTAGAAAGGAAATATCTTCGTATAAAAACTAGACAGTATCATTCTCAGAAACTACTTTGTGATGTGTGCGTTCAACTCACAGAGCTTAACCTTTCTTTTCATAGAGCAGTTTGGAAACACTCTGTTTGTGAAGTCTGCAAGTGGATATTTAAACGTCTTTGAGGCCTTCGTTGGAAACGGGATTTGTTCATATAAACCAGGACAGAAGAATTCTCAGAAACTTCTTGATTGTTATGTGTGCATTCAACTCACAGAGTTGAACCTTACTTTGGAAAGAGCAGTTTTCTAACACTCTTTTTGTAAAAGTTCCAAGTGAATACTTTGAGTGCTTTGAAGCCTACGGTTGACGACGAAATATCTTCATGTAAAAACTACAAAGAATCATTCACAGAAACCACGTTGTGATCTCTGCATTCAACTCACAGAGTTGAACCTTTCTTCCTATAGAGCAGTTATGAAACAGTCTCTTTGTAGAATTTGCAAGGGTGTATTTAGAGGGCATTGAAGCCTACGGTAGAAAAGGAAATATCTTACCATAAAATCTAGTCAGAAGCATTCTCAGCAACTGAGTTGTGATGTTTGCATTCAACTCACAGAGTTCAACATTCCTTTTAATGGAGCGGTTTTGAAACACTCTTTTTGCAGAATCTGCAAGTGGATATTTGGACCTCTTTGAGGCCTTCGTTGGAAACGGGATTTCTTCATATAATGCCAGACAGAAGAATTCTCAGTGAATTCTTTCTGTGTGTGTGTATTCAACTCACAGAGTTGAACGTTCCTTTAGACAGAGTAGATTGGAAACACTCTTTTTGTGGAATTTTCAGGTGGAGGTATCAAGCGCTTTGAGGCCAATGATAGAAAAGGAAATACCTTCGTATAATAATTAGACGGAATCATTCTCAGAAACCGCTTTGCAATGTGTGCGTTCAACTCACAGTGTTTAACCTTTCTTTTCATACAGTTGTTTCGAAACACTCTTTTTGCAGAATCTGCAAGTGGATATTTGGACCTCTTTGAAGTACTTCGTTGGAAATGGGATTTCTTCATATAATGCTAGACAGAAGACTTCTCAGTAACTTCTTTTTGTGGTGTGTATTCAACTCACAGAGTTGAACCTTCCTTTAGACAGAGCAGATTTGAAACTCTCTTTTTGTGGAATTTGCAAGTGGAGATTTCAAGCGCTTTGAGGCCAACGGCAGAAAAGGAAATATCTTCGTAGAAAAAATAGACGGAATCATTCTCAGAAACTGCTTTGGGATGTGTGCATTGAACTCACAGTGTTTAACACTTCTTTTCATAGAGCACTTTGGAAACACTCAGTTTGTAATGTCTGCAGCTGGATATTTGGACCTCTTTGAGGCCTTCGTAGTAAACGGGATTTCTTCGTGTAATGATAGACAATAGAATTCTCAGTGAATTTTTTCTGTGTGTGTGTATTCAACTCACAGGGTTGAACCTTCCTTTAGACAGTGCAGATTTGAGACACTTGTCTGTGGAATTTGCAAGGGGAGATTTCAAGCACTTTGAGGCCATTGGTGGAAAAGGAAATATCTTCGTATAAAAACTAGACAGAATCATTCTCAGGAACTACTTTGTGATATGTGCATTCAACTCACAGAGTTTAACCTTTCTTTTCATAGATGAGTTTGGAAACAGTCAGTTTGTAAATGCTGCAACTGGATATTTGGGCCTCTTTGAGGCTTTCGTTGGAAACGGGATTTCTTCACATAATGCTAGACAGAAGAATTCTCAGTAACTTCTTTTGGGATGTATGTATTCAAATCAGAGAGTTGAACCTTCCTTTAGACAGAGCGGATTGGAAACACTCTTTTTGTGGAATTTGCAAGTGGAAAATTCTAGCAGTATGAGGCCAATGGTACAAAAGGAAATATCTTCGTATAAAAACTAGACAGTATCATTCTCAGAAACTGCTTTGTGATGTGTGTATTAAACTCACAGAGTTGAACATTTCTTTGCATAGAGCAGTTTGGAAAGACTTAGTTTGTGCAGTGTGCAAGTGGATATTTGGAACTCTTTGAGGCCTTCGTTGGAAACGGGATTTCTTCTTATAATTCTTGACAAAAGAATTCTCAGTAGCTTCTTTGTGTGTGTGTATTCAACTCACAGAGTTGAACCTTCCTTTAGACAGAGCAGATTGGAAACACTCTTTTTGTGGAATTTGCAAGTGGAGAATTCTAGCGCTTTGACGCCAATGGTAGAAAGGAAATATCTTCGTATAAAAACTAGACAGTATCATTCTCAGAAACTACTTTGTGATGTGTGCGTTCAACTCACAGAGTTTAACCTTTCTTTTCATAGAGCAGTTTGGAAACACTCTCTTTGTGAAGTCTGCAAGTGGATATTTAAACGTCTTTGAGGCCTTCGTTGGAAACGGGATTTTTTCATATAAACCAGGACAGAAGAATTCTCAGAAACTTCTTGATTGTTATGGGTGCATTCAACTCACAGAGTTGAACCTTACTTTGGAAAGAGCAGTTTTCTAACACTCTTTTTGTAAAAGTTCCAAGTGAATACTTTGAGTGTTTTGAAGCCTACGGTTGACAACGAAATATCTTCATGTAAAAACTACAAAGAATCATTCGCAGAAACCACGTTGTGATCTCTGCATTCAACTCACAGAGTTGAACCTTTCTTCCTATAGAGCAGTTATGAAACAGTCTCTTTGTAGAATTTGCAAGGGTGTATTTAGAGGGCATTGAAGCCTACGGTATAAAAGGAAATATCTTACCATAAAATCTAGTCAGAAGCATTCTCAGAAACTGAGTTGTGATGTTTGCATTCAACTCACAGAGTTCAACATTCCTTTTAATGGAGCGGTTTTGAAACACTCTTTTTGCAGAATCTGCAAGTGGATATTTGGACCTCTTTGAGGCCTTCGTTGGAAACGGGATTTCTTCATGTAATGCCAGACAGAAGAATTCTCAGTGAATTCTTTCTGTGTGTGTGTATTCAACTCACAGAGTTGAACGTTCCTTTAGACAGAGTAGATTGGAAACACTCTTTTTGTGGAATTTTCAGGTGGAGGTATCAAGCGCTTTGAGGCCAATGATAGAAAAGGAAATACCTTCGTATAATAATTAGACGGAATCATTCTCAGAAACCGCTTTGCAATGTGTGCGTTCAACTCACAGTGTTTAACCTTTCTTTTCATACAGTTGTTTCGAAACACTCTTTTTGCAGAATCTGCAAGTGGATATTTGGACCTCTTTGAAGTCTTCGTTGGAAATGGGATTTCTTCATATAATGCTAGACAGAAGACTTCTCAGTAACTGCTTTTTCTGGTGTGTATTCAACTCTCAGAGTTGAACTTTCCTTTAGAAACAGCAGATTTGAAACTCTCTTTTTGTGGAATTTGCAAGTGGAGATTTCAGAGCTTTGAGGCCAATGGTAGAAAAGGAAATATCTTCATATGCAAACTAGACAGAATCATTCTCAGAAACTACTTTGGTACGTGTGTGTTCAACTCACAGTGTTTAACCTTTCTTTTCATAGAGCAGTTTGGAAACACTCAGTTTGTAAAGTCAGCAACTGGATATTTGGATGTATTTGAGGCCTTCGTTGGAAACGGGATTTCTTCATATAATGCTAGACAGAAGAATTCTCAGTAACTTCTTTCTTTGGGTTGTGGGTATTCAAGTCACAGAGTTGAAGCTTCCTTTAGGCGGAGCAGATTGGAAACACTTTTTGTGGAATTTTCAGGGGGAGACTTCAAGCGCTTTGAAGTGAATGGTAGGAAAGGAAATATCTTCGTATAAAAACTAGACGGAGTCATTCTCAGAAACTACTTTGTGATGTTTGCGTTCAACTCACAGAGTTTAACGTTTCTTTTCATAGAGCAGTTTGGAAACACTCTTTTTGCAGAATCTGCAAGTGGATATTTGGACCTCTTTGTGGCCTTCGTTGGAAACGGGATTTTTCATATAATGCTAGACAGAAGAATTCTCAGTAACTTCTTTTTGTGGTGTGTATTCAACTCACAGAGTTGAACCTTCCTTTAGACAGAGCAGATTTGAAACTCTCTTTTTGTGGAATTTGCAAGTGGAGATTTCAAGCGCTTTGAGGCCAACGGCAGAAAAGGAAATATCTTCGTAGAAAAATAGACGGAATCATTCTCAGAAACTGCTTTGGGATGTGTGCATTGAACTCACAGTGTTTAACACTTCTTTTCATAGAGCACTTTGGAAACACTCAGTTTGTAATGTCTGCAGCTGGATATTTGGACCTCTTTGAGGCCTTCGTAGTAAACGGGATTTCTTCGTGTAATGATAGACAATAGAATTCTCAGTGAATTTTTTTCTGTGTGTGTGTATTCAACTCACACGGTTGAACCTTCCTTTAGACAGTGCAGATTTGAAACACTTGTCTGTGGAATTTGCAAGGGGAGATTTCAAGCACTTTGAGGCCATTGGTGGAAAAGGAAATATCTTCGTATAAAAACTAGACAGAATCATTCTCAGGAACTACTTTGTGATATGTGCATTCAACTCCCAGAGTTTAACCTTTCTTTTCATAGATGAGTTTGGAAACAGTCAGTTTGTAAATTCTGCAACTGGATATTTGGACCTCTTTGAGGCTTTCGTTGGAAACGGGATTTCTTCACATAATGCTAGACAGAAGAATTCTCAGTAACTTCTTTTGGGATGTATGTATTCAAATCAGAGAGTTGAACCTTCCTTTAGACAGAGCGGATTGGAAACACTCTTTTTGTGGAATTTGCAAGTGGAAAATTCTAGCAGTATGAGGCCAATGGTACAAAAGGAAATATCTTCGTATAAAAACTAGACAGTATCATTCTCAGAAACTGCTTTGTGATGTGTGTATTAAACTCACAGAGTTGAACATTTCTTTGCATAGAGCAGTTTGGAAAGACTTAGTTTGTGCAGTGTGCAAGTGGATATTTGGAACTCTTTGAGGCCTTCGTTGGAAACGGGATTTCTTCTTATAATTCTTGACAAAAGAATTCTCAGTAGCTTCTTTGTGTGTGTGTATTCAACTCACAGAGTTGAACCTTCCTTTAGACAGAGCAGATTGGAAACACTCTTTTTGTGGAATTTGCAAGTGGAGAATTCTAGCGCTTTGACGCCAATGGTAGAAAGGAAATATCTTCGTATAAAAACTAGACAGTATCATTCTCAGAAACTACTTTTTGATGTGTGCGTTCAACTCACAGAGTTTAACCTTTCTTTTCATAGAGCAGTTTGGAAACACTCTGTTTGTGAAGTCTGCAAGTGGATATTTAAACGTCTTTGAGGCCTTCGTTGGAAACGGGATTTTTTCATATAAACCAGGACAGAAGAATTCTCAGAAACTTCTTGTTTGTTATGTGTGCATTCAACTCACAGAGTTGAACCTTACTTTGGAAAGAGCAGTTTTCTAACCTCTTTTTGTAAAAGTTCCAAGTGAATACTTTGAGTGCTTTGAAGCCTACGGTAGAGAACGAAATATCTTCATGTAAAAACTGCGAAGAATCATTCGCCGAAACCACGTTGTGATCTCTGCATTCAACTCACAGGAGTTCAACCTTTCTTCCTATAGAGCAGTTATTAAACAGTCTCTTTGTAGAATTTGCAAGGGTGTATTTAGAGGGCATTGAAGCCTACGGTAGAAAAGGAAATATCTGACCATAAAATCTAGTCAGAAGCATTCTCAGAAACTGAGTTGTGATGTTTGCATTCAACTCACAGAGTTCAACATTCCTTTTCATGGAGCGGTTTTGAAACACTCTTTTTGCAGAATCTGCAAGTGGATATTTGGACCTCTTTGAGGCCTTCGTTGGAAACGGGATTTCTTCATGTAATGCCAGACAGAAGAATTCTCAGTGAATTCTTTCTGTGTGTGTGTATTCAACTCACAGAGTTGAACGTTCCTTTAGACAGAGTAGATTGGAAACACTCTTTTTGTGGAATTTTCAGGTGGAGGTATCAAGCGCTTTGAGGCCAATGATAGAAAAGGAAATACCTTCGTATAATAATTAGACGGAATCATTCTCAGAAACTGCTTTGCAATGTGTGCGTTCAACTCACAGTGTTTAACCTTTCTTTTCATACAGTTGTTTCAAAACACTCTTTTTGCAGAATCTGCAAGTGGATATTTGGACCTCTTTGAAGTCTTCGTTGGAAATGGGATTTCTTCATATAATGCTAGACAGAAGACTTCTCAGTAACTGCTTTTTCTGGTGTGTATTCAACTCTCAGAGTTGAACTTTCCTTTAGAAACAGCAGATTTGAAACTCTCTTTTTGTGGAATTTGCAAGTGGAGATTTCAGAGCTTTGAGGCCAATGGTAGAAAAGGAAATATCTTCGTATGCAAACTAGACAGAATCATTCTCAGAAACTACTTTGGTACGTGTGTGTTCAAGTCACAGTGTTTAACCTTTCTTTTCATAGAGCAGTTTGGAAACACTCAGTTTGTAAAGTCAGCAACTGGATATTTGGATGTATTTGAGGCCTTCGTTGGAAACGGGATTTCTTCATATAATGCTAGACAGAAGAATTCTCAGTAACTTCTTTGGGTTGTGGGTATTCAACTCACAGAGTTGAAGCTTCCTTTAGGCGGAGCAGATTGGAAACACTTTTTGTGGAATTTTCAGGGGGAGACTTCAAGCGCTTTGAAGTGAATGGTAGAAAAGGAAATATCTTCGTATATAAACTAGACAGGAGTCATTCTCAGAAACTACTTTGTGATGTTTGCGTTCAACTCACAGAGTTTAACGTTTCTTTTCATAGAGCAGTTTGGAAACACTCTTTTTGCAGAATCTGCAAGTGGATATTTGGACCTCTTTGTGGCCTTCGTTGGAAACGGGATTTTTCATATAATGCTAGACAGAAGAATTCTCAGTAACTTCTTTTTGTGGTGTGTATTCAACTCACAGAGTTGAACCTTCCTTTAGACAGAGCAGATTTGAAACTCTCTTTTTGTGGAATTTGCAAGTGGAGATTTCAAGCGCTTTGAGGCCAACGGCAGAAAAGGAAATATCTTCGTAGAAAAAATAGACGGAATCATTCTCAGAAACTGCTTTGGGATGTGTGCATTGAACTCACAGTGTTTAACACTTCTTTTCATAGAGCACTTTGGAAACACTCAGTTTGTAATGTCTGCAGCTGGATATTTGGACCTCTTTGAGGCCTTCGTAGTAAACGGGATTTCTTCGTGTAATGATAGACAATAGAATTCTCAGTGAATTTTTTTCTGTGTGTGTGTATTCAACTCACAGGGTTGAACCTTCCTTTAGACAGTGCAGATTTGAAACACTTGTCTGTGGAATTTGCAAGGGGAGATTTCAAGCACTTTGAGGCCATTGGTGGAAAAGGAAATATCTTCGTATAAAAACTAGACAGAATCATTCTCAGGAACTACTTTGTGATATGTGCATTCAACTCACAGAGTTTAACCTTTCTTTTCATAGATGAGTTTGGAAACAGTCAGTTTGTAAATTCTGCAACTGGATATTTGGACCTCTTTGAGGCTTTCGTTGGAAACGGGATTTCTTCACATAATGCTAGACAGAAGAATTCTCAGTAACTTCTTTTGGGATGTATGTATTCAAATCAGAGAGTTGAACCTTCCTTTAGACAGAGCGGATTGGAAACTCTCTTTTTGTGGAATTTGCAAGTGGAAAATTCTAGCAGTATGAGGCCAATGGTACAAAAGGAAATATCTTCGTATAAAAACTAGACAGTATCATTCTCAGAAACTGCTTTGTGATGTGTGTATTAAACTCACAGAGTTGAACATTTCTTTGCATAGAGCAGTTTGGAAAGACTTAGTTTGTGCAGTGTGCAAGTGGATATTTGGAACTCTTTGAGGCCTTCGTTGGAAACGGGATTTCTTCTTATAATTCTTGACAAAAGAATTCTCAGTAGCTTCTTTGTGTGTGTGTATTCAACTCACAGAGTTGAACCTTCCTTTAGACAGAGCAGATTGAAAACACTCTTTTTGTGGAATTTGCAAGTGGAGAATTCTAGCGCTTTGACGCCAATGGTAGAAAGGAAATATCTTCGTATAAAAACTAGACAGTATCATTCTCAGAAACTACTTTGTGATGTGTGCGTTCAACTCACAGTGTTTACCCTTTCTTTTCATAGAGCAGTTTGGAAACACTCTGTTTGTGACGTCTGCAAGTGGATATTTAAACGTCTTTGAGGCCTTCGTTGGAAACGGGATTTCTTCATATAAACCAGGACAGAAGAATTCTCAGAAACTTCTTGTTTGTTATGTGTGCATTCAACTCACAGAGTTGAACCTTACTTTGGAAAGAGCAGTTTTCTAACACTCTTTTTGTAAAAGTTCCAAGTGAATACTTTGAGTGCTTTGAAGCCTACGATAGACAACGAAATATCTTCATGTAAAAACTACAAAGAATCATTCGCAGAAACCACGTTGTGATCTCTGCATTCAACTCACAGAGTTGAACCTTTCTTCCTATAGAGCAGTTATGAAACAGTCTCTTTGTAGAATTTGCAAGGGTGTATTTAGAGGGCATTGAAGCCTACGGTATAAAAGGAAATATCTTACCATAAAATCTAGTCAGAAGCATTCTCAGAAACTGAGTTGTGATGTTTGCATTCAACTCACAGAGTTCAACATTCCTTTTCATGGAGCGGTTTTGAAACACTCTTTTTGCAGAATCTGCAAGTGGATATTTGGACCTCTTTGAGGCCTTCGTTGAAAACGGGATTTCTTCATGTAATGCCAGACAGAAGAACTCTCAGTGAATTCTTTCTGTGTGTGTGTATTCAACTCACAGAGTTGAACGTTCCTTTAGACAGAGTAGATTGGAAACACTCTTTTTGTGGAATTTTCAGGTGGAGGTATCAAGCGCTTTGAGGCCCATGATAGAAAAAGAAATACCTTCGTATAATAATTAGACGGAATCATTCTCAGAAACTGCTTTGCAATGTGTGCCTTCAACTCACAGCGTTTAACCTTTCTTTTCATACAGTTGTTTCGAAACACTCTTTTTGCAGAATCTGCAAGTGGATATTTGGACCTGTTTGAAGTCTTCTTTGGAAATGGGATTTCTTCATATAATGCTAGACAGAAGACTTCTCAGTAACTGCTTTTTCTGGTGTGTATTCAACTCTCAGAGTTGAACTTTCCTTTAGAAACAGCAGATTTGAAACTCTCTTTTTGTGGAATTTGCAAGTGGAGATTTCAAAGCTTTGAGGAAAATGGTAGAAAAGGAAATATCTTCGTATGCAAACTAGACAGAATCATTCTCAGAAACTACTTTGGTACGTGTGTGTTCAACTCACAGCGTTTAACCTTTCCTTTCATAGAGCAGTTTGGAAACACTCAGTTTGTAAAGTCAGCAACTGGATATCTCGATGTATTTGAGGCCTTCGTTGGAAACGGGATTTCTTCATGTAGTGCTAGACAGAAGAATTCTCAGTAACTTCTTTGGGTTGTGGGTATTCAACTCACAGAGCTGAAGCTTCCTTTAGGCGGAGCAGATTGGAAACACTTTTTGTGGAATTTTCAGGGGGAGACTTCAAGCGCTTTGAGGCCAACGGTAGAAAAGGAAATATCTTCGTATAAAAACTAGACGGAGTCATTCTCAGAAACTACTTTGTGATGTTTGCGTTCAACTCACAGAGTTTAACGTTTCTTTTCATAGAGCAGTTTGGAAACACTCTTTTTGCAGAATCTGCAAGTGGATATTTGGACCTCTTTGTGGCCTTCGTTGGAAACGGGATTTTTCATATAATGCTAGACAGAAGAATTCTCAGTAACTTCTTTTTGTGGTGTGTATTCAACTCACAGAGTTGAACCTTCCTTTAGACAGAGCAGATTTGAAACTCTCTTTTTGTGGAATTTGCAAGTGGAGATTTCAAGCGCTTTGAGGCCAACGGCAGAAAAGGAAATATCTTCGTAGAAAAAATAGACGGAATCATTCTCAGAAACTGCTTTGGGATGTGTGCATTGAACTCACAGTGTTTAACACTTCTTTTCATAGAGCACTTTGGAAACACTCAGTTTGTAATGTCTGCAGCTGGATATTTGGACCTCTTTGAGGCCTTCGTAGTAAACGGGATTTCTTCGTGTAATGATAGACAATAGAATTCTCAGTGAATTTTTTTCTGTGTGTGTGTATTCAACTCACAGGGTTGAACCTTCCTTTAGACAGTGCAGATTTGAAACACTTGTCTGTGGAATTTGCAAGGGGAGATTTCAAGCACTTTGAGGCCATTGGTGGAAAAGGAAATATCTTCGTTTGAAAACTAGACAGAATCATTCTCAGGAACTACTTTGTGATATGTGCATTCAACTCCCAGAGTTTAACCTTTCTTTTCATAGATGAGTTTGGAAACAGTCAGTTTGTAAATTCTGCAACTGGATATTTGGACCTCTTTGAGGCTTTCGTTGGAAACGGGATTTCTTCACATAATGCTAGACAGAAGAATTCTCAGTAACTTCTTTTGGGATGTATGTATTCAAATCAGAGAGTTGAACCTTCCTTTAGACAGAGCAGATTGGAAACACTCTTTTTGTGGAATTTGCAAGTGGAAAATTCTAGCAGTATGAGGCCAATGGTACAAAAGGAAATATCTTCGTATAAAAACTAGACAGTATCATTCTCAGAAACTGCTTTGTGATGTGTGTATTAAACTCACAGAGTTGAACATTTCTTTGCATAGAGCAGTTTGGAAAGACTTAGTTTGTGCAGTGTGCAAGTGGATATTTGGAACTCTTTGAGGCCTTCGTTGGAAACGGGATTTCTTCTTATAATTCTTGACAAAAGAATTCTCAGTAGCTTCTTTGTGTGTGTGTATTCAACTCACAGAGTTGAACCTTCCTTTAGACAGAGCAGATTGGAAACACTCTTTTTGTGGAATTTGCAAGTGGAGAATTCTAGCGCTTTGACGCCAATGGTAGAAAGGAAATATCTTCGTATAAAAAATTGACAGTATCATTCTCAGAAACTACTTTGTGATGTGTGCGTTCAACTCACAGAGTTTAACCTTTCTTTTCATAGAGCAGTTTGGAAACACTCTGTTTGTGAAGTCTGCAAGTGGATATTTAAACGTCTTTGAGGCCTTCGTTGGAAACGGGATTTCTTCATATAAACCAGGACAGAAGAATTCTCAGAAACTTCTTGATTGTTATGGGTGCATTCAACTCACAGATTTGAACCTTACTTTGGAAAGAGCAGTTTTCTAACACTCTTTTTGTAAAAGTTCCAAGTGAATACTTTGAGTGCTTTGAAGCCTACAGTTGACAACGAAATATCTTCATGTAAAAACTACAAAGAATCATTCGCAGAAACCACGTTGTGATCTCTGCATTCAACTCACAGAGTTGAACCTTTCTTCCTATTGAGCAGTTATGAAACAGTCTCTTTGTAGAATTTGCAAGGGTGTATTTAGAGGGCATTGAAGCCTACGGTAGAAAAGGAAATATCTTACCATAAAATCTAGTCAGAAGCATTCTCAGCAACTGAGTTGTGATGTTTGCATTCAACTCACAGAGTTCAACATTCCTTTTCATGGAGCGGTTTTGAAACACTCTTTTTGCAGAATCTGCAAGTGGATATTTGGACCTCTTTGAGGCCTTCGTTGGAAACGGGATTTCTTCATGTAATGCCAGACAGAAGAATTCTCAGTGAATTCTTTCTGTGTGTGTGTATTCAACTCACAGAGTTGAACGTTCCTTTAGACAGAGTAGATTGGAAACACTCTTTTTGTGGAATTTTCAGGTGGAGGTATCAAGCGCTTTGAGGCCAATGATAGAAAAGGAAATACCTTCGTATAATAATTAGACGGAATCATTCTCAGAAACTGCTTTGCAATGTGTGCGTTCAACTCACAGTGTTTAACATTTCTTTTCATACAGTTGTTTCGAAACACTCTTTTTGCAGAATCTGCAAGTGGATATTTGGACCTCTTTGAAGTCTTCGTTGGAAATGGGATTTCTTCATATAATGCTAGACAGAAGACTTCTCAGTAACTGCTTTTTCTGGTGTGTATTCAACTCTCAGAGTTGAACTTTCCTTTACAAACAGCAGATTTGAAACTCTCTTTTTTTGGAATTTGCAAGTGGAGATTTCAAACTTTGAGGCCAATGGTAGAAAAGGAAATATCTTCGTATGCAAACTAGACAGAATCATTCTCAGAAACTACTTTGGTACGTGTGTGTTCAACTCACAGTGTTTAACCTTTCTTTTCATAGAGCAGTTTGGAAACACTCAGTTTGTAAAGTCAGCAACTGGATATTTGGATGTATTTGAGGCCTTCGTTGGAAACGGGATTTCTTCATATAATGCTAGACAGAAGAATTCTCAGTAACTTCTTTGGGTTGTGGGTATTCAACTCACAGAGTTGAAGCTTCCTTTAGGCGGAGCAGATTGGAAACACTTTTTGTGGAATTTTCAGGGGGAGACTTCAAGCGCTTTGAAGTGAATGGTAGGAAAGGAAATATCTTCGTATAAAAACTAGACGGAGTCATTCTCAGAAACTACTTTGTGATGTTTGCGTTCAACTCACAGAGTTTAACGTTTCTTTTCATAGAGCAGTTTGGAAACACTCTTTTTGCAGAATCTGCAAGTGGATATTTGGACCTCTTTGTGGCCTTCGTTGGAAACGGGATTTTTCATATAATGCTAGACAGAAGAATTCTCAGTAACTTCTTTTTGTGGTGTGTATTCAACTCACAGAGTTGAACCTTCCTTTAGACAGAGCAGATTTGAAACTCTCTTTTTGTGGAATTTGCAAGTGGAGATTTCAAGCGCTTTGAGGCCAACGGCAGAAAAGGAAATAACTTCGTAGAAAAAATAGACGGAATCATTCTCAGAAACTGCTTTGGGATGTGTGCATTGAACTCACAGTGTTTAACACTTCTTTTCATAGAGCACTTTGGAAACACTCAGTTTATAATGTCTGCAGCTGGATATTTGGACCTCTTTGAGGCCTTCGTAGTAAACGGGATTTCTTCGTGTAATGATAGACAATAGAATTCTCAGTGAATTTTTTTCTGTGTGTGTGTATTCAACTCACAGGGTTGAACCATCCTTTAGACAGTGCAGATTTGAAACACTTGTCTGTGGAATTTGCAAGGGGAGATTTCAAGCACTTTGAGGCCATTGGTGGAAAAGGAAATATCTTCGTATGAAAACTAGACAGAATCATTCTCAGGAACTACTTTGTGATATGGGCATTCAACTCACAGAGTTTAACCTTTCTTTTCATAGATGAGTTTGGAAACAGTCAGTTTGTAAATTCTGCAACTGGATATTTGGACCTCTTTGAGGCTTTCGTTGGAAACGGGATTTCTTCACATAATGCTAGACAGAAGAATTCTCAGTAACTTCTTTTGGGATGTATGTATTCAAATCAGAGAGTTGAACCTTCCTTTAGACAGAGCGGATTGGAAACACTCTTTTTGTGGAATTTGCAAGTGGAAAATTCTAGCAGTATGAGGCCAATGGTACAAAAGGAAATATCTTCGTATAAAAACTAGACAGTATCATTCTCAGAAACTGCTTTGTGATGTGTGTATTAAACTCACAGAGTTGAACATTTCTTTGCATAGAGCAGTTTGGAAAGACTTAGTTTGTGCAGTGTGCAAGTGGATATTTGGAACTCTTTGAGGCCTTCGTTGGAAACGGGATTTCTTCTTATAATTCTTGACAAAAGAATTCTCAGTAGCTTCTTTGTGTGTGTGTATTCAACTCACAGAGTTGAACCTTCCTTTAGACAGAGCAGATTGGAAACACTCTTTTTGTGGAATTTGCAAGTGGAGAATTCTAGCGCTTTGACGCCAATGGTAGAAAGGAAATATCTTCGTATAAAAACTAGACAGTATCATTCTCAGAAGCTACTTTGTGATGTGTGCGTTCAACTCACAGAGTTTAACCTTTCTTTTCATAGAGCAGTTTGGAAACCCTCTGTTTGTGAAGTCTGCAAGTGGATATTTAAACGTCTTTGAGGCCTTCGTAGGAAACGGGATTTCTTCATATAAACCAGGACAGAAGAATTCTCAGAAACTTCTTGATTGTTATGTGTGCATTCAACTCACAGAGTTGAACCTTACTTTGGAAAGAGCAGTTTTCTAACACTCTTTTTGTAAAAGTTCCAAGTGAATACTTTGAGTGCTTTGAAGCCTACGGTTGACAACGAAATATCTTCATGTAAAAACTACAAAGAATCATTCGCAGAAACCACGTTGTGATCTCTGCATTCAACTCACAGAGTTCAACCTTTCTTCCTATAGAGCAGTTATGAAACAGTCTCTTTGTAGAATTTGCAAGGGTGTATTTAGAGGGCATTGAAGCCTACGGTAGAAAAGGAAATATCTTACCATAAAATCTAGTCAGAAGCATTCTCAGCAACTGAGTTGTGATGTTTGCATTCAACTCACAGAGTTCAACATTCCTTTTAATGGAGCGGTTTTGAAACACTCTTTTTGCAGAATCTGCAAGTGGATATTTGGACCTCTTTGAGGTCTTCGTTGGAAACGGGATTTCTTCATGTAATGCCAGACAGAAGAATTCTCAGTGAATTCTTTCTGTGTGTGTGTATTCAACTCACAGAGTTGAACGTTCCTTTAGACAGAGTAGATTGGAAACACTCTTTTTGTGGAATTTTCAGGTGGAGGTATCAAGCGCTTTGAGGCCAATGATAGAAAAGGAAATACCTTCGTATAATAATTAGACGGAATCATTCTCAGAAACTGCTTTGCAATGTGTGCGTTCAACTCACAGTGTTTAACATTTCTTTTCATACAGTTGTTTCGAAACACTCTTTTTGCAGAATCTGCAAGTGGATATTTGGACCTCTTTGAAGTCTTCGTTGGAAATGGGATTTCTTCATATAATGCTAGACAGAAGACTTCTCAGTAACTGCTTTTTCTGGTGTGTATTCAACTCTCAGAGTTGAACTTTCCTTTAGAAACAGCAGAGTTGAAACTCTCTTTTTGTGGAATTTGCAAGTGGAGATTTCAGAGCTTTGAGGCCAATGGTAGAAAAGGAAATATCTTCGTATGCAAACTAGACAGAATCATTCTCAGAAACTACTTTGGTACGTGTGTGTTCAACTCACAGTGTTTAACCTTTCTTTTCATAGAGCAGTTTGGAAACACTCAGTTTGTAAAGTCAGCAACTGGATATTTGGATGTATTTGAGGCCGTCGTTGGAAACGGGATTTCTTCATATAATGCTAGACAGAAGAATTCTCAGTAACTTCTTTGGGTTGTGGGTATTCAAGTCACAGAGTTGAAGCTTCCTTTAGGCGGAGCAGATTGGAAACACTTTTTGTGGAATTTTCAGGGGGAGACTTCAAGCGCTTTGAAGTGAATGGTAGGAAAGGAAATATGCTTCGTATAAAAACTAGACGGAGTCATTCTCAGAAACTACTTTGTGATGTTTGCGTTCAACTCACAGAGTTTAACGTTTCTTTTCATAGAGCAGTTTGGAAACACTCTTTTTGCAGAATCTGCAAGTGGATATTTGGACCTCTTTGTGGCCTTCGTTGGAAACGGGATTTTTCATATAATGCTAGTCAGAAGAATTCTCAGTAACTTCTTTTTGTGGTGTGTATTCAACTCACAGAGTTGAACCTTCCTTTAGACAGAGCAGATTTGAAACTCTCTTTTTGTGGAATTTGCAAGTGGAGATTTCAAGCGCTTTGAGGCCAACGGCAGAAAAGGAAATATCTTCGTAGAAAAAATAGACGGAATCATTCTCAGAAACTGCTTTGGGATGTGTGCATTGAACTCACAGTGTTTAACACTTCTTTTCATAGAGCACTTTGGAAACACTCAGGTTGTAATGTCTGCAGCTGGATATTTGGACCTCTTTGAGGCCTTCGTAGTAAACGGGATTTCTTCGTGTAATGATAGACAATAGAATTCTCAGTGAATTTTTTTCTGTGTGTGTGTATTCAACTCACAGGGTTGAACCTTCCTTTAGACAGTGCAGATTTGAAACACTTGTCTGTGGAATTTGCAAGGGGAGATTTCAAGCACTTTGAGGCCATTGGTGGAAAAGGAAATATCTTCGTATAAAAACTAGACAGAATCATTCTCAGGAACTACTTTGTGATATGTGCATTCAACTCCCAGAGTTTAACCTTTCTTTTCATAGATGAGTTTGGAAACAGTCAGTTTGTAAATTCTGCAACTGGATATTTGGACCTCTTTGAGGCTTTCGTTGGAAACGGGATTTCTTCACATAATGCTAGACAGAAGAATTCTCAGGAACTTCTTTTGGGATGTATGTATTCAAATCAGAGAGTTGAACCTTCCTTTAGACAGAGCGGATTGGAAACACTCTTTTTGTGGAATTTGCAAGTGGAAAATTCTAGCAGTATGAGGCCAATGGTACAAAAGGAAATATCTTCGTATAAAAACTAGACAGTATCATTCTCAGAAACTGCTTTGTGATGTGTGTATTAAACTCACAGAGTTGAACATTTCTTTGCATAGAGCAGTTTGGAAAGACTTAGTTTGTGCAGTGTGCAAGTGGATATTTGGAACTCTTTGAGGCCTTCGTTGGAAACGGGATTTCTTCTTATAATTCTTGACAAAAGAATTCTCAGTAGCTTCTTTGTGTGTGTGTATTCAACTCACAGAGTTGAACCTTCCTTTAGACAGAGCAGATTGGAAACACTCTTTTTGTGGAATTTGCAAGTGGAGAATTCTAGCGCTTTGACACCAATGGTAGAAAGGAAATATCTTCGTATAAAAACTAGACAGTATCATTCTCAGAAGCTACTTTGTGATGTGTGCGTTCAACTCACAGAGTTTAACCTTTCTTTTCATAGAGCAGTTTGGAAACCCTCTGTTTGTGAAGTCTGCAAGTGGATATTTAAACGTCTTTGAGGCCTTCGTTGGAAACGGGATTTTTTCATATAAACCAGGACAGAAGAATTCTCAGAAACTTCTTGATTGTTATGTGTGCATTCAACTCACAGAGTTGAACCTTACTTTGGAAAGAGCAGTTTCCTAACACTCTTTTTGTAAAAGTTCCAAGTGAATACTTTGAGTGCTTTGAAGCCTACGGTTGACAACGAAATATCTTCATGTAAAAACTACAAAGAATCATTCGCAGAAACCACGTTGTGATCTCTGCATTCAACTCACAGAGTTCAACCTTTCTTCCTATAGAGCAGTTATGAAACAGTCTCTTTGTAGAATTTGCAAGGGTGTATTTAGAGGGCATTGAAGCCTACGGTAGAAAAGGAAATATCTTACCATAAAATCTAGTCAGAAGCATTCTCAGAAACTGAGTTGTGATGTTTGCATTCAACTCACAGAGTTCAACATTCCTTTTAATGGAGCGGTTTTGAAACACTCTTTTTGCAGAATCTGCAAGTGGATATTTGGACCTCTTTGAGGCCTTCGTTGGAAACGGGATTTCTTCATGTAATGCCAGACAGAAGAATTCTCAGTGAATTCTTTCTGTGTGTGTGTATTCAACTCACAGAGTTGAACGTTCCTTTAGACAGAGTAGATTGGAAACACTCTTTTTGTGGAATTTTCAGGTGGAGGTATCAAGCGCTTTGAGGCCCATGATAGAAAAGGAAATACCTTCGTATAATAATTAGACGGAATCATTGTCAGAAAATGCTTTGCAATGGGTGCGTTCAACTCACAGTGTTTAACCTTTCTTTTCATACAGTTGTTTCGAAACACTCTTTTTGCAGAATCTGCAAGTGGATATTTGGACCTGTTTGAAGTCTTCTTTGGAAATGGGATTTCTTCATATAATGCTAGACAGAAGAATTCTCAATAACTGCTTTTTCTGGTGTGTATTCAACTCTCAGAGTTGAACTTTCCTTTAGAAACAGCAGATTTGAAACTCTCTTTTTGTGGAATTTGCAAGTGGAGATTTCAAAGCTTTGAGGCCAATGGTAGAAAAGGAAATATCTTCGTATGCCAACTAGACAGAATCATTCTCAGAAACTACTTTGGTACGTGTGTGTTCAACTCACAGTGTTTAACCTTTCCTTTCATAGAGCAGTTTGGAAACACTCAGTTTGTAAAGTCAGCCACTGGATATTTGGATGTATTTGAGGCCTTCGTTGGAAACGGGATTTCTTCATATAATGCTAGACAGAAGAATTCTCAGTAACTTCTTTGGGTTGTGGGTATTCAACTCACAGAGTTGAAGCTTCCTTTAGGCGGAGCAGATTGGAAACACTTTTTGTGGAATTTTCAGGGGGAGACTTCAAGCGCTTTCAGGCCAACGGTAGAAAAGGAAATATCTTCGTATAAAAACTAGACGGAGTCATTCTCAGAAACTACTTTGTGATGTTTGCGTTCAACTCACAGAGTTTAACGTTTCTTTTCATAGAGCAGTTTGGAGACACTGTTTTTGCAGAATCTGCAAGTGGATATTTGGACCTCTTTGTGGCCTTCGTTGGAAACGGGATTTTTCATATAATGCTAGACAGAAGAATTCTCAGTAACTTCTTTTTGTGGTGTGTATTCAACTCACAGAGTTGAACCTTCCTTTAGACAGAGCAGATTTGAAACTCTCTTTTTGTGGAATTTGCAAGTGGAGATTTCAAGCGCTTTGAGGCCAACGGCAGAAAAGGAAATATCTTCGTAGAAAAAATAGACGGAATCATTCTCAGAAACTGCTTTGGGATGTGTGCATTGAACTCACAGTGTTTAACACTTCTTTTCCTAGAGCACTTTGGAAACACTCAGGTTGTAATGTCTGCAGCTGGATATTTGGACCTCTTTGAGGCCTTCGTAGTAAACGGGATTTCTTCGTGTAATGATAGACAATAGAATTCTCAGTGAATTTTTTTCTGTGTGTGTGTATTCAACTCACAGGGTTGAACCTTCCTTTAGACAGTGCAGATTTGAGACACTTGTCTGTGGAATTTGCAAGGGGAGATTTCAAGCACTTTGAGGCCATTGGTGGAAAAGGAAATATCTTCGTATGAAAACTAGACAGAATCATTCTCAGGAACTACTTTGTGATATGTGCATTCAACTCACAGAGTTTAACCTTTCTTTTCATAGATGAGTTTGGAAACAGTCAGTTTGTAAATTCTGCAACTGGATATTTGGACCTCTTTGAGGCTTTCGTTGGAAACGTGATTTCTTCACATAATGCTAGACAGAAGAATTCTCAGGAACTTCTTTTGGGATGTATGTATTCAAATCAGAGAGTTGAACCTTCCTTTAGACAGAGCGGATTGGAAACACTCTTTTTGTGGAATTTGCAAGTGGAAAATTCTAGCAGTATGAGGCCAATGGTACAAAAGGAAATATCTTCGTATAAAAACTAGACAGTATCATTCTCAGAAACTGCTTTGTGATGTGTGTATTAAACTCACAGAGTTGAACATTTCTTTGCATAGAGCAGTTTGGAAAGACTTAGTTTGTGCAGTGTGCAAGTGGATATTTGGAACTCTTTGAGGCCTTCGTTGGAAACGGGATTTCTTCTTATAATTCTTGACAAAAGAATTCTCAGTAGCTTCTTTGTGTGTGTGTATTCAACTCACAGAGTTGAACCTTCCTTTAGACAGAGCAGATTGGAAACACTCTTTTTGTGGAATTTGCAAGTGGAGAATTCTAGCGCTTTGACGCCAATGGTAGAAAGGAAATATCTTCGTATAAAAACTAGACAGTAATCATTCTCAGAAGCTACTTTGTGATGTGTGCGTTCAACTCACAGAGTTTAACCTTTCTTTTCATAGAGCGGTTTGGAAACCCTCTGTTTGTGAAGTCTGCAAGTGGATATTTAAACGTCTTTGAGGCCTTCGTTGGAAACGGGATTTTTTCATATAAACCAGGACAGAAGAATTCTCAGAAACTTCTTCATTCTTATGTGTGCATTCAACTCACAGAGTTGAACCTTACTTTGGAAAGAGCAGTTTTCTAACACTCTTTTTGTAAAAGTTCCAAGTGAATACTTTGAGTGCTTTGAAGCCTACGGTTGACAATGAAATATCTTCCTGTAAAAACTACAAAGAATCATTCGCAGAAACCACGTTGTGATCTCTGCATTCAACTCACAGAGTTGAACCTTTCTTCCTATAGAGCAGTTATGAAACAGTCTCTTTGTAGAATTTGCAAGGGTGTATTTAGAGGGCATTGAAGCCTACGGTAGAAAAGGAAATATCTTACCATAAAATCTAGTCAGAAGCATTCTCAGAAACTGAGTTGTGATGTTTGCATTCAACTCACAGAGTTCAACATTCCTTTTAATGGAGCGGTTTTGAAACACTCTTTTTGCAGAATCTGCAAGTGGATATTTGGACCTCTTTGAGGCCTTCGTTGGAAACGGGATTTCTTCATGTAATGCCAGACAGAAGAATTCTCAGTGAATTCTTTCTGTGTGTGTGTATTCAACTCACAGAGTTGAACGTTCCTTTAGACAGAGTAGATTGGAAACACTCTTTTTGTGGAATTTTCAGGTGGAGGTATCATGCGCTTTGGGGCCAATGATAGAAAAGGAAATACCTTCGTATAATAATTAGACGGAATCATTCTCAGAAACTGCTTTGCAATGTGTGCGTTCAACTCACAGTGTTTAACCTTTCTTTTCATACAGTTGTTTCGAAACACTCTTTTTGCAGAATCTGCAAGTGGATATTTGGACCTCTTTGAAGTCTTCGTTGGAAATGGGATTTCTTCATATAATGCTAGACAGAAGACTTCTCAGTAACTGCTTTTTCTGGTGTGTATTCAACTCTCAGAGTTGAACTTTCCTTTAGAAACAGCTGATTTGAAACTCTCTTTTTGTGGAATTTGCAAGTGGAGATTTCAGAGCTTTGAGGCCAATGGTAGAAAAGGAAATATCTTCGTATGCAAACTAGACAGAATCATTCTCAGAAACTACTTTGGTACGTGTGTGTTCAACTCACAGTGTTTAACCTTTCTTTTCATAGAGCAGTTTGGAAACACTCAGTTTGTAAAGTCAGCAACTGGATATTTGGATGTATTTGAGGCCTTCGTTGGAAACGGGATTTCTTCATATAATGCTAGACAGAAGAATTCTCAGTAACTTCTTTGGGTTGTGGGTATTCAAGTCACAGAGTTGAAGCTTCCTTTAGGCGGAGCAGATTGGAAACACTTTTTGTGGAATTTTCAGGGGGAGACTTCAAGCGCTTTGAAGTGAATGGTAGGAAAGGAAATATCTTCGTATAAAAACTAGACGGAGTCATTCTCAGAAACTACTTTGTGATGTTTGCGTTCAACTCACAGAGTTTAACGTTTCTTTTCATAGAGCAGTTTGGAAACACTCTTTTTGCAGAATCTGCAAGTGGATATTTGGACCTCTTTGTGGCCTTCGTTGGAAACGGGATTTTTCATATAATGCTAGACAGAAGAATTCTCAGTAACTTCTTTTTGTGGTGTGTATTCAACTCAGAGAGTTGAACCTTCCTTTAGACAGAGCAGATTTGAAACTCTCTTTTCGTGGAATTTGCAAGTGGAGATTTCAAGCGCTTTGGGGCCAACGGTAGAAAAGGAAATATCTTCGTAGAAAAAATAGACGGAATCATTCTCAGAAACTGCTTTGGGATGTGTGCATTGAACTCACAGTGTTTAACACTTCTTTTCATAGAGCACTTTGGAAACACTCAGTTTGTAATGTCTGCAGCTGGATATTTGGACCTCTTTGAGGCCTTCGTAGTAAACGGGATTTCTTCGTGTAATGATAGACAATAGAATTCTCAGTGAATTTTTTTCTGTGTGTGTGTATTCAACTCACAGGGTTGAACCTTCCTTCAGACAGTGCAGATTTGAAACACTTTTCTGTGGGATTGCAAGGGGAGATTTCAAGCATTTTGAGGCCATTGGTGGAAAAGGAAATATCTTCGTATAAAAACTAGACAGAATCATTCTCAGGAACTACTTTGTGATATGTGCATTCAACTCACAGGGTTTAACCTTTCTTTTCATAGATGAGTTTGGAAACAGTCAGTTTGTAAATTCTGCAACTGGATATTTGGACCTCTTTGAGGCTTTCGTTGGAAACGGGATTTCTTCACATAATGCTAGACAGAAGAATTCTCAGTAACTTCTTTTGGGATGTATGTATTCAAATCAGAGAGTTGAACCTTCCTTTAGACAGAGCGGATTGGAAACACTCTTTTTGTGGAATTTGCAAGTGGAAAATTCTAGCAGTATGAGGCCAATGGTACAAAAGGAAATATCTTCGTATAAAAACTAGACAGTATCATTCTCAGAAACTGCTTTGTGATGTGTGTATTAAACTCACAGAGTTGAACATTTCTTTTCCTAGAGCAGTTTGGAAAGACTTAGTTTGTGTAGTGTGCAAGAGGATATTTGGAACTCTTTGAGGTCTTCTTTGGAAACGGGATTTCTTCTTATAATTCTTGACAAAAGAATTCTCAGTAGCTTCTTTGTGTGTGTGTACTCAACTCACAGAGTTGAACCTTCCTTTAGACAGAGCAGATTGGAAACACTCTTTTTGTGGAATTTGCAAGTGGAAATTTCTAGCAGTATGAGGCCAATGGTACAAAAGGAAATATCTTCGTATAAAAACTAGACAGTATCATTCTCAGAAGCTACTTTGTGATGTGTGCGTTCAACTCACAGAGTTTAACCTTTCTTTTCATAGAGCGGTTTGGAAACCCTCTGTTTGTGAAGTCTGCAAGTGGATATTTAAACGTCTTTGAGGCCTTCGTTGGAAACGGGATTTTTTCATATAAACCAGGACAGAAGAATTCTCAGAAACTTCTTGATTGTTATGTGTGCATTCAACTCACAGAGTTGAACCTTACTTTGGAAAGAGCAGTTTTCTAACACTCTTTTTGTAAAAGTTCCAAGTGAATACTTTGAGTGCTTTGAAGCCTACGGTTGACAACGAAATATCTTCATGTAAAAACTACAAAGAATCATTCGCAGAAACCACGTTGTGATCTCTGCATTCAACTCACAGAGTTCAACCTTTCTTCCTATAGAGCAGTTATGAAACAGTCTCTTTGTAGAATTTGCAAGGGTGTATTTAGAGGGCATTGAAGCCTACGGTAGAAAAGGAAATATCTTACCATAAAATCTAGTCAGAAGCATTCTCAGCAACTGAGTTGTGATGTTTGCATTCAACTCACAGAGTTCAACATTCCTTTTAATGGGAGCGGTTTTGAAACACTCTTTTTGCAGAATCTGCAAGTGGATATTTGGACCTCTTTGAGGCCTTCGTTGGAAACGGGATTTCTTCATGTAATGCCAGACAGAAGAATTCTCAGTGAATTCTTTCTGTGTGTGTGTATTCAACTCACAGAGTTGAACGTTCCTTTAGACAGAGTAGATTGGAAACACTCTTTTTGTGGAATTTTCAGGTGGAGGTATCAAGCGCTTTGAGGCCAATGATAGAAAAGGAAATACCTTCGTATAATAATTAGACGGAATCATTCTCAGAAACTGCTTTGCAATGTGTGCGTTCAACTCACAGTGTTTAACCTTTCTTTTCATACAGTTGTTTCGAAACACTCTTTTTGCAGAATCTGCAAGTGGATATTTGGACCTCTTTGAAGTCTTCGTTGGAAATGGGATTTCTTCATATAATGCTAGACAGAAGACTTCTCAGTAACTGCTTTTTCTGGTGTGTATTCAACTCTCAGAGTTGAACTTTCCTTTAGAAACAGCAGATTTGAAACTCTCTTTTTGTGGAATTTGCAAGTGGAGATTTCAGAGCTTTGAGGCCACTGGTAGAAAAGGAAATATCTTCGTATGCAAACCAGACAGAATCATTCTCAGAAACTACTTTGGTACGTGTGTGTTCAACTCACAGTGTTTAACCTTTCTTTTCATAGAGCAGTTTGGAAACACTCAGTTTGTAAAGTCAGCAACTGGATATTTGGATGTATTTGAGGCCTTCGTTGGAAACGGGATTTCTTCATATAATGCTAGACAGAAGAATTCTCAGTAACTTCATTGGGTTGTGGGTATTCAACTCACAGAGTTGAAGCTTCCTTTAGGCGGAGCAGATTGGAAACACTTTTTGTGGAATTTTCAGGGGGAGACTTCAAGCGCTTTGAAGTGAATGGTAGGAAAGGAAATATCTTCGTATAAAAACTAGACGGAGTCATTCTCAGAAACTACTTTGTGATGTTTTCGTTCAATTCACAGAGTTTAACGTTTCTTTTCATAGAGCAGTTTGGAAACACTCTTTTTGCAGAATCTGCATGTGGATATTTTGACCTCTTTGTGGCCTTCGTTGGAAACTGGATTTTTCATATAATGTTAGACAGAAGAATTCTCAGTAACTTCTTTTTGTGGTGTGTATTCAACTCACAGAGTTGAACCTTCCTTTAGACAGAGCAGATTTGAAACTCTCTTTTCGTGGAATTTGCAAGTGGAGATTTCAAGCGCTTTGAGGCCAACGGTAGAAAAGGAAATATCTTCGTAGAAAAAATAGACGGAATCATTCTCAGAAACTGCTTTGGGATGTGTGCATTGAACTCACAGTGTTTAACACTTCTTTTCATAGAGCACTTTGGAAACACTCAGTTTGTAATGTCTGCAGCTAGATATTTGGACCTCTTTGAGGCCTTCGTAGTAAACGGGATTTCTTCGTGTAATGATAGACAATAGAATTCTCAGTGAATTTTTTTCTGTGTGTGTGTATTCAACTCACAGGGTTGAACCTTCCTTCAGACAGTGCAGATTTGAAACACTTTTCTGTGGAATTTGCAAGGGGAGATTTCAAGCACTTTGAGGCCATTGGTGGAAAAGGAAATATCTTCGTATAAAAACTAGACAGAATCATTCTCAGGAACTACTTTGTGATATGTGCATTCAACTCACAGGGTTTAACCTTTCTTTTCATAGATGAGTTTGGAAACAGTCAGTTTGTAAATTCTGCAACTGGATATTAGGACCTCTTTGAGGCTTTCGTTGGAAACGGGATTTCTTCACATAATGCTAGACAGAAGAATTCGCAGTAACTTCTTTTGGGATGTATGTATTCAACTCAGAGAGTTGAACCTTCCTTTAGACAGAGCGCATTGGAAACACGCTTTTTGCGGAATTTTCAGGTGGAGATTCCAAGAGCCTTGAGGCCAATGGTAGAAAAGGCTATCTTCCTATAAAAACTAGAGGGAATCATTCTCAGAAACTGCTTTGTGATGTGTGCATTAAACTCACAAGGTTGAACATTTCTTTGCATAGAGCAGTTTGGAAAGACTTATTTTGTACAGTGTGCAAGTGGATATTTGGAACTCTTTGAGGCCTTCGTTGGAAACGGGATTTCTTCTTATAATTCTTGACAAAAGAATTCTCAGTAGCTTCCTTGTGTGTGTGTATTCAACTCACAGAGTTGAACCTGCCTTTAGGCAGAGCAGATTGGAAACCCTCTTTTTGAGGAATTTGCAAGTGGAGAATTCGAGCCCTTTGACGCCAATGGTAGGAAAGGAAATATCTTCGTATAAAAACTGGACAGTATCATTCTCAGAAACTACTTTGTGATGTGTGCGTTCAACTCACAGAGTTTAACCTTTGTTTTCATAGAGCAGTTTGGAAACACTCTGTTTGTGAAGTCTGCAAGTGGATATTTAAACGTCTTTGAGGCCTTCGTTGGAAACGGGATTTTTTCATATAAACCAGGACAGAAGAATTCTCAGAAACTTCTTGTTTGTTATGTGTGCATTCAACTCACAGAGTTGAACCTTACTTTGGAAAGAGCAGTTTTCTAACACTCTTCTTGTAAAAGTTCCAAGTGAATACTTTGAGTGCTTTGAAGCCTACGGTAGACAACGAAATATCTTCATGTAAAAACTACAAAGAATGATTCGCCGAAACCACGTTGTGATCTCTGCATTCAACTCACAGAGATCAACCTTTCTTCCTATAGAGCAGTTATTAAACAGTCTCTTTGTAGAATTTGCAAGGGTGTATTTAGAGGGCATTGAAGCCTACGGTAGAAAAGGAAATATCTGACCATAAAATCTAGTCAGAAGCATTCTCAGAAACTGAGTTGTGATGTTTGCATTCAACTCACAGAGTTCAACATTCCTTTTCATGGAGCGGTTTTGAAACACTCTTTTTGCAGAATCTGCAAGTGGATATTTGGACCTCTTTGAGGCCTTCGTTGAAAACGGGATTTCTTCATGTAATGCCAGACAGAAGAACTCTCAGTGAATTCTTTCTGTGTGTTTGTATTCAACTCACAGAGTTGAACGTTCCTTTAGACAGAGTAGATTGGAAACACTCTTTTTCTGGAAGTTTCAGGTGGAGGTATCAAGCGCTTTGAGGCCCATGATAGAAAAGGAAATACCTTCGTATAATAATTAGACGGAATCATTCTCAGAAACTGCTTTGCAATGTGTGCCTTCAACTCACAGCGTTTAACCTTTCTTTTCATACAGTTGTTTCGAAACACTCTTTTTGCAGAATCTGCAAGTGGATATTTGGACCTCTTTGAAGTCTTCGTTGGAAACGGGATTTCTTCATATAATGCTAGACAGAAGACTTCTCAGTAACTGCTTTTTCTGGTGTGTATTCAACTCTCAGAGTTGAACTTTCCTTTAGAAACAGCAGATTTGAAACTCTCTTTTTGTGGAATTTGCAAGTGGAGATTTCAAAGCTTTGAGGCCAATGGTAGAAAAGGAAATATCTTCGTATGCAAACGAGACAGAATCATTCTCAGAAACTACTTTGGTACGTGTCTGTTCAACTCACAGTGTTTAACCTTTCCTTTCATAGAGCAGTTTGGAAACACTCAGTTTGTAAAGTCAGCAACTGGATATCTGGATGTATTTGAGGCCTTCGTTGGAAACGGGATTTCTTCATGTAATGCTAGACAGAAACATTCTCAGTAACTTCTTTGGGTTGTGGGTATTCAAGTCACAGAAGTTGAAGCTTCCTTTAGGCGGAGCAGATTGGAAACACTTTTTGTGGAATTTTCAGGGGGAGACTTCAAGCGCTTTGAAGTGAATGGTAGGAAAGGAAATATCTTCGTATAAAAACTAGACGGAGTCATTCTCAGAAACTACTTTGTGATGTTTGCGTTCAACTCACAGAGTTTAACGTTTCTTTTCATAGAGCAGTTTGGAAACACTCTTTTTGCAGAATCTGCAAGTGGATATTTGGACCTCTTTGTGGCCTTCGTTGGAAACGGGATTTTTCATATAATGCTAGACAGAAGAATTCTCAGTAACTTCTTTTTGTGGTGTGTATTCAACTCACAGAGTTGAACCTTCCTTTAGACAGAGCAGATTTGAAACTCTCTTTTTGTGGAATTTGCAAGTGGAGATTTCAAGCGCTTTGAGGCCAACGGTAGAAAAGGAAATATCTTCGTAGAAAAAATAGACGGAATCATTCTCAGAAACTGCTTTGGGATGTGTGCATTGAACTCACAGTGTTTAACACTTCTTTTCATAGAGCACTTTGGAAACACTCAGTTTGTAATGTCTGCAGCTGGATATTTGGACCTCTTTGAGGCCTTCGTAGTAAACGGGATTTCTTCGTGTAATGATAGACAATAGAATTCTCAGTGAATTTTTTTCTGTGTGTGTGTATTCAACTCACAGGGTTGAACCTTCCTTTAGACAGTGCAGATTTGAAACACTTGTCTGTGGAATTTGCAAGGGGAGATTTCAAGCACTTTGAGGCCATTGGTGGAAAAGGAAATATCTTCCGTATAAAAACTAGACAGAATCATTCTCAGGAACTACTTTGTGATATGTGCATTCAACTCCCAGAGTTTAACCTTTCTTTTCATAGATGAGTCTGGAAACAGTCAGTTTGTAAATTCTGCAACTGGATATTTGGACCTCTTTGAGGCTTTCGTTGGAAACGGGATTTCTTCACATAATGCTAGACAGAAGAATTCTCAGTAACTTCTTTTGGGATGTATGTATTCAAATCAGAGAGTTGAACCTTCCTTTAGACAGAGCGGATTGGAAACACTCTTTTTGTGGAATTTGCAAGTGGAAAATTCTAGCAGTATGAGGCCAATGGTACAAAAGGAAATATCTTCGTATAAAAACTAGACAGTATCATTCTCAGAAACTGATTTGTGATGTGTGTATTAAACTCACAGAGTTTAACCTTTCTTTTCATAGAGCAGTTTGGAAACCCTCTGTTTGTGAAGTCTGGAAGTGGATATTTAAACGTCTTTGAGGCCTTCGTTGGAAACGGGATTTTTTCATATAAACCAGGACAGAAGAATTCTCAGAAACTTCTTGATTGTTATGTGTGCATTCAACTCACAGAGTTGAACCTTACTTTGGAAAGAGCAGTTTTCTAACACTCTTTTTGTAAAAGTTCCAAGTGAATACTTTGAGTGCTTTGAAGCCTACGGTTGACAACGAAATATCTTCCTGTAAAAACTACAAAGAATCATTCGCAGAAACCACGTTGTGATCTCTGCATTCAACTCACAGAGTTGAACCTTTCTTCCTATAGAGCAGTTATGAAACAGTCTCTTTGTAGAATTTGCAAGGGTGTATTTAGAGGGCATTGAAGCCTACGGTAGAAAAGGAAATATCTTACCATAAAATCTAGTCAGAAGCATTCTCAGCAACTGAGTTGTGATGTTTGCATTCAACTCACAGAGTTCAACATTCCTTTTAATGGGAGCGGTTTTGAAACACTCTTTTTGCAGAATCTGCAAGTGGATATTTGGACCTCTTTGAGGCCTTCGTTGGAAACGGGATTTCTTCATGTAATGCCAGACAGAAGAATTCTCAGTGAATTCTTTCTGTGTGTGTGTATTCAACTCACAGAGTTGAACGTTCCTTTAGACAGAGTAGATTGGAAACACTCTTTTTGTGGAATTTTCAGGTGGAGGTATCAAGCGCTTTGAGGCCAATGATAGAAAAGGAAATACCTTCGTATAATAATTAGACGGAATCATTCTCAGAAACTGCTTTGCAATGTGTGCGTTCAACTCACAGTGTTTAACCTTTCCTTTTCATACAGTTGTTTCGAAACACTCTTTTTGCAGAATCTGCAAGTGGATATTTGGACCTCTTTGAAGTCTTCGTTGGAAATGGGATTTCTTCATATAATGCTAGACAGAAGACTTCTCAGTAACTGCTTTTTCTGGTGTGTATTCAACTCTCAGAGTTGAACTTTCCTTTAGAAACAGCAGATTTGAAACTCTCTTTTTGTGGAATTTGCAAGTGGAGTTTTCAGAGCTTTGAGGACAATGGTAGAAAAGGAAATATCTTCGTATGCAAACTAGACAGAATCATTCTCAGAAACTACTTTGGTACGTGTGTGTTCAACTCACAGTGTTTAACCTTTCTTTTCATAGAGCAGTTTGGAAACACTCAGTTTGTAAAGTCAGCAACTGGATATTTGGATGTATTTGAGGCCTTCGTTGGAAACGGGATTTCTTCATATAATGCTAGACAGAAGAATTTCTCAGTAACTTCTTTGGGTTGTGGGTATTCAACTCACAGAGTTGAAGCTTCCTTTAGGCGGAGCAGATTGGAAACACTTTTTGTGGAATTTTCAGGGGGAGACTTCAAGCGCTTTGAAGTGAATGGTAGAAAAGGAAATATCTTCGTATAAAAACTAGACGGAGTCATTCTCAGAAACTACTTTGTGATGTTTGCGTTCAACTCACAGAGTTTAACGTTTCTTTTCATAGAGCAGTTTGGAAACACTCTTTTTGCAGAATCTGCAAGTGGATATTTGGACCTCTTTGTGGCCTTCGTTGGAAACGGGATTTTTCATATAATGCTAGACAGAAGAATTCTCAGTAACTTCTTTTTGTGGTGTGTATTCAACTCACAGAGTGGAACCTTCCTTTAGACAGAGCAGATTTGAAACTCTCTTTTTGTGGAATTTGCAAGTGGAGATTTCAAGCGCTTTGAGGCCAACGGTAGAAAAGGAAATATCTTTGTAGAAAAAATAGACGGAATCATTCTCAGAAACTGCTTTGGGATGTGTGCATTGAACTCACAGTGTTTAACACTTCTTTTCATAGAGCACTTTGGAAACACTCAGTTTGTAATGTCTGCAGCTGGATATTTGGACCTCTTTGAGGCCTTCGTAGTAAACGGGATTTCTTCGTGTAATGATAGACAATAGAATTCTCAGTGAATTTTTTTCTGTGTGTGTGTATTCAACTCACAGGGTTGAACCTTCCTTTAGACAGTGCAGATTTGAAACACTTGTCTGTGGAATTTGCAAGGGGAGATTTCAAGCACTTTGAGGCCACTGGTGGAAAAGGAAATATCTTCGTATGAAAACTAGACAGAATCATTCTCAGGAACTACTTTGTGATATGTGCATTCAACTCACAGAGTTCAACCTTTCTTTTCATAGATGAGTTTGGAAACAGTCAGTTTGTAAATTCTGCAACTGGATATTTGGACCTCTTTGAGGCTTTCGTTGGAAACGGGATTTCTTCACATAATGCTAGACAGAAGAATTCTCAGTAACTTCTTTTGGGATGTATGTATTCAAATCAGAGAGTTGAACCTTCCTTTAGACAGAGCGGATTGGAAACACTCTTTTTGTGGAATTTGCAAGTGGAAAATTCTAGCAGTATGAGGCCAATGGTACAAAAGGAAATATCTTCGTATAAAAACTAGACAGTACCATTCTCAGAAACTGCTTTGTGATGTGTGTATTAAACTCACAGAGTTGAACATTTCTTTGCATAGAGCAGTTTGGAAAGACTTAGTTTGTGCAGTGTGCAAGTGGATATTTGGAACTCTTTGAGGCCTTCGTTGGAAACGGGATTTCTTCTTATAATTTCTTGAAAAAAGAATTCTCAGTAGCTTCTTTGTGTATGTGTATTCAACTCACAGAGTTGAACCTTCCTTTAGACAGAGCAGATTGGAAACACTCTTTTTGTGGAATTTGCAAGTGGAGAATTCTAGCGCTTTGACGCCAATGGTAGAAAGGAAATATCTTCGTATAAAAACTAGACAGTATCATTCTCAGAAGCTACTTTGTGATGTGTGCGTTCAACTCACAGAGTTTAACCTTTCTTTTCATAGAGCAGTTTGGAAACCCTCTGTTTGTGAAGTCTGCAAGTGGATATTTAAACGTCTTTGAGGCCTTCGTTGGAAACGGGATTTTTTCATATAAACCAGGACAGAAGAATTCTCAGAAACTTCTTGATTGTTATGTGTGCATTCAACTCACAGAGT
This sequence comes from Homo sapiens, assembly GCF_000001405.40. Lineage (NCBI taxonomy): Eukaryota > Metazoa > Chordata > Mammalia > Primates > Hominidae > Homo > Homo sapiens. Next base: position 93,237,951 of record NC_000003.12, read on the forward strand.
TGAACCTTACTTTGGAAAGAGCAGTTTTCTAACACTCTTTTTGTAAAAGTTCCAAGTGAATACTTTGAGTGCTTTGAAGCCTACGGTTGACAACGAAATATCTTCCTGTAAAAACTACAAAGAATCATTCGCAGAAACCACGTTGTGATCTCTGCATTCAACTCACAGAGTTGAACCTTTCTTCCTATAGAGCAGTTATGAAACAGTCTCTTTGTAGAATTTGCAAGGGTGTATTTAGAGGGCATTGAAGCCTACGGTAGAAAAGGAAATATCTTACCATAAAATCTAGTCAGAAGCATTCTCAGCAACTGAGTTGTGATGTTTGCATTCAACTCACAGAGTTCAACATTCCTTTTAATGGAGCGGTTTTGAAACACTCTTTTTGCAGAATCTGCAAGTGGATATTTGGACCTCTTTGAGGCCTTCGTTGGAAACGGGATTTCTTCATGTAATGCCAGACAGAAGAATTCTCAGTGAATTCTTTCTGTGTGTGTGTATTCAACTCACAGAGTTGAACGTTCCTTTAGACAGAGTAGATTGGAAACACTCTTTTTGTGGAATTTTCAGGTGGAGGTATCAAGCGCTTTGAGGCCAATGATAGAAAAGGAAATACCTTCGTATAATAATTAGACGGAATCATTCTCAGAAACTGCTTTGCAATGTGTGCGTTCAACTCACAGTGTTTAACCTTTCTTTTCATACAGTTGTTTCGAAACACTCTTTTTGCAGAATCTGCAAGTGGATATTTGGACCTCTTTGAAGTCTTCGTTGGAAATGGGATATCTTCATATAATGCTAGACAGAAGACTTCTCAGTAACTGCTTTTTCTGGTGTGTATTCAACTCTCAGAGTTGAACTTTCCTTTAGAAACAGCAGAGTTGAAACTCTCTTTTTGTGGAATTTGCAAGTGGAGATTTCAAAGCTTTGAGGCCAATGGTAGAAAAGGAAATATCTTCGTATGCAAACTAGACAGAATCATTCTCAGAAACTACTTTGGTACGTGTGTGTTCAACTCACAGTGTTTAACCTTTCTTTTCATAGAGCAGTTTGGAAACACTCAGTTTGTAAAGTCAGCAACTGGATATTTGGATGTATTTGAGGCCTTCGTTGGAAACGGGATTTCTTCATATAATGCTAGACAGAAGAATTCTCAGTAACTTCTTTGGGTTGTGGGTATTCAACTCACAGAGTTGAAGCTTCCTTTAGGCGGAGCAGATTGGAAACACTTTTTGTGGAATTTTCAGGGGGAGACTTCAAGCGCTTTGAAGTGAATGGTAGGAAAGGAAATATCTTCGTATAAAAACTAGACGGAGTCATTCTCAGAAACTACTTTGTGATGTTTGCGTTCAACTCACAGAGTTTAACGTTTCTTTTCATAGAGCAGTTTGGAAACACTCTTTTTGCAGAATCTGCAAGTGGATATTTGGACCTCTTTGTGGCCTTCGTTGGAAACGGGATTTTTCATATAATGCTAGACAGAAGAATTCTCAGTAACTTCTTTTTGTGGTGTGTATTCAACTCACAGAGTTGAACCTTCCTTTAGACAGAGCAGATTTGAAACTCTCTCTTTGTGGAATTTGCAAGTGGAGATTTCAAGCGCTTTGAGGCCAACGGCAGAAAAGGAAATATCTTCGTAGAAAAAATAGACGGAATCATTCTCAGAAACTGCTTTGGGATGTGTGCATTGAACTCACAGTGTTTAACACTTCTTTTCATAGAGCACTTTGGAAACACTCAGGTTGTAATGTCTGCAGCTGGATATTTGGACCTCTTTGAGGCCTTCGTGGTAAACGGGATTTCTTCGTGTAATGATAGACAATAGAATTCTCAGTGAATTTTTTTCTGTGTGTGTGTATTCAACTCACAGGGTTGAACCTTCCTTTAGACAGTGCAGATTTGAAACACTTGTCTGTGGAATTTGCAAGGGGAGATTTCAAGCACTTTGAGGCCATTGGTGGAAAAGGAAATATCTTCGTATAAAAACTAGACAGAATAATTCTCAGGAACTACTTTGTGATATGTGCATTCAACTCACAGAGTTTAACCTTTCTTTTCATAGATGAGTTTGGAAACAGTCAGTTTGTAAATTCTGCAACTGGATATTTGGACCTCTTTGAGGCTTTCGTTGGAAACGGGATTTCTTCACATAATGCTAGACAGAAGAATTCTCAGTAACTTCTTTGGGATGTATGTATTCAAATCAGAGAGTTGAACCTTCCTTTAGACAGAGCGGATTGGAAACACTCTTTTTGTGGAATTTGCAAGTGGAAAATTCTAGCAGTATGAGGCCAATGGTACAAAAGGAAATATCTTCGTATAAAAACTAGACAGTATCATTCTCAGAAACTGCTTTGTGATGTGCGTATTAAACTCACAGAGTTGAACATTTCTTTGCATAGAGCAGTTTGGAAAGACTTAGTTTGTGCAGTGTGCAAGTGGATATTTGGAACTCTTTGAGGCCTTCGTTGGAAACGGGATTTCTTCTTATAATTCTTGACAAAAGAATTCTCAGTAGCTTCTTTGTGTGTGTGTATTCAACTCACAGAGTTGAACCTTCCTTTAGACAGAGCAGATTGGAAACACTCTTTTTGTGGAATTTGCAAGTGGAGAATTCTAGCGCTTTGACGCCAATGGTAGAAAGGAAATATCTTCGTATAAAAACTAGACAGTATCATTCTCAGAAGCTACTTTGTGATGTGTGCATTCAACTCACAGAGTTTAACCTTTCTTTTCATAGAGCAGTTTGGAAACAATCTGTTTGTGAAGTCTGCAAGTGGATATTTAAACGTCTTTGAGGCCTTCGTTGGAAACGGGATTTTTTCATATAAACCAGGACAGAAGAATTCTCAGAAACTTCTTGATTGTTATGTGTGCATTCAACTCACAGAGTTGAACCTTACTTTGGAAAGAGCAGTTTTCTAACACTCTTTTTGTAAAAGTTCCAAGTGAATACTTTGAGTGCTTTGAAGCCTACGGTTGACAACGAAATATCTTCATGTAAAAACTACAAAGAATCATTCGCAGAAACCACGTTGTGATCTCTGCATTCAACTCACAGAGTTGAACCTTTCTTCCTATAGAGCAGTTATGAAACAGTCTCTTTGTAGAATTTGCAAGGGTGTATTTAGAGGGCATTGAAGCCTACGGTAGAAAAGGAAATATCTTACCATAAAATCTAGTCAGAAGCATTCTCAGCAACTGAGTTGTGATGTTTGCATTCAACTCACAGAGTTCAACATTCCTTTTAATGGGAGCGGTTTTGAAACACTCTTTTTGCAGAATCTGCAAGTGGATATTTGGACCTCTTTGAGGCCTTCGTTGGAAACGGGATTTCTTCATGTAATGCCAGACAGAAGAATTCTCAGTGAATTCTTTCTGTGTGTGTGTATTCAACTCACAGAGTTGAACGTTCCTTTAGACAGAGTAGATTGGAAACACTCTTTTTGTGGAATTTTCAGGTGGAGGTATCAAGCGCTTTGAGGCCAATGATAGAAAAGGAAATACCTTCGTATAATAATTAGACGGAATCATTCTCAGAAACCGCTTTGCAATGTGTGCGTTCAACTCACAGTGTTTAACCTTTCTTTTCATACAGTTGTTTCGAAACACTCTTTTTGCAGAATCTGCAAGTGGATATTTGGACCTCTTTGAAGTCTTCGTTGGAAATGGGATTTCTTCATATAATGCTAGACAGAAGACTTCTCAGTAACTGCTTTTTCTGGTGTGTATTCAACTCTCAGAGTTGAACTTTCCTTTAGAAACAGCAGATTTGAAACTCTCTTTTTGTGGAATTTGCAAGTGGAGATTTCAGAGCTTTGAGGCCAATGGTAGAAAAGGAAATATCTTCGTATGCAAACTAGACAGAATCATTCTCAGAAACTACTTTGGTACGTGTGTGTTCAACTCACAGTGTTTAACCTTTCTTTTCATAGAGCAGTTTGGAAACACTCAGTTTGTAAAGTCAGCAACTGGATATTTGGATGTATTTGAGGCCTTCGTTGGAAACGGGATTTCTTCATATAATGCTAGACAGAAGAATTCTCAGTAACTTCTTTGGGTTGTGGGTATTCAACTCACAGAGTTGAAGCTTCCTTTAGGCGGAGCAGATTGGAAACACTTTTTGTGGAATTTTCAGGGGGAGACTTCAAGCGCTTTGAAGTGAATGTTAGGAAAGGTAATATTCTTCGTATAAAAACTAGACGGAGTCATTCTCAGAAACTACTTTGTGATGTTTGCGTTCAACTCACAGAGTTTAACGTTTCTTTTCATAGAGCAGTTTGGAAACACTCTTTTTGCAGAATCTGCAAGTGGATATTTGGACCTCTTTGTGGCCTTCGTTGGAAACGGGATTTTTCATATAATGCTAGACAGAAGAATTCTCAGTAACTTCTTTTTGTGGTGTGTATTCAACTCACAGAGTTGAACCTTCCTTTAGACAGAGCAGATTTGAAACTCTCTTTTTGTGGAATTTGCAAGTGGAGATTTCAAGCGCTTTGAGGCCAACGGCAGAAAAGGAAATATCTTCGTAGAAAAAATAGACGGAATCATTCTCAGAAACTGCTTTGGGATGTGTGCATTGAACTCACAGTGTTTAACACTTCTTTTCATAGAGCACTTTGGAAACACTCAGTTTATAATGTCTGCAGCTGGATATTTGGACCTCTTTGAGGCCTTCGTAGTAAACGGGATTTCTTCGTGTAATGATAGACAATAGAATTCTCAGTGAATTTTTTTCTGTGTGTGTGTATTCAACTCACAGGGTTGAACCATCCTTTAGACAGTGCAGATTTGAAACACTTGTCTGTGGAATTTGCAAGGGGAGATTTCAAGCACTTTGAGGCCATTGGTGGAAAAGGAAATATCTTCGTATGAAAACTATACAGAATCATTCTCAGGAACTACTTTGTGATATGGGCATTCAACTCCCAGAGTTTAACCTTTCTTTTCATAGATGAGTTTGGAAACAGTCAGTTTGTAAATTCTGCAACTGGATATTTGGACCTCTTTGAGGCTTTCGTTGGAAACGGGATTTCTTCACATAATGCTAGACAGAAGAATTCTCAGGAACTTCTTTTGGGATGTATGTATTCAAATCAGAGAGTTGAACCTTCCTTTAGACAGAGCGGATTGGAAACACTCTTTTTGTGGAATTTGCAAGTGGAAAATTCTAGCAGTATGAGGCCAATGGTACAAAAGGAAATATCTTTCGTATAAAAACTAGACAGTAATCATTCTCAGAAACTGCTTTGTGATGTGTGAATTAAACTCACAGAGTTGAACATTTCTTTGCATAGAGCAGTTTGGAAAAACTTAGTTTTTGCAGTGTGCAAGTGGATATTTGGAACTCTTTGAGGCCTTCGTTGGAAACGGGATTTCTTCTTATAATTCTTGACAAAAGAATTCTCAGTAGCTTCCTTTGTGTGTGTGTATTCAACTCACAGAGTTGAACCTTCCTTTAGACAGAGCAGATTGGAAACACTCTTTTTGTGGAATTTGCAAGTGGAGAATTCTAGCGCTTTGACGCCAATGGTAGAAAGGAAATATCTTCGTATAAAAACTAGACAGTATCATTCTCAGCAAACTGCTTTGTGATGTGTGTATTAAACTCACAGAGTTTAACCTTTCTTTTCATAGAGCAGTTTGGAAACCCTCTGTTTGTGAAGTCTGCAAGTGGATATTTAAACGTCTTTGAGGCCTTCGTTGGAAACGGGATTTTTTCATATAAACCAGGACAGAAGAATTCTCAGAAACTTCTTGATTGTTATGTGTGCATTCAACTCACAGAGTTGAACCTTACTTTGGAAAGAGCAGTTTTCTAACACTCTTTTTGTAAAAGTTCCAAGTGAATACTTTGAGTGCTTTGAAGCCTACGGTTGACAACGAAATATCTTCATGTAAAAACTACAAAGAATCATTCGCAGAAACCACGTTGTGATCTCTGCATTCAACTCACAGTGTTGAACCTTTCTTCCTATAGAGCAGTTATGAAACAGTCTCTTTGTAGAATTTGCAAGGGTGTATTTAGAGGGCATTGAAGCCTACGGTAGAAAAGGAAATATCTTACCATAAAATCTAGTCAGAAGCATTCTCAGAAACTGAGTTGTGATGTTTGCATTCAACTCACAGAGTTCAACATTCCTTTTCATGGAGCGGTTTTGAAACACTCTTTTTGCAGAATCTGCAAGTGGATATTTGGACCTCTTTGAAGTCTTCGTTGGAAATGGGATTTCTTCATATAATGCTAGACAGAAGAATTCTCAGTGAATTCTTTCTGTGTGTGTGTATTCAACTCACAGAGTTGAACGTTCCTTTAGACAGAGTAGATTGGAAACACTCTTTTTGTGGAATTTTCAGGTGGAGGTATCAAGCGCTTTGAGGCCAATGATAGAAAAGGAAATACCTTCGTATAATAATTAGACGGAATCATTCTCAGAAACTGCTTTGCAATGTGTGCGTTCAACTCACAGTGTTTAACCTTTCTTTTCATACAGTTGTTTCGAAACACTCTTTTTGCAGAATCTGCAAGTGGATATTTGGACCTCTTTGAAGTCTTCGTTGGAAATGGGATTTCTTCATATAATGCTAGACAGAAGACTTCTCAGTAACTGCTTTTTCTGGTGTGTATTCAACTCTCAGAGTTGAACTTTCCTTTAGAAACAGGAGAGTTGAAACTCTCTTTTTGTGGAATTTGCAAGTGGAGATTTCAAAGCTTTGAGGCCAATGGTAGAAAAGGAAATATCTTCGTATGCAAACTAGACAGAATCATTCTCAGAAACTACTTTGGTACGTGTGTGTTCAACTCACAGTGTTTAACCTTTCTTTTCATAGAGCAGTTTGGAAACACTCAGTTTGTAAAGTCAGCAACTGGATATTTGGATGTATTTGAGGCCTTCGTTGGAAACGGGATTTCTTCATATAATGCTAGACAGAAGAATTCTCAGTAACTTCTTTGGGTTGTGGGTATTCAACTCACAGAGTTGAAGCTTCCTTTAGGCGGAGCAGATTGGAAACACTTTTTGTGGAATTTTCAGGGGGAGACTTCAAGCGCTTTGAAGTGAATGGTAGGAAAGGAAATATCTTCGTATAAAAACTAGACGGAGTCATTCTCAGAAACTACTTTGTGATGTTTGCGTTCAACTCACAGAGTTTAACGTTTCTTTTCATAGAGCAGTTTGGAAACACTCTTTTTGCAGAATCTGCAAGTGGATATTTGGACCTCTTTGTGGCCTTCGTTGGAAACGGGATTTTTCATATAATGCTAGACAGAAGAATTCTCAGTAACTTCTTTTTGTGGTGTGTATTCAACTCACAGAGTTGAACCTTCCTTTAGACAGAGCAGATTTGAAACTCTCTTTTTGTGGAATTTGCAAGTGGAGATTTCAAGCGCTTTGAGGCCAACGGCAGAAAAGGAAATATCTTCGTAGAAAAAATAGACGGAATCATTCTCAGAAACTGCTTTGGGATGTGTGCATTGAACTCACAGTGTTTAACACTTCTTTTCATAGAGCACTTGGGAAACACTCAGTTTGTAATGTCTGCAGCTGGATATTTGGACCTCTTTGAGGCCTTCGTAGTAAACGGGATTTCTTCGTGTAATGATAGACAATAGAATTCTCAGTGAATTTTTTTCTGTGTGTGTGTATTCAACTCACAGGGTTGAACCTTCCTTTAGACAGTGCAGATTTGAAACACTTGTCTGTGGAATTTGCAAGGGGAGATTTCAAGCACTTTGAGGCCATTGGTGGAAAAGGAAATATCTTCGTATGAAAACTAGACAGAATCATTCTCAGGAACTACTTTGTGATATGTGCATTCAACTCACAGAGTTTAACCTTTCTTTTCATAGATGAGTTTGGAAACAGTCAGTTTGTAAATTCTGCAACTGGATATTTGGACCTCTTTGAGGCTTTCGTTGGAAACGGGATTTCTTCACATAATGCTAGACAGAAGAATTCTCAGTAACTTCTTTTGGGATGTATGTATTCAAATCAGAGAGTTGAACCTTCCTTTAGACAGAGCGGATTGGAAACACTCTTTTTGTGGAATTTGCAAGTGGAAAATTCTAGCAGTATGAGGCCAATGGTACAAAAGGAAATATCTTCGTATAAAAACTAGACAGTTATCATTCTCAGAAGCTACTTTGTGATGTGTGCGTTCAACTCACAGAGTTTAACCTTTCTTTTCATAGAGCAGTTTGGAAACCCTCTGTTTGTGAAGTCTGCAAGTGGATATTTAAACGTCTTTGAGGCCTCTTCGTTGGAAACGGGATTTTTTCATATAAACCCAGGACAGAAGAATTCTCAGAAACTTCTTGATTGTTATGTGTGCATTCAACTCACAGAGTTGAACCTTACTTTGGAAAGAGCAGTTTTCTAACACTCTTTTTGTAAAAGTTCCAAGTGAATACTTTGAGTGCTTTGAAGCCTACGGTTGACAACGAAATATCTTCATGTAAAAACTACAAAGAAACATTCGCAGAAACCACGTTGTGATCTCTGCATTCAACTCACAGAGTTGAACCTTTCTTCCTGTAGAGCAGTTATGAAACAGTCTCTTTGTAGAATTTGCAAGGGTGTATTTAGAGGGCATTGAAGCCTACGGTAGAAAAGGAAATATCTTACCATAAAATCTAGTCAGAAGCATTCTCAGAAACTGAGTTGTGATGTTTGCATTCAACTCACAGAGTTCAACATTCCTTTTAATGGAGCGGTTTTGAAACACTCTTTTTGCAGAATCTGCAAGTGGATATTTGGACCTCTTTGAGGCCTTCGTTGGAAACGGGATTTCTTCATGTAATGCCAGACAGAAGAATTCTCAGTGAATTCTTTCTGTGTGTGTGTATTCAACTCACGGAGTTGAACGTTCCTTTAGACAGAGTAGATTGGAAACACTCTTTTTGTGGAATTTTCAGGTGGAGGTATCAAGCGCTTTGAGGCCAATGATAGAAAAGGAAATACCTTCGTATAATAATTAGACGGAATCATTCTCAGTAAACTGCTTTGCAATGTGTGCGTTCAACTCACAGTGTTTAACCTTTCTTTTCATACAGTTGTTTCGAAACACTCTTTTTGCAGAATCTGCAAGTGGATATTTGGACCTCTTTGAAGTCTTCGTTGGAAATGGGATTTCTTCATATAATGCTAGACAGAAGACTTCTCAGTAACTGCTTTTTCTGGTGTGTATTCAACTCTCAGAGTTGAACTTTCCTTTAGAAACAGCAGAGTTGAAACTCTCTTTTTGTGGAATTTGCAAGTGGAGATTTCAGAGCTTTGAGGCCAATGGTAGAAAAGGAAATATCTTCGTATGCAAACTAGACAGAATCATTCTCAGAAACTACTTTGGTACGTGTGTGTTCAACTCACAGTGTTTAACCTTTCTTTTCATAGAGCAGTTTGGAAACACTCAGTTTGTAAAGTCAGCAACTGGATATTTGGATGTATTTGAGGCCTTCGTTGGAAACGGGATTTCTTCATATAATGCTAGACAGAAGAATTCTCAGTAACTTCTTTGGGTTGTGGGTATTCAAGTCACAGAGTTGAAGCTTCCTTTAGGCGGAGCAGATTGGAAACACTTTTTGTGGAATTTTCAGGGGGAGACTTCAAGCGCTTTGAAGTGAATGGTAGGAAAGGAAATATCTTCGTATAAAAACTAGACGGAGTCATTCTCAGAAACTACTTTGTGATGTTTGCGTTCAACTCACAGAGTTTAACGTTTCTTTTCATAGAGCAGTTTGGAAACACTCTTTTTGCAGAATCTGCAAGTGGATATTTGGACCTCTTTGTGGCCTTCGTTGGAAACGGGATTTTTCATATAATGCTAGACAGAAGAATTCTCAGTAACTTCTTTTTGTGGTGTGTATTCAACTCACAGAGTTGAACCTTCCTTTAGACAGAGCAGATTTGAAACTCTCTTTTTGTGGAATTTGCAAGTGGAGATTTCAAGCGCTTTGAGGCCAACGGCAGAAAAGGAAATATCTTCGTAGAGAAAATAGACGGAATCATTCTCAGAAACTGCTTTGGGATGTGTGCATTGAACTCACAGTGTTTAACACTTCTTTTCCTAGAGCACTTTGGAAACACTCAGGTTGTAATGTCTGCAGCTGGATATTTGGACCTCTTTGAGGCCTTCGTAGTAAACGGGATTTCTTCGTGTAATGATAGACAATAGAATTCTCAGTGAATTTTTTTCTGTGTGTGTGTATTCAACTCACAGGGTTGAACCTTCCTTTAGACAGTGCAGATTTGAGACACTTGTCTGTGGAATTTGCAAGGGGAGATTTCAAGCACTTTGAGGCCATTGGTGGAAAAGGAAATATCTTCGTATGAAAACTAGACAGAATCATTCTCAGGAACTACTTTGTCATATGTGCATTCAACTCCCAGAGTTTAACCTTTCTTTTCATAGATGAGTTTGGAAACAGTCAGTTTGTAAATTCTGCAACTGGATATTTGGACCTCTTTGAGGCTTTCGTTGGAAACGGGATTTCTTCACATAATGCTAGACAGAAGAATTCTCAGTAACTTCTTTTGGGATGTATGTATTCAACTCATAGAGTTGAACCTTCCTTTAGACAGAGCGGATTGGAAACACGCTTTTTGCGGAATTTTCAGGTGGAGATTCCAAGAGCCTTGAGGCCAATGGTAGAAAAGGCTATCTTCGTATAAAAACTAGAGGGAATCATTCTCAGAAACTGCTTTGTGATGTGTGTATTAAACTCACAGAGTTGAACATTTCTTTGCATAGAGCAGTTTGGAAAGACTTAGTTTGTGCAGTGTGCAAGTGGATATTTGGAACTCTTTGAGGCCTTCGTTGGAAACGGGATTTCTTCTTATAATTCTTGACAAAAGAATTCTCAGTAGCTTCTTTGTGTGTGTGTATTCAACTCACAGAGTTGAACCTTCCTTTAGACAGAGCAGATTGGAAACACTCTTTTTGTGGAATTTGCAAGTGGAGAATTCTAGCGCTTTGACGCCAATGGTGGAAAGGAAATATCTTCGTATAAAAACTAGACAGTATCATTCTCAGAAACTACTTTGTGAGGTGTGCGTTCAACTCACAGTGTTTACCCTTTCTTTTCATAGAGCAGTTTGGAAACACTCTGTTTGTGAAGTCTGCAAGTGGATATTTAAACGTCTTTGAGGCCTTCGTTGGAAACGGGATTTCTTCATATAAACCAGGACAGAAGAATTCTCAGAAACTTCTTGTTTGTTATGTGTGCATTCAACTCACAGAGTTGAACCTTACTTTGGAAAGAGCAGTTTTCTAACACTCTTTTTGTAAAAGTTCCAAGTGAATACTTTGAGTGCTTTGAAGCCTACGGTAGACAACGAAATATCTTCATGTAAAAACTACAAAGAATCATTCGCAGAAACCACGTTGTGATCTCTGCATTCAACTCACAGAGTTGAACCTTTCCTCCAATAGAGCAGTTATGAAACAGTCTCTTTGTAGAATTTGCAAGGGTGTATTTACAGGGCATTGAAGCCTACGGTAGAAAAGGAAATATCTTACCATAAAATCTAGTCAGAAGCATTCTCAGCAACTGAGTTGTGATGTTTGCATTCAACTCACAGAGTTCAACATTCCTTTTAATGGAGCGGTTTTGAAACACTCTTTTTGCAGAATCTGCAAGTGGATATTTGGACCTCTTTGAGGCCTTCGTTGGAAACGGGATTTCTTCATGTAATGCCAGACAGAAGAATTCTCAGTGAATTCTTTCTGTGTGTGTGTATTCAACTCACAGAGTTGAACGTTCCTTTAGACAGAGTAGATTGGAAACACTCTTTTTGTGGAATTTTCAGGTGGAGGTATCAAGCGCTTTGAGGCCAATGATAGAAAAGGAAATACCTTCGTATAATAATTAGACGGAATCATTCTCAGAAACTGCTTTGCAATGTGTGCGTTCAACTCACAGTGTTTAACCTTTCTTTTCATACAGTTGTTTCGAAACACTCTTTTTGCAGAATCTGCAAGTGGATATTTGGACCTCTTTGAAGTCTTCGTTGGAAATGGGATTTCTTCATATAATGCTAGACAGAAGACTTCTCAGTAACTGCTTTTTCCTGGTGTGTATTCAACTCTCAGAGTTGAACTTTCCTTTAGAAACAGCAGAGTTGAAACTCTCTTTTTGTGGAATTTGCAAGTGGAGATTTCAAAGCTTTGAGGCCAATGGTAGAAAAGGAAATATCTTCGTATGCAAACTAGACAGAATCATTCTCAGAAACTACTTTGGTACGTGTGTGTTCAACTCACAGTGTTTAACCTTTCTTTTCATAGAGCAGTTTGGAAACACTCAGTTTGTAAAGTCAGCAACTGGATATTTGGATGTATTTGAGGCCTTCGTTGGAAACGGGATTTCTTCATATAGTGCTAGACAGAAGAATTCTCAGTAACTTCTTTGGGTTGTGGGTATTCAAGTCACAGAGTTGAAGCTTCCTTTAGGCGGAGCAGATTGGAAACACTTTTGTGGAATTTTCAGGGGGAGACTTCAAGCGCTTTGAAGTGAATGGTAGGAAAGGAAATATCTTCGTATAAAAACTAGACGGAGTCATTCTCAGAAACTACTTTGTGATGTTTGCGTTCAACTCACAGAGTTTAACGTTTCTTTTCATAGAGCAGTTTGGAAACACTCTTTTTGCAGAATCTGCAAGTGGATATTTGGACCTCTTTGTGGCCTTCGTTGGAAACGGGATTTTTCATATAATGCTAGACAGAAGAATTCTCAGTAACTTCTTTTTGTGGTGTGTATTCAACTCACAGAGTTGAACCTTCCTTTAGACAGAGCAGATTTGAAACTCTCTTTTTGTGGAATTTGCAAGTGGAGATTTCAAGCGCTTTGAGGCCAACGGCAGAAAAGGAAATATCTTCGTAGAAAAAATAGACGGAATCATTCTCAGAAACTGCTTTGGGATGTGTGCATTGAACTCACAGTGTTTAACACTTCTTTTCATAGAGCACTTTGGAAACACTCAGTTTGTAATGTCTGCAGCTGGATATTTGGACCTCTTTGAGGCCTTCGTAGTAAACGGGATTTCTTCGTGTCATGATAGACCATAGAATTCTCAGTGAATTTTTTTCTGTGTGTGTGTATTCAACTCACAGGGTTGAACCTTTCCTTTAGACAGTGCAGATTTGAGACACTTGTCTGTGGAATTTGCAAGGGGAGATTTCAAGCACTTTGAGGCCATTGGTGGAAAAGGAAATATCTTCGTATAAAAACTAGACAGAATCATTCTCAGGAACTACTTTGTGATATGTGCATTCAACTCACAGAGTTTAACCTTTCTTTTCATAGATGAGTTTGGAAACAGTCAGTTTGTAAATTCTGCAACTGGATATTTGGACCTCTTTGAGGCTTTCGTTGGAAACGGGATTTCTTCACATAATGCTAGACAGAAGAATTCTCAGTAACTTCTTTTGGGATGTATGTATTCAAATCAGAGAATTGAACCTTCCTTTAGACAGAGCGGATTGGAAACACTCTTTTTGTGGAATTTGCAAGTGGAAAATTCTAGCAGTATGAGGCCAATGGTACAAAAGGAAATATCTTCGTATAAAAACTAGACAGTATCATTCTCAGAAACTGCTTTGTGATGTGTGTATTAAACTCACAGAGTTGAACATTTCTTTGCATAGAGCAGTTTGGAAAGACTTAGTTTGTGCAGTGTGCAAGTGGATATTTGGAACTCTTTGAGGCCTTCGTTGGAAACGGGATTTCTTCTTATAATTCTTGACAAAAGAATTCTCAGTAGCTTCTTTGTGTGTGTGTATTCAACTCACAGAGTTGAACCTTCCTTTAGACAGAGCAGATTGGAAACACTCTTTTTGTGGAATTTGCAAGTGGAGAATTCTAGCGCTTTGACGCCAATGGTAGAAAGGAAATATCTTCGTATGCAAACTAGACAGTATCATTCTCAGAAGCTACTTTGTGATGTGTGCGTTCAACTCACAGAGTTTAACCTTTCTTTTCATAAAGCAGTTTGGAAACCCTCTGTTTGTGAAGTCTGCAAGTGGATATTTAAACGTCTTTGAGGCCTTCGTTGGAAACGGGATTTTTTCATATAAACCAGGACAGAAGAATTCTCAGAAACTTCTTGATTGTTATGTGTGCATTCAACTCACAGAGTTGAACCTTACTTTGGAAAAAGCAGTTTTCTAACACTCTTTTTGTAAAAGTTCCAAGTGAATACTTTGAGTGCTTTGAAGCCTACGGTTGACAACGAAATATCTTCATGTAAAAACTACAAAGAATCATTCGCAGAAACCACGTTGTGATCTCTGCATTCAACTCACAGAGTTGAACCTTTCTTCCTATAGAGCAGTTATGAAACAGTCTCTTTGTAGAATTTGCAAGGGTGTATTTAGAGGGCATTGAAGCCTACGGTAGAAAAGGAAATATCTTACCATAAAATCTAGTCAGAAGCATTCTCAGCAACTGAGTTGTGATATTTGCATTCAACTCACAGAGTTCAACATTCCTTTTAATGGAGCGGTTTTGAAACACTCTTTTTGCAGAATCTGCAAGTGGATATTTGGACCTATTTGAGGCCTTTGTTGGAAACGGGATTTCTTCATGTAATGCCAGACAGAAGAATTCTCAGTGAATTCTTTCTGTGTGTGTGTATTCAACTCACAGAGTTGAACGTTCCTTTAGACAGAGTAGATTGGAAACACTCTTTTTGTGGAATTTTCAGGTGGAGGTATCAAGCGCTTTGAGGCCAATGATAGAAAAGGAAATACCTTCGTATAATAATTAGACGGAATCATTCTCAGAAACTGCTTTGCAATGTGTGCGTTCAACTCACAGTGTTTAACCTTTCTTTTCATACAGTTGTTTCGAAACACTCTTTTTGCAGAATCTGCAAGTGGATATTTGGACCTCTTTGAAGTCTTCGTTGGAAATGGGATTTCTTCATATAATGCTAGACAGAAGACTTCTCAGTAACTGCTTTTTCTGGTGTGTATTCAACTCTCAGAGTTGAACTTTCCTTTAGAAACAGCAGATTTGAAACTCTCTTTTTGTGGAATTTGCAAGTGGAGATTTCAGAGCTTTGAGGCCACTGGTAGAAAAGGAAATATCTTCGTATGCAAACTAGACAGAATCATTCTCAGAAACTACTTTGGTACGTGTGTGTTCAACTCACAGTGTTTAACCTTTCTTTTCATAGAGCAGTTTGGAAACACTCAGTTTGTAAAGTCAGCAACGGGATATTTGGATGTATTTGAGGCCTTCGTTGGAAACGGGATTTCTTCATATAATGCTAGACAGAAGAATTCTCAGTAACTTCTTTGGGTTGTGGGTATTCAACTCACAGAGTTGAAGCTTCCTTTAGGCGGAGCAGATTGGAAACACTTTTTGTGGAATTTTCAGGGGGAGACTTCAAGCGCTTTGAAGTGAATGGTAGGAAAGGAAATATCTTCGTATAAAAACTAGACGGAGTCATTCTCAGAAACTACTTTGTGATGTTTGCGTTCAACTCACAGAGTTTAACGTTTCTTTTCATAGAGCAGTTTGGAAACACTCTTTTTGCAGAATCTGCAAGTGGATATTTGGACCTCTTTGTGGCCTTCGTTGGAAACGGGATTTTTCATATAATGCTAGACAGAAGAATTCTCAGTAACTTCTTTTTGTGGTGTGTATTCAACTCACAGAGTTGAACCTTCCTTTAGACAGAGCAGATTTGAAACTCTCTTTTTGTGGAATTTGCAAGTGGAGATTTCAAGCGCTTTGAGGCCAACGGCAGAAAAGGAAATATCTTCGTAGAAAAAATAGACGGAATCATTCTCAGAAACTGCTTTGGGATGTGTGCATTGAACTCACAGTGTTTAACACTTCTTTTCATAGAGCACTTTGGAAACACTCAGTTTGTAATGTCTGCAGCTGGATATTTGGACCTCTTTGAGGCCTTCGTAGTAAACGGGATTTCTTCGTGTAATGATAGACAATAGAATTCTCAGTGAATTTTTTTCTGTGTGTGTGTATTCAACTCACAGGGTTGAACCTTCCTTTAGACAGTGCAGATTTGAAACACTTGTCTGTGGAATTTGCAAGGGGAGATTTCAAGCACTTTGAGGCCATTGGTGAAAAGGAAATATCTTCGTATGAAAACTAGACAGAATCATTCTCAGGAACTACTTTGTGATATATGCATTCAACTCATAGAGTTCAACCTTTCTTTTCATAGATGAGTTTGGAAACAGTCAGTTTGTAAATTCTGCAACTGGATATTTGGACCTCTTTGAGGCTTTCGTTGGAAACGGGATTTCTTCACATAATGCTAGACAGAAGAATTCTCAGGAACTTCTTTTGGGATGTATGTATTCAAATCAGAGAGTTGAACCTTCCTTTAGACAGAGCGGATTGGAAACACTCTTTTTGTGGAATTTGCAAGTGGAAAATTCTAGCAGTATGAGGCCAATGGTACAAAAGGAAATATCTTCGTATAAAAACTAGACAGTATCATTCTCAGAAACTGCTTTGTGATGTGTGTATTAAACTCACAGAGTTGAACATTTCTTTGCATAGAGCAGTTTGGAAAGACTTAGTTTGTGCAGTGTGCAAGTGGATATTTGGAACTCTTTGAGGCCTTCGTTGGAAACGGGATTTCTTCTTATAATTCTTGACAAAAGAATTCTCAGTAGCTTCTTTGTGTGTGTGTATTCAACTCACAGAGTTGAACCTTCCTTTAGACAGAGCAGATTGGAAACACTCTTTTTGTGGAATTTGCAAGTGGAGAATTCTAGCGCTTTGACACCAATGGTAGAAAGGAAATATCTTCGTATAAAAACTAGACAGTATCATTCTCAGAAGCTACTTTGTGATGTGTGCGTTCAACTCACAGAGTTTAACCTTTCTTTTCATAGAGCAGTTTGGAAACACTCTGTTTGTGAAGTCTGCAAGTGGATATTTAAACGTCTTTGAGGCCTTCGTTGGAAACGGGATTTTTTCATATAAACCAGGACAGAAGAATTCTCAGAAACTTCTTGATTGTTATGTGTGCATTCAACTCACAGAGTTGAACCTTACTTTGGAAAGAGCAGTTTTCTAACACTCTTTTTGTAAAAGTTCCAAGTGAATACTTTGAGTGCTTTGAAGCCTACGGTTGACAACGAAATATCTTCCTGTAAAAACTACAAAGAATCATTCGCAGAAACCACGTTGTGATCTCTGCATTCAACTCACAGAGTTGAACCTTTCTTCCTATAGAGCAGTTATGAAACAGTCTCTTTGTAGAATTTGCAAGGGTGTATTTAGAGGGCATTGAAGCCTACGGTAGAAAAGGAAATATCTTACCATAAAATCTAGTCAGAAGCATTCTCAGCAACTGAGTTGTGATGTTTCCATTCAACTCACAGAGTTCAACATTCCTTTTAATGGAGCGGTTTTGAAACACTCTTTTTGCAGAATCTGCAAGTGGATATTTGGACCTCTTTGAGGCCTTCGTTGGAAACGGGATTTCTTCATGTAATGCCAGACAGAAGAATTCTCAGTGAATTCTTTCTGTGTGTGTGTATTCAACTCACAGAGTTGAACGTTCCTTTAGACAGAGTAGATTGGAAACACTCTTTTTGTGGAATTTTCAGGTGGAGGTATCAAGCGCTTTGAGGCCAATGATAGAAAAGGAAATACCTTCGTATAATAATTAGACGGAATCATTCTCAGAAACCGCTTTGCAATGTGTGCGTTCAACTCACAGTGTTTAACCTTTCTTTTCATACAGTTGTTTCGAAACACTCTTTTTGCAGAATCTGCAAGTGGATATTTGGACCTCTTTGAAGTCTTCGTTGGAAATGGGATTTCTTCATATAATGCTAGACAGAAGACTTCTCAGTAACTGCTTTTTCTGGTGTGTATTCAACCCTCAGAGTTGAACTTTCCTTTAGAAACAGCAGAGTTGAAACTCTCTTTTTGTGGAATTTGCAAGTGGAGATTTCAAAGCTTTGAGGCCAATGGTAGAAAAGGAAATATCTTCGTATGCAAACTAGACAGAATCATTCTCAGAAACTACTTTGGTACGTGTGTGTTCAACTCACAGTGTTTAACCTTTCCTTTCAGAGAGCAGTTTGGAAACACTCAGTTTGTAAAGTCAGCAACTGGATATCTGGATGTATTTGAGGCCTTCGTTGGAAACGGGATTTCTTCATATAATGCTAGACAGAAGAATTCTCAGTAACTTCTTTGGGTTGTGGGTATTCAACTCACAGAGTTGAAGCTTCCTTTAGGCGGAGGAGATTGGAAACACTTTTTGTGGAATTTTCAGGGGGAGACTTCAAGCGCTTTGAGGTCAACAGTAGAAAAGGAAATATCTTCGTATAAAAACTAGACGGAGTCATTCTCAGAAACTACTTTGTGATGTTTGCGTTCAACTCACAGAGTTTAACGTTTCTTTTCATAGAGCAGTTTGGAAACACTCTTTTTGCAGAATCTGCAAGTGGATATTTGGACCTCTTTGTGGCCTTCGTTGGAAACGGGATTTTTCATATAATGCTAGACAGAAGAATTCTCAGTAACTTCTTTTTGTGGTGTGTATTCAACTCACAGAGTTGAACCTTCCTTTAGACAGAGCAGATTTGAAACTCTCTTTTTGTGGAATTTGCAAGTGGAGATTTCAAGCGCTTTGAGGCCAACGGCAGAAAAGGAAATATCTTCGTAGAGAAAATAGACGGAATCATTCTCAGAAACTGCTTTGGGATGTGTGCATTGAACTCACAGTGTTTAACACTTCTTTTCATAGAGCACTTTGGAAACACTCAGTTTGTAATGTCTGCAGCTGGATATTTGGACCTCTTTGAGGTCTTCGTAGTAAACGGGATTTCTTCGTGTAATGATAGACAATAGAATTCTCAGTGAATTTTTTTCTGTGTGTGTGTATTCAACTCACAGGGTTGAACCTTCCTTTAGACAGTGCAGATTTGAAACACTTGTCTGTGGAATTTGCAAGGGGAGATTTCAAGCACTTTGAGGCCATTGGTGGAAAAGGAAATATCTTCGTATAAAAACTAGACAGAATCATTCTCAGGAACTACTTTGTGATATGTGCATTCAACTCACAGAGTTTAACCTTTCTTTTCATAGATGAGTTTGGAAACAGTCAGTTTGTAAATTCTGCAACTGGATATTTGGACCTCTTTGAGGCTTTCGTTGGAAACGGGATTTCTTCACATAATGCTAGACAGAAGAATTCTCAGTAACTTCTTTTGGGATGTATGTATTCAAATCAGAGAGTTGAACCTTCCTTTAGACAGAGCGGATTGGAAACATTCTTTTTGTGGAATTTGCAAGTGGAAAATTCTAGCAGTATGAGGCCAATGGTACAAAAGGAAATATCTTCGTATAAAAACTAGACAGTATCATTCTCAGAAACTGATTTGTGATGTGTGTATTAAACTCACAGAGTTTAACCTTTCTTTTCATAGAGCAGTTTGGAAACCCTCTGTTTGTGAAGTCTGGAAGTGGATATTTAAACGTCTTTGAGGCCTTCGTTGGAAACGGGATTTTTTCATATAAACCAGGACAGAAGAATTCTCAGAAACTTCTTGATTGTTATGGGTGCATTCAACTCACAGAGTTGAACCTTACTTTGGAAAGAGCGGTTTTCTAACACTCTTTTTGTAAAAGTTCCAAGTGAATACTTTGAGTGCTTTGAAGCCTACGGTTGACAACGAAATATCTTCATGTAAAAACTACAAAGAATCATTCGCAGAAACCACGTTGTGATCTCTGCATTCAACTCACAGAGTTGAACCTTTCTTCCTATAGAGCAGTTATGAAACAGTCTCTTTGTAGAATTTGCAAGGGTGTATTTAGAGGGCATTGAAGCCTACGGTAGAAAAGGAAATATCTGACCATAAAATCTAGTCAGAAGCATTCTCAGCAACTGAGTTGTGATGTTTGCATTCAACTCACAGAGTTCAACATTCCTTTTCATGGAGCGGTTTTGAAACACTCTTTTTGCAGAATCTGCAAGTGGATATTTGGACCTCTTTGAGGCCTTCGTTGGAAACGGGATTTCTTCATGTAATGCCAGACAGAAGAATTCTCAGTGAATTCTTTCTGTGTGTGTGTATTCAACTCACAGAGTTGAACGTTCCTTTAGACAGAGTAGATTGGAAACACTCTTTTTGTGGAATTTTCAGGTGGAGGTATCAAGCGCTTTGAGGCCAATGATAGAAAAGGAAATACCTTCGTATAATAATTAGACGGAATCATTCTCAGAAACCGCTTTGCAATGTGTGCGTTCAACTCACAGTGTTTAACCTTTCTTTTCATACAGTTGTTTCGAAACACTCTTTTTGCAGAATCTGCAAGTGGATATTTGGACCTCTTTGAAGTCTTCGTTGGAAATGGGATTTCTTCATATAATGCTAGACAGAAGACTTCTCAGTAACTGCTTTTTCTGGTGTGTATTCAACTCTCAGAGTTGAACTTTCCTTTAGAAACAGCAGATTTGAAACTCTCTTTTTGTGGAATTTGCAAGTGGAGATTTCAGAGCTTTGAGGCCAATGGTAGAAAAGGAAATATCTTCGTATGCAAACTAGACAGAATCATTCTCAGAAACTACTTTGGTACGTGTGTGTTCAACTCACAGTGTTTAACCTTTCTTTTCATAGAGCAGTTTGGAAACACTCAGTTTGTAAAGTCAGCAACTGGATATTTGGATGTATTTGAGGCCTTCGTTGGAAACGGGATTTCTTCATATAATGCTAGACAGAAGAATTCTCAGTAACTTCTTTGGGTTGTGGGTATTCAAGTCACAGAGTTGAAGCTTCCTTTAGGCGGAGCAGATTGGAAACACTTTTTGTGGAATTTTCAGGGGGAGACTTCAAGCGCTTTGAAGTGAATGGTAGGAAAGGAAATATCTTCGTATAAAAACTAGACGGAGTCATTCTCAGAAACTACTTTGTGATGTTTGCGTTCAACTCACAGAGTTTAACGTTTCTTTTCATAGAGCAGTTTGGAAACACTCTTTTTGCAGAATCTGCAAGTGGATATTTGGACCTCTTTGTGGCCTTCGTTGGAAACGGGATTTTTCATATAATGCTAGACAGAAGAATTCTCAGTAACTTCTTTTTGTGGTGTGTATTCAACTCACAGAGTTGAACCTTCCTTTAGACAGAGCAGATTTGAAACTCTCTTTTTGTGGAATTTGCAAGTGGAGATTTCAAGCGCTTTGAGGCCAACGGCAGAAAAGGAAATATCTTCGTAGAAAAAATAGACGGCATCATTCTCAGAAACTGCTTTGGGATGTGTGCATTGAACTCACAGTGTTTAACACTTCTTTTCATAGAGCACTTTGGAAACACTCAGGTTGTAATGTCTGCAGCTGGATATTTGGACCTCTTTGAGGCCTTCGTAGTAAACGGGATTTCTTCGTGTAATGATAGACAATAGAATTCTCAGTGAATTTTTTTCTGTGTGTGTGTATTCAACTCACAGGGTTGAACCATCCTTTAGACAGTGCAGATTTGAAACACTTGTCTGTGGAATTTGCAAGGGGAGATTTCAAGCACTTTGAGGCCATTGGTGGAAAAGGAAATATCTTCGTATGAAAACTAGACAGAATCATTCTCAGGAACTACTTTGTGATATGGGCATTCA
Source organism: Homo sapiens (assembly GCF_000001405.40). Classification (NCBI taxonomy): domain Eukaryota; kingdom Metazoa; phylum Chordata; class Mammalia; order Primates; family Hominidae; genus Homo; species Homo sapiens. The sequence goes on from NC_000003.12 coordinate 93,259,549, forward strand.
ACTCCCAGAGTTTAACCTTTCTTTTCATAGATGAGTTTGGAAACAGTCAGTTTGTAAATTCTGCAACTGGATATTTGGACCTCTTTGAGGCTTTCGTTGGAAACGGGATTTCTTCACATAATGCTAGATAGAAGAATTCTCAGTAACTTCTTTTGGGATGTATGTATTCAAATCAGAGAGTTGAACCTTCCTTTAGACAGAGCGGATTGGAAACACTCTTTTTGTGGAATTTGCAAGTGGAAAATTCTAGCAGTATGAGGCCAATGGTACAAAAGGAAATATCTTCGTATAAAAACTAGACAGTATCATTCTCAGAAACTGCTTTGTGATGTGTGTATTAAACTCACAGAGTTGAACATTTCTTTGCATAGAGCAGTTTGGAAAGACTTAGTTTGTGCAGTGTGCAAGTGGATATTTGGAACTCTTTGAGGCCTTCGTTGGAAACGGGATTTCTTCTTATAATTCTTGACAAAAGAATTCTCAGTAGCTTCTTTGTGTATGTGTATTCAACTCACAGAGTTGAACCTTCCTTTAGACAGAGCAGATTGGAAACACTCTTTTTGTGGAATTTGCAAGTGGAGAATTCTAGCGCTTTGACGCCAATGGTAGAAAGGAAATATCTTCGTATAAAAACTAGACAGTATCATTCTCAGAAGCTACTTTGTGATGTGTGCGTTCAACTCACAGAGTTTAACCTTTCTTTTCATAGAGCAGTTTGGAAACCCTCTGTTTGTGAAGTCTGCAAGTGGATATTTAAACGTCTTTGAGGCCTTCGTTGGAAACGGGATTTTTTCATATAAACCAGGACAGAAGAATTCTCAGAAACTTCTTGATTGTTATGTGTGCATTCAACTCACAGAGTTGAACCTTACTTTGGAAAGAGCAGTTTCCTAACACTCGTTTTGTAAAAGTTCCAAGTGAATACTTTGAGTGCTTTGAAGCCTACGGTTGACAACGAAATATCTTCATGTAAAAACTACAAAGAATCATTCGCAGAAACCACGTTGTGATCTCTGCATTCAACTCACAGAGTTCAACCTTTCTTCCTATAGAGCAGTTATGAAACAGTCTCTTTGTAGAATTTGCAAGGGTGTATTTAGAGGGCATTGAAGCCTACGGTAGAAAAGGAAATATCTTACCATAAAATCTAGTCAGAAGCATTCTCAGCAACTGAGTTGTGATGTTTGCATTCAACTCACAGAGTTCAACATTCCTTTTAATGGAGCGGTTTTGAAACACTCTTTTTGCAGAATCTGCAAGTGGATATTTGGACCTCTTTGAGGCCTTCGTTGGAAACGGGATTTCTTCATGTAATGCCAGACAGAAGAATTCTCAGTGAATTCTTTCTGTGTGTGTGTATTCAACTCACAGAGTTGAACGTTCCTTTAGACAGAGTAGATTGGAAACACTCTTTTTGTGGAATTTTCAGGTGGAGGTATCAAGCGCTTTGAGGCCAATGATAGAAAAGGAAATACCTTCGTATAATAATTAGACGGAATCATTCTCAGAAACTGCTTTGCAATGTGTGCGTTCAACTCACAGTGTTTAACCTTTCTTTTCATACAGTTGTTTCGAAACACTCTTTTTGCAGAATCTGCAAGTGGATATTTGGACCTCTTTGAAGTCTTCGTTGGAAATGGGATTTCTTCATATAATGCTAGACAGAAGACTTCTCAGTAACTGCTTTTTCTGGTGTGTATTCAACTCTCCGAGTTGAACTTTCCTTTAGAAACAGCAGATTTGAAACTCTCTTTTTGTGGAATTTGCAAGTGGAGATTTCAGAGCTTTGAGGCCACTGGAAGAAAAGGAAATATCTTCGTATGCAAACTAGACAGAATCATTCTCAGAAACTACTTTGGTACGTGTGTGTTCAACTCACAGTGTTTAACCTTTCTTTTCATAGAGCAGTTTGGAAACACTCAGTTTGTAAAGTCAGCAACTGGATATTTGGATGTATTTGAGGCCTTCGTTGGAAACGGGATTTCTTCATATAATGCTAGACAGAAGAATTCTCAGTAACTTCTTTGGGTTGTGGGTATTCAAGTCACAGAGTTGAAGCTTCCTTTAGGCGGAGCAGATTGGAAACACTTTTTGTGGAATTTTCAGGGGGAGACTTCAAGCGCTTTGAAGTGAATGGTAGGAAATGAAATATCTTCGTATAAAAACTAGACGGAGTCATTCTCAGAAACTACTTTGTGATGTTTGCGTTCAACTCACAGAGTTTAACGTTTCTTTTCATAGAGCAGTTTGGAAACACTCTTTTTGCAGAATCTGCAAGTGGATATTTGGACCTCTTTGTGGCCTTCGTTGGAAACGGGATTTTTCATATAATGCTAGACAGAAGAATTCTCAGTAACTTCTTTTTGTGGTGTGTATTCAACTCACAGAGTTGAACTTTCCTTTAGACAGAGCAGATTTGAAACTCTCTTTTTGTGGAATTTGCAAGTGGAGATTTCAAGCGCTTTGAGGCCAATGGCAGAAAAGGAAATATCTTCGTAGAAAAAATAGACGGAATCATTCTCAGAAACTGCTTTGGGATGTGTGCATTGAACTCACAGTGTTTAACACTTCTTTTCATAGAGCACTTTGGAAACACTCAGTTTGTAATGTCTGCAGCTGGATATTTGGACCTCTTTGAGGCCTTCGTAGTAAACGGGATTTCTTCGTGTAATGATAGACAATAGAATTCTGAGTGAATTTTTTTCTGTGTGTGTGTATTCAACTCACAGGGTTGAACCTTCCTTTAGACAGTGCAGATTTGAAACACTTGTCTGTGGAATTTGCAAGGGGAGATTTCAAGCACTTTGAGGCCATTGGTGGAAAAGGAAATATCTTCGTATAAAAACTAGACAGAATCATTCTCAGGAACTACTTTGTGATATGTGCATTCAACTCCCAGAGTTTCACCTTTCTTTTCATAGATGAGTTTGGAAACAGTCAGTTTGTAAATTCTGCAACTGGATATTTGGACCTGTTTGAGGCTTTCGTTGGAAACGGGATTTCTTCACATAATGCTAGACAGAAGAATTCTCAGTAACTTCTTTTGGGATGTATGTATTCAACTCAGAGAGTTGAACCTTCCTTTAGACAGAGCAGATTGAAAACACGCTTTTTGCGGAATTTTCAGGTGGAGATTTCAAGAGCCTTGAGGCCCATGGTAGAAAAGGCTATCTTCGTATAAAAACTAGACGGAATCATTCTCAGAAACTGCTTTGTGATGTGTGCATTAAACTCACAGAGTTGAACATTTCTTTGCATAGAGCAGTTTGGAAAGACTTAGTTTGTACAGTGTGCAAGTGGATATTTGGAACTCTTTGAGGCCTTCGTTGGAAACGGGATTTCTTCTTATAATTCTTGACAAAAGAATTCTCAGTAGCTTCTTTGTGTGTGTGTATTCAACTCACAGAGTTGAACCTTCCTTTAGACAGAGCAGATTGGAAACACTCTTTTTGTGGAATTTGCAAGTGGAGAATTCTAGCGCTTTGACGCCAATGGTAGAAAGGAAATATCTTCGTATAAAAACTAGACAGTATCATTCTCAGAAGCTACTTTGTGATGTGTGCGTTCAACTCACAGAGTTTAACCTTTCTTTTCATAGAGCGGTTTGGAAACCCTCTGTTTGTGAAGTCTGCAAGTGGATATTTAAACGTCTTTGAGGCCTTCGTTGGAAACGGGATTTTTTCATATAAACCAGGACAGAAGAATTCTCAGAAACTTCTTGATTGTTATGTGTGCATTCAACTCACAGAGTTGAACCTTACTTTGGAAAGAGCAGTTTTCTAACACTCTTTTTGTAAAAGTTCCAAGTGAATACTTTGAGTGCTTTGAAGCCTACGGTTGACAACGAAATATCTTCATGTAAAAACTACAAAGAATCATTCGCAGAAACCACGTTGTGATCTCTGCATTCAACTCACAGTGTTGAACCTTTCTTCCTATAGAGCAGTTATGAAACAGTCTCTTTGTAGAATTTGCAAGGGTGTATTTAGAGGGCATTGAAGCCTACAGTAGAAAAGGAAATATCTTACCATAAAATCTAGTCAGAAGCATTCTCAGAAACTGAGTTGTGATGTTTGCATTCAACTCACAGAGTTCAACATTCCTTTTAATGGAGCGGTTTTGAAACACTCTTTTTGCAGAATCTGCAAGTGGATATTTGGACCTCTTTGAGGCCTTCGTTGGAAACGGGATTTCTTCATGTAATGCCAGACAGAAGAATTCTCAGTGAATTCTTTCTGTGTGTGTGTATTCAACTCACAGAGTTGAACGTTCCTTTAGACAGAGTAGATTGGAAACACTCTTTTTGTGGAATTTTCAGGTGGAGGTATCAAGCGCTTTGAGGCCAATGATAGAAAAGGAAATACCTTCGGATAATAATTAGACGGAATCATTCTCAGAAACTGCTTTGCAATGTGTGCGTTCAACTCACAGTGTTTAACCTTTCTTTTCATACAGTTGTTTCGAAACACTCTTTTTGCAGAATCTGCAAGTGGATATTTGGACCTCTTTGAAGTCTTCGTTGGAAATGGGATTTCTTCATATAATGCTAGACAGAAGACTTCTCAGTAACTACTTTTTCTGGTGTGTATTCAACTCTCAGAGTTGAACTTTCCTTTAGAAACAGCAGATTTGAAACTCTCTTTTTGTGGAATTTGCAAGTGGAGATTTCAGAGCTTTGAGGCCAATGGTAGAAAAGGAAATATCTTTGTATGCAAACTAGACAGAATCATTCTCAGAAACTACTTTGGTACGTGTGTGTTCAACTCACAGTGTTTAACCTTTCTTTTCATAGAGCAGTTTGGAAACACTCAGTTTGTAAAGTCAGCAACTGGATATTTGGATGTATTTGAGGCCTTCGTTGGAAACGGGATTTCTTCATATAATGCTAGACAGAAGAATTCTCAGTAACTTCTTTGGGTTGTGGGTATTCAAGTCACAGAGTTGAAGCTTCCTTTAGGCGGAGCAGATTGGAAACACTTTTTGTGGAATTTTCAGGGGGAGACTTCAAGCGCTTTGAAGTGAATGGTAGGAAAGGAAATATCTTCGTATAAAAACTAGACGGGTCATTCTCAGAAACTACTTTGTGATGTTTGCGTTCAACTCACAGAGTTTAACGTTTCTTTTCATAGAGCAGTTTGGAGACACTCTTTTTGCAGAATCTGCAAGTGGATATTTGGACCTCTTTGTGGCCTTCGTTGGAAACGGGATTTTTCATATAATGCTAGACAGAAGAATTCTCAGTAACTTCTTTTTGTGGTGTGTATTCAACTCACAGAGTTGAACCTTCCTTTAGACAGAGCAGATTTGAAACTCTCTTTTCGTGGAATTTGCAAGTGGAGATTTCAAGCGCTTTCAGGCCAACGGTAGAAAAGGAAATATCTTCGTAGAAAAAATAGACGGAATCATTCTCAGAAACTGCTTTGGGATGTGTGCATTGAACTCACAGTGTTTAACACTTCTTTTCATAGAGCACTTTGGAAACACTCAGTTTATAATGTCTGCAGCTGGATATTTGGACCTCTTTGAGGCCTTCGTAGTAAACGGGATTTCTTCGTGTAATGATCGACAATAGAATTCTCAGTGAATTTTTTTCTGTGTGTGTGTATTCAACTCACAGGGTTGAACCTTCCTTTAGACAGTGCAGATTTGAAACACTTGTCTGTGGAATTTGCAAGGGGAGATTTCAAGCACTTTGAGGCCATTGGTGGAAAAGGAAATATCTTCGTATGAAAACTAGACAGAATCATTCTCAGGAACTACTTTGTGATATGTGCATTCAACTCACAGAGTTTAACCTTTCTTTTCATAGATGAGTTTGGAAACAGTCAGTTTGTAAATTCTGCAACTGGATATTTGGACCTCTTTGAGGCTTTCAGTTGGAAACGGGATTTCTTCACATAATGCTAGACAGAAGAATTCTCAGTAACTTCTTTTGGGATGTATGTATTCAAATCAGAGAGTTGAACCTTCCTTTAGACAGAGCGGATTGGAAACACTCTTTTTGTGGAATTTGCAAGTGGAAAATTCTAGCAGTATGAGGCCAATGGTACAAAAGGAAATATCTTCGTATAAAAACTAGACAGTATCATTCTCAGAAACTGCTTTGTGATGTGTGTATTAAACTCACAGACTTGAACATTTCTTTGCATAGAGCAGTATGGAAAGACTTAGTTTGTGCAGTGTGCAAGTGGATATTTGGAACTCTTTGAGGCCTTGGTTGGAAACGGGATTTCTTCTTATAATTCTTGACAAAAGAATTCTCAGTAGCTTCTTTGTGTGTGTGTACTCAACTCACAGAGTTGAACCTTCCTTTAGACAGAGCAGATTGGAAACACTCTTTTTGTGGAATTTGCAAGTGGAAAATTCTAGCAGTATGAGGCCAGTGGTACAAAAGGAAATATCTTCGTATAAAAACTAGACAGTATCATTCTCAGAAACTACTTTGTGAGGTGTGCGTTCAACTCACAGTGTTTACCCTTTCTTTTCATAGAGCAGTTTGGAAACACTCTGTTTGTGAAGTCTGCAAGTGGATATTTAAACGTCTTTGAGGCCTTCGTTGGAAACGGGATTTCTTCATATAAACCAGGACAGAAGAACTCTCAGAAACTTCTTGTTTGTTATGTGTGCATTCAACTCACAGAGTTGAACCTTACTTTGGAAAGAGCAGTTTTCTAACACTCTTTTTGTAAAAGTTCCAAGTGAATACTTTGAGTGCTTTGAAGCCTTACGGTAGACAACGAAATATCTTCATGTAAAAACTACAAAGAATCATTCGCAGAAACCACGTTGTGATCTCTGCAGTCAACTCACAGAGTTCAACCTTTCTTCCTATAGAGCAGTTATGAAACAGTCTCTTTGTAGAATTTGCAAGGGTGTATTTAGAGGGCATTGAAGCCTACGGTAGAAAAGGAAATATCTTACCATAAAATCTAGTCAGAAGCATTCTCAGCAACTGAGTTGTGATGTTTGCATTCAACTCACAGAGTTCAACATTCCTTTTAATGGAGCGGTTTTGAAACACTCTTTTTGCAGAATCTGCAAGTGGATATTTGGACCTCTTTGAGGCCTTCGTTGGAAACGGGATTTCTTCATGTAATGCCAGACAGAAGAATTCTCAGTGAATTCTTTCTGTGTGTGTGTATTCAACTCACAGAGTTGAACGTTCCTTTAGACAGAGTAGATTGGAAACACTCTTTTTGTGGAATTTTCAGGTGGAGGTATCAAGCGCTTTGAGGCCAATGATAGAAAAGGAAATACCTTCGTATAATAATTAGACGGAATCATTCTCAGAAACTGCTTTGCAATGTGTGCCTTCAACTCACAGCGTTTAACCTTTCTTTTCATACAGTTGTTTCGAAACACTCTTTTTGCAGAATCTGCAAGTGGATATTTGGACCTCTTTGAAGTCTTCGTTGGAAATGGGATTTCTTCATATAATGCTAGACAGAAGACTTCTCAGTAACTGCTTTTTCTGGTGTGTATTCAACTCTCAGAGTTGAACTTTCCTTTAGAAACAGCAGATTTGAAACTCTCTTTTTGTGGAATTTGCAAGTGGAGATTTCAGAGCTTTGAGGCCAATGGTAGAAAAGGAAATATCTTCGTATGCAAACTAGACAGAATCATTCTCAGAAACTACTTTGGTACGTGTGTGTTCAACTCACAGTGTTTAACCTTTCTTTTCATAGAGCAGTTTGGAAACACTCAGTTTGTAAATTCAGCAACTGGATATTTGGATGTATTTGAGGCCTTCGTTGGAAACGGGATTTCTTCATATAATGCTAGACAGAAGAATTCTCAGTAACTTCTTTGGGTTGTGGGTATTCAACTCACAGAGTTGAAGCTTCCTTTAGGCGGAGCAGATTGGAAACACTTTTTGTGGAATTTTCAGGGGGAGACTTCAAGCGCTTTGAAGTGAATGGTAGGAAAGGAAATATCTTCGTATAAAAACTAGACGGAGTCATTCTCAGAAACTACTTTGTGATGTTTGCGTTCAACTCACAGAGTTTAACGTTTCTTTTCATAGAGCAGTTTGGAAACACTCTTTTTGCAGAATCTGCAAGTGGATATTTGGACCTCCTTTGTGGCCTTCGTTGGAAACGGGATTTTTCATATAATGCTAGACAGAAGAATTCTCAGTAACTTCTTTTTGTGGTGTGTATTCAACTCACAGAGTGGAACCTTCCTTTAGACAGAGCAGATTTGAAACTCTCTTTTCGTGGAATTTGCAAGTGGAGATTTCAAGCGCTTTGAGGCCAACGGTAGAAAAGGAAATATCTTCGTAGAAAAAATAGACGGAATCATTCTCAGAAACTGCTTTGGGATGTGTGCATTGAACTCACAGTGTTTAACACTTCTTTTCATAGAGCACTTTGGAAACACTCAGTTTGTAATGTCTGCAGCTGGATATTTGGACCTCTTTGAGGCCTTCGTAGTAAACGGGATTTCTTCGTGTAATGATAGACAATGTAATTCTCAGTGAATTTCTTTCTGTGTGTGTGTATTCAACTCACAGGGTTGAACCTTCCTTCAGACAGTGCAGATTTGAAACACTTTTCTGTGGAATTTGCAAGGGGAGATTTCAAGCACTTTGAGGCCATTGGTGGAAAAGGAAATATCTTCGTATAAAAACTAGACAGAGTCATTGTCAGGAACTACTTTGTGATATGTGCATTCAACTCACAGAGTTTAACCTTTCTTTTCATAGATGAGTTTGGAAACAGTCAGTTTGTAAATTCTGCAACTGGATATTTGGACCTCTTTGAGGCTTTCGTTGGAAACGGGATTTCTTCACATAATGCTAGACAGAAGAATTCTCAGTAACTTGTTTTGGGATGTATGTATTCAACTCAGAGAGTTGAACCTTCCTTTAGACAGAGCGGATTGGAAACACGCTTTTTGCGGAATTTTCAGGTGGAGATTCCAAGAGCCTTGAGGCCAATGGTAGAAAAGGCTATCTTCGTATAAAAACTAGAGGGAATCATTCTCAGAAACTGCTTTGTGATGTGTGCATTAAACTCACAGAGTTGAACATTTCTTTGCATAGAGCAGTTTGGAAAGACTTAGTTTGTACAGTGTGCAAGTGGATATTTGGAACTCTTTGAGGCCTTCGTTGGAAACGGGATTTCTTCTTATAATTCTTGACAAAAGAATTCTCAGTAGCTTCTTTGTGTGTGTGTATTCAACTCACAGAGTTGAACCTGCCTTTAGGCAGAGCAGATTGGAAACCCTCTTTTTGTGGAATTTGCAAGCGGAGAATTCTAGCGCTTTGACGCCAATGGTAGGAAAGGAAATATCTTCGTATAAAAACTGGACAGTATCATTCTCAGAAACTACTTTGTGATGTGTGCGTTCAACTCACAGAGTTTAACCTTTCTTTTCATAGAGCAGTTTGGAAACACTCTGTTTGTGAAGTCTGCAAGTGGATATTTAAACGTCTTTGAGGCCTTCGTTGGAAACGGGATTTTTTCCTATAAACCAGGACAGAAGAATTCTCAGAAACTTCTTGTTTGTTATGTGTGCATTCAACTCACAGAGTTGAACCTTACTTTGGAAAGAGCAGTTTTCTAACACTCTTTTTGTAAAAGTTCCAAGTGAATACTTTGAGTGCTTTGAAGCCTACGGTAGACAACGAAATATCTTCATGTAAAAACTACAAAGAATCATTCGCAGAAACCACGTTGTGATCTCTGCATTCAACTCACAGAGTTCAACCTTTCTTCCTATAGAGCAGTTATTAAACAGTCTCTTTGTAGAATTTGCAAGGGTGTATTTAGAGGGCATTGAAGCCTACGGTAGAAAAGGAAATATCTGACCATAAAATCTAGTCAGAAGCATTCTCAGCAACTGAGTTGTGATGTTTGCATTCAACTCACAGAGTTCAACATTCCTTTTAATGGAGCGGTTTTGAAACACTCTTTTTGCAGAATCTGCAAGTGGATATTTGGACCTCTTTGAGGCCTTCGTTGGAAACGAGATTTCTTCATGTAATGCCAGACAGAAGAATTCTCAGTGAATTCTTTCTGTGTGTGTATTCAACTCACAGAGTTGAACGTTCCTTTAGACAGAGTAGATTGGAAACACTCTTTTTGTGGAATTTTCAGGTGGAGGTATCAAGCGCTTTGAGACCAATGATAGAAATGGAAATACCTTCGTATAATAATTAGACGGAATCATTCTCAGAAACTGCTTTGCAATGTGTGCGTTCAACTCACAGTGTTTAACCTTTCTTTTCATACAGTTGTTTCGAAACACTCTTTTTGCAGAATCTGCAAGTGGATATTTGGACCTCTTTGAAGTCTTCGTTGGAAATGGGATTTCTTCATATAATGCTAGACAGAAGACTTCTCAGTAACTGCTTTTTCTGGTGTGTATTCAACTCTCAGAGTTGAACTTTCCTTTAGAAACAGCAGATTTGAAACTCTCTTTTTGTGGAATTTGCAAGTGGAGATTTCAGAGCTTTGAGGCCAATGGTAGAAAAGGAAATATCTTCGTATGCAAACTAGACAGAATCATTCTCAGAAACTACTTTGGTACGTGTGTGTTCAACTCACAGTGTTTAACCTTTCTTTTCATAGAGCAGTTTGGAAACACTCAGTTTGTAAAGTCAGCAACTGGATATTTGGATGTATTTGAGGCCTTCGTTGGAAACGGGATTTCTTCATATAATGCTAGACAGAAGAATTCTCAGTAACTTCTTTGGGTTGTGGGTATTCAACTCACAGAGTTGAAGCTTCCTTTAGGCGGAGCAGATTGGAAACACTTTTTGTGGAATTTTCAGGGGGAGACTTCAAGCGCTTTGAAGTGAATGGTAGAAAAGGAAATATCTTCGTATAAAAACTAGACGGAGTCATTCTCAGAAACTACTTTGTGATGTTTGCGTTCAACTCACAGAGTTTAACGTTTCTTTTCATAGAGCAGTTTGGAAACACTCTTTTTGCAGAATCTGCAAGTGGATATTTGGACCTCTTTGTGGCCTTCGTTGGAAACGGGATTTTTCATATAATGCTAGACAGAAGAATTCTCAGTAACTTCTTTTTGTGGTGTGTATTCAACTCACAGAGTTGAACCTTCCTTTAGACAGAGCAGATTTGAAACTCTCTTTTTGTGGAATTTGCAAGTGGAGATTTCAAGCGCTTTGAGGCCAACGGTAGAAAAGGAAATATCTTCGTAGAAAAAATAGACGGAATCATTCTCAGAAACTGCTTTGGGATGTGTGCATTGAACTCACAGTGTTTAACACTTCTTTTCATAGAGCACTTTGGAAACACTCAGTTTATAATGTCTGCAGCTGGATATTTGGACCTCTTTGAGGCCTTCGTAGTAAACGGGATTTCTTCGTGTAATGATAGACAATAGAATTCTCAGTGAATTTTTTTCTGTGTGTGTGTATTCAACTCACAGGGTTGAACCATCCTTTAGACAGTGCAGATTTGAAACACTTGTCTGTGGAATTTGCAAGGGGAGATTTCAAGCACTTTGAGGCCATTGGTGGAAAAGGAAATATCTTCGTATGAAAACTAGACAGAATCATTCTCAGGAACTACTTTGTGATATGGGCATTCAACTCACAGAGTTTAACCTTTCTTTTCATAGATGAGTTTGGAAACAGTCAGTTTGTAAATTCTGCAACTGGATATTTGGACCTCTTTGAGGCTTTCGTTGGAAACGGGATTTCTTCACATAATGCTAGACAGAAGAATTCTCAGTAACTTCTTTTGGGATGTATGTATTCAAATCAGAGAGTTGAACTTTCCTTTAGACAGAGCGGATTGGAAACACTCTTTTTGTGGAATTTGCAAGTGGAAAATTCTAGCAGTATGAGGCCAATGGTACAAAAGGAAATATCTTCGTATAAAAACTAGACAGTATCAGTTCTCAGAAACTGCTTTGTGATGTGTGGATTAAACTCACAGAGTTGAACATTTCTTTGCATAGAGCAGTTTGGAAAGACTTAGTTTGTGCAGTGTGCAAGTGGATATTTGGAACTCTTTGAGGCCTTCGTTGGAAACGGGATTTCTTCTTATAATTTCTTGAAAAAAGAATTCTCAGTAGCTTCTTTGTGTGTGTGTATTCAACTCACAGAGTTGAACCTGCCTTTAGGCAGAGCAGAGTGGAAACCCTCTTTTTGTGGAATGTGCAAGTGGAGAATTCTAGCGCTTTGACGCCAATGGTAGGAAAGGAAATATCTTCGTATAAAAACTGGACAGTATCATTCTCAGAAGCTACTTTGTGATGTGTGCGTTCAACTCACAGAGTTTAACCTTTCTTTTCATAGAGCGGTTTGGAAACCCTCTGTTTGTGAAGTCTGCAAGTGGATATTTAAACGTCTTTGAGGCCTTCGTTGGAAACGGGATTTTTTCATATAAACCAGGACAGAAGAATTCTCAGAAACTTCTTGATTGTTATGTGTGCATTCAACTCACAGAGTTGAACCTTACTTTGGAAAGAGCAGTTTTCTAACACTCTTTTTGTAAAAGTTCCAAGTGAATACTTTGAGTGCTTTGAAGCCTACGGTTGACAACGAAATATCTTCATGTAAAAACTACAAAGAATCATTCGCAGAAACCACGTTGTGATCTCTGCATTCAACTCACAGAGTTGAACCTTTCTTCCTATAGAGCAGTTATGAAACAGTCTCTTTGTAGAATTTGCAAGGGTGTATTTAGAGGGCATTGAAGCCTACGGTAGAAAAGGAAATATCTTACCATAAAATCTAGTCAGAAGCATTCTCAGAAACTGAGTTGTGATGTTTGCATTCAACTCACAGAGTTCAACATTCCTTTTAATGGAGCGGTTTTGAAACACTCTTTTTGCAGAATCTGCAAGTGGATATTTGGACCTCTTTGAGGCCTTCGTTGGAAACGGGATTTCTTCATGTAATGCCAGACAGAAGAATTCTCAGTGAATTCTTTCTGTGTGTGTGTATTCAACTCACGGAGTTGAACGTTCCTTTAGACAGAGTAGATTGGAAACACTCTTTTTGTGGAATTTTCAGGTGGAGGCATCAAGCGCTTTGAGGCCAATGATAGAAAAGGAAATACCTTCGTATAATAATTAGACGGAATCATTCTCAGAAACCGCTTTGCAATGTGTGCGTTCAACTCACAGTGTTTAACCTTTCTTTTCATACAGTTGTTTCGAAACACTCTTTTTGCAGAATCTGCAAGTGGATATTTGGACCTCTTTGAAGTCTTCGTTGGAAATGGGATTTCTTCATATAATGCTAGACAGAAGACTTCTCAGTAACTGCTTTTTCTGGTGTGTATTCAACTCTCAGAGTTGAACTTTCCTTTAGAAACAGCAGATTTGAAACTCTCTTTTTGTGGAATTTGCAAGTGGAGATTTCAGAGCTTTGAGGCCAATGGTAGAAAAGGAAATATCTTCGTATGCAAACTAGACAGAATCATTCTCAGAAACTACTTTGGTACGTGTGTGTTCAACTCACAGTGTTTAACCTTTCTTTTCATAGAGCAGTTTGGAAACACTCAGTTTGTAAAGTCAGCAACTGGATATTTGGATGTATTTGAGGCCTTCGTTGGAAACGGGATTTCTTCATATAGTGCTAGACAGAAGAATTCTCAGTAACTTCTTTGGGTTGTGGGTATTCAACTCACAGAGTTGAAGCTTCCTTTAGCGGAGCAGATTGGAAACACTTTTTGTGGAATTTTCAGGGGGAGACTTCAAGCGCTTTGAAGTGAATGGTAGGAAAGGAAATATCTTCGTATAAAAACTAGACGGAGTCATTCTCAGAAACTACTTTGTGATGTTTGCGTTCAACTCACAGAGTTTAACGTTTCTTTTCATAGAGCAGTTTGGAAACACTCTTTTTGCAGAATCTGCAAGTGGATATTTGGACCTCTTTGTGGCCTTCGTTGGAAACGGGATTTTTCATATAATGCTAGACAGAAGAATTCTCAGTAACTTCTTTTTGTGGTGTGTATTCAACTCACAGAGTTGAACCTTCCTTTAGACAGAGCAGATTTGAAACTCTCTTTTTGTGGAATTTGCAAGTGGAGATTTCAAGCGCTTTGAGGCCAACGGTAGAAAAGTAAATATCTTCGTAGAAAAAATAGACGGAATCATTCTCAGAAACTGCTTTGGGATGTGTGCATTGAACTCACAGTGTTTAACACTTCTTTTCATAGAGCACTTTGGAAACACTCAGTTTGTAATGTCTGCAGCTGGATATTTGGACCTCTTTGAGGCCTTCGTAGTAAACGGGATTTCTTCGTGTAATGATAGACAATAGAATTCTCAGTGAATTTTTTTCTGTGTGTGTGTATTCAACTCACAGGGTTGAACCTTCCTTCAGACAGTGCAGATTTGAAACACTTTTCTGTGGAATTTGCAAGGGGAGATTTCAAGCACTTTGAGGCCATTGGTGGAAAAGGAAATATCTTCGTATAAAAACTAGACAGAATCATTCTCAGGAACTACTTTGTGATATGTGCATTCAACTCACAGAGTTTAACCTTTCTTTTCATAGATGAGTTTGGAAACAGTCAGTTTGTAAATTCTGCAACTGGATATTTGGACCTCTTTGAGGCTTTCGTTGGAAACGGGATTTCTTCACATAATGCTAGACAGAAGAATTCTCAGTAACTTCTTTTGGGATGTATGTATTCAAATCAGAGAGTTGAACCTTCCTTTAGACAGAGCGGATTGGAAACACTCTTTTTGTGGAATTTGCAAGTGGAAAATTCTAGCAGTATGAGGCCAATGGTACAAAAGGAAATATCTTCGTATAAAAACTAGACAGTATCATTCTCAGAAACTGCTTTGTGATGTGTGTATTAAACTCACAGAGTTGAACATTTCTTTGCATAGAGCAGTTTGGAAAGACTTAGTTTGTGCAGTGTGCAAGTGGATATTTGGAACTCTTTGAGGCCTTCGTTGGAAACGGGATTTCTTCTTATAATTCTTGACAAAAGAATTCTCAGTAGCTTCTTTGTGTGTGTGTATTCAACTCACAGAGTTGAACCTTCCTTTAGACAGAGCAGATTGGAAACACTCTTTTTGTGGAATTTGCAAGTGGAGAATTCTAGCGCTTTGACGCCAATGGTAGAAAGGAAATATCTTCGTATAAAAACTAGACAGTATCATTCTCAGAAGCTACTTTGTGATGTGTGCGTTCAACTCACAGAGTTTAACCTTTCTTTTCATAGAGCGGTTTGGAAACCCTCTGTTTGTGAAGTCTGCAAGTGGATATTTAAACGTCTTTGAGGCCTTCGTTGGAAACGGGATTTTTTCATATAAACCAGGACAGAAGAATTCTCAGAAACTTCTTGATTGTTATGTGTGCATTCAACTCACAGAGTTGAACCTTACTTTGGAAAGAGCAGTTTTCTAACACTCTTTTTGTAAAAGTTCCAAGTGAATACTTTGAGTGCTTTGAAGCCTACGGTTGACAACGAAATATCTTCATGTAAAAACTACAAAGAATCATTCGCAGAAACCACGTTGTGATCTCTGCATTCAACTCACAGAGTTGAACCTTTCTTCCTATAGAGCAGTTATGAAACAGTCTCTTTGTAGAATTTGCAAGGGTGTATTTAGAGGGCATTGAAGCCTACGGTAGAAAAGGAAATATCTTACCATAAAATCTAGTCAGAAGCATTCTCAGAAACTGAGTTGTGATGTTTGCATTCAACTCACAGAGTTCAACATTCCTTTTAATGGAGCGGTTTTGAAACACTCTTTTTGCAGAATCTGCAAGTGGATATTTGGACCTCTTTGAGGCCTTCGTTGGAAACGGGATTTCTTCATGTAATGCCAGACAGAAGAATTCTCAGTGAATTCTTTCTGTGTGTGTGTATTCAACTCACAGAGTTGAACGTTCCTTTAGACAGAGTAGATTGGAAACACTCTTTTTGTGGAATTTTCAGGTGGAGGTATCAAGCGCTTTGAGGCCAATGATAGAAAAGGAAATACCTTCGTATAATAATTAGACGGAATCATTCTCAGAAACCGCTTTGCAATGTGTGCGTTCAACTCACAGTGTTTAACCTTTCTTTTCATACAGTTGTTTCGAAACACTCTTTTTGCAGAATCTGCAAGTGGATATTTGGACCTCTTTGAAGTACTTCGTTGGAAATGGGATTTCTTCATATAATGCTAGACAGAAGACTTCTCAGTAACTGCTTTTTCTGGTGTGTATTCAACTCTCAGAGTTGAACTTTCCTTTAGAAACAGCTGATTTGAAACTCTCTTTTTGTGGAATTTGCAAGTGGAGATTTCAGAGCTTTGAGGCCAATGGTAGAAAAGGAAATATCTTCGTATGCAAACTAGACAGAATCATTCTCAGAAACTACTTTGGTACGTGTGTGTTCAACTCACAGTGTTTAACCTTTCTTTTCATAGAGCAGTTTGGAAACACTCAGTTTGTAAAGTCAGCAACTGGATATTTGGATGTATTTGAGGCCTTCGTTGGAAACGGGATTTCTTCATATAATGCTAGACAGAAGAATTCTCAGTAACTTCTTTGGGTTGTGGGTATTCAAGTCACAGAGTTGAAGCTTCCTTTAGGCGGAGCAGATTGGAAACACTTTTTGTGGAATTTTCAGGGGGAGACTTCAAGCGCTTTGAAGTGAATGGTAGGAAAGGAAATATCGTCGTATAAAAACTAGACGGAGTCATTCTCAGAAACTACTTTGTGATGTTTGCGTTCAACTCACAGAGTTTAACGTTTCTTTTCATAGAGCAGTTTGGAAACACTCTTTTTGCAGAATCTGCAAGTGGATATTTGGACCTCTTTGTGGCCTTCGTTGGAAACGGGATTTTTCATATAATGCTAGACAGAAGAATTCTCAGTAACTTCTTTTTGTGGTGTGTATTCAACTCACAGAGTTGAACCTTCCTTTAGACAGAGCAGATTTGAAACTCTCTTTTTGTGGAATTTGCAAGTGGAGATTTCAAGCGCTTTGAGGCCAACGGCAGAAAAGGAAATATCTTCGTAGAAAAAATAGACGGAATCATTCTCAGAAACTGCTTTGGGATGTGTGCATTGAACTCACAGTGTTTAACACTTCTTTTCATAGAGCACTTTGGAAACACTCAGTTTGTAATGTCTGCAGCTGGATATTTGGACCTCTTTGAGGCCTTCGTAGTAAACGGGATTTACTTCGTGTAATGATAGACAATAGAATTCTCAGTGAATTTTTTTCTGTGTGTGTGTATTCAACTCACAGGGTTGAACCTTCCTTTAGACAGTGCAGATTTGAAACACTTGTCTGTGGAATTTGCAAGGGGAGATTTCAAGCACTTTGAGGCCATTGGTGGAAAAGGAAATATCTTCGTATGAAAACTAGACAGAATCATTCTCAGGAACTACTTTGTGATATGGGCATTCAACTCACAGAGTTTAACCTTTCTTTTCATAGATGAGTTTGGAAACAGTCAGTTTGTAAATTCTGCAACTGGATATTTGGACCTCTTTGAGGCTTTCGTTGGAAACGGGATTTCTTCACATAATGCTAGACAGAAGAATTCTCAGTAACTTCTTTTGGGATGTATGTATTCAAATCAGAGAGTTGAACCTTCCTTTAGACAGAGCGGATTGGAAACACTCTTTTTGTGGAATTTGCAAGTGGAAAATTCTAGCAGTATGAGGCCAATGGTACAAAAGGAAATATCTTCGTATAAAAACTAGACAGTATCATTCTCAGAAACTGCTTTGTGATGTGTGTATTAAACTCACAGAGTTGAACATTTCTTTGCATAGAGCAGTATGGAAAGACTTAGTTTGTGCAGTGTGCAAGTGGATATTTGGAACTCTTTGAGGCCTTGGTTGGAAACGGGATTTCTTCTTATAATTCTTGACAAAAGAATTCTCAGTAGCTTCTTTGTGTGTGTGTACTCAACTCACAGAGTTGAACCTTCCTTTAGACAGAGCAGATTGGAAACACTCTTTTTGTGGAATTTGCAAGTGGAAAATTCTAGCAGTATGAGGCCAATGGTACAAAAGGAAATATCTTCGTATAAAAACTAGACAGTATCATTCTCAGAAACTACTTTGTGAGGTGTGCGTTCAACTCACAGTGTTTACCCTTTCTTTTCATAGAGCAGTTTGGAAACACTCTGTTTGTGAAGTCTGCAAGTGGATATTTAAACGTCTTTGAGGCCTTCGTTGGAAACGGGATTTCTTCATATAAACCAGGACAGAAGAATTCTCAGAAACTTCTTGTTTGTTATGTGTGCATTCAACTCACAGAGTTGAACCTTACTTTGGAAAGAGCAGTTTTCTAACACTCTTTTTGTGAAAGTTCCAAGTGAATACTTTGAGTGCTTTGAAGCCTACGGTAGACAACGAAATATCTTCATGTAAAAACTACAAAGAATCATTCGCAGAAACCACGTTTTGATCTCTGCATTCAACTCACAGAGTTGAACCTTTCCTCCTATAGAGCAGTTATGAAGCAGTCTCTTTGTAGAATTTGCAAGGGTGTATTTACAGGGCATTGAAGCCTACGGTAGAAAAGGAAATATCTTACCATAAAATCTAGTCAGAAGCATTCTCAGAAACTGAGTTGTGATGTTTGCATTCAACTCACAGAGTTCAACATTCCTTTTAATGGAGCGGTTTTCAAACACTCTTTTTGCAGAATCTGTAAGTGGATATTTGGACCTCTTTGAGGCCTTCGTTGGAAACGGGATTTCTTCATGTAATGCCAGACAGAAGAATTCTCAGTGAATTCTTTCTGTGTGTGTGTATTCAACTCACAGAGTTGAACGTTCCTTTAGACAGAGTAGATTGGAAACACTCTTTTTGTGGAATTTTCAGGTGGAGGTATCAAGCGCTTTGAGGCCAATGATAGAAAAGGAAATACCTTCGTATAATAATTAGACGGAATCATTCTCAGAAACTGCTTTGCAATGTGTGCGTTCAACTCACAGTGTTTAACCTTTCTTTTCATACAGTTGTTTCGAAACACTCTTTTTGCAGAATCTGCAAGTGGATATTTGGACCTCTTTGAAGTCTTCGTTGGAAATGGGATTTCTTCATATAATGCTAGACAGAAGACTTCTCAGTAACTACTTTTTCTGGTGTGTATTCAACTCTCAGAGTTGAACTTTCCTTTAGAAACAGCAGATTTGAAACTCTCTTTTTGTGGAATTTGCAAGTGGAGATTTCACAGCTTTGAGGCCAATGGTAGAAAAGGAAATATCTTCGTATGCAAACTAGACAGAATCATTCTCAGAAACTACTTTGGTACGTGTGTGTTCAACTCACAGTGTTTAACCTTTCTTTTCATAGAGCAGTTTGGAAACACTCAGTTTGTAAAGTCAGCAACTGGATATTTGGATGTATTTGAGGCCTTCGTTGGAAACGGGATTTCTTCATATAATGCTAGACAGAAGAATTCTCAGTAACTTCTTTGGGTTGTGGGTATTCAACTCACAGAGTTGAAGCTTCCTTTAGGCGGAGCAGATTGGAAACACTTTTTGTGGAATTTTCAGGGGGAGACTTCAAGCGCTTTGAAGTGAATGGTAGAAAAGGAAATATCTTCGTATAAAAACTAGACGGAGTCATTCTCAGAAACTACTTTGTGATGTTTGCGTTCAACTCACAGAGTTTAACGTTTCTTTTCATAGAGCAGTTTGGAAACACTCTTTTTGCAGAATCTGCAAGTGGATATTTGGACCTCTTTGTGGCCTTCGTTGGAAACGGGATTTTTCATATAATGCTAGACAGAAGAATTCTCAGTAACTTCTTTTTGTGGTGTGTATTCAACTCACAGAGTTGAACCTTCCTTTAGACAGAGCAGATTTGAAACTCTCTTTTTGTGGAATTTGCAAGTGGAGATTTCAAGCGCTTTGAGGCCAACGGCAGAAAAGGAAATATCTTCGTAGAAAAAATAGACGGAATCATTCTCAGAAACTGCTTTGGGATGTGTGCATTGAACTCACAGTGTTTAACACTTCTTTTCATAGAGCACTTTGGAAACACTCAGTTTGTAATGTCTGCAGCTGGATACTTGGACCTCTTTGAGGCCTTCGTAGTAAACGGGATTTCTTCGTGTAATGATAGACAATAGAATTCTCAGTGAATTTTTTTCTGTGTGTGTGTATTCAACTCACAGGGTTGAACCTTCCTTTAGACAGTGCAGATTTGAAACACTTGTCTGTGGAATTTGCAAGGGGAGATTTCAAGCACTTTGAGGCCATTGGTGGAAAAGGAAATATCTTCGTATAAAAACTAGACAGAATCATTCTCAGGAACTACTTTGTGATATGTGCATTCAACTCCCAGAGTTTAACCTTTCTTTTCATAGATGAGTTTGGAAACAGTCAGTTTGTAAATTCTGCAACTGGATATTTGGACCTCTTTGAGGCATTCGTTGGAAACGGGATTTCTTCACATAATGCTAGACAGAAGAATTCTCAGTAACTTCTTTTGGGATGTATGTATTCAAATCAGAGAGTTGAACCTTCCTTTAGACAGAGCGGATTGGAAACACTCTTTTTGTGGAATTTGCAAGTGGAAAATTCTAGCAGTATGAGGCCAATGGTACAAAAGGAAATATCTTCGTATAAAAACTAGACAGTTATCATTCTCAGAAACTACTTTGTGAGGTGTGCGTTCAACTCACAGTGTTTACCCTTTCTTTTCATAGAGCAGTTTGGAAACACTCTGTTTGTGAAGTCTGCAAGTGGATATTTAAACGTCTTTGAGGCCTTCGTTGGAAACGGGATTTCTTCATATAAACCAGGACAGAAGAATTCTCAGAAACTTCTTGTTTGTTATGTGTGCATTCAACTCACAGAGTTGAACCTTACTTTGGAAAGAGCAGTTTTCTAACACTCTTTTTGTAAAAGTTCCAAGTGAATACTTTGAGTGCTTTGAAGCCTTACGGTAGACAACGAAATATCTTCATGTAAAAACTACAAAGAATCATTCGCAGAAACCACGTTGTGATCTCTGCATTCAACTCACAGAGTTGAACCTTTCCTCCTATAGAGCAGTTATGAAACAGTCTCTTTGTTGAATTTGCAAGGGTGTATTTACAGGGCATTGAAGCCTACGGTAGAAAAGGAAATATCTTACCATAAAATCTAGTCAGAAGCATTCTCAGAAACTGAGTTGTGATGTTTGCATTCAACTCACAGAGTTCAACATTCCTTTAAATGGAGCGGTTTTGAAACACTCTTTTTGCAGAATCTGCAAGTGGATATTTGGACCTCTTTGAGGCCTTCGTTGGAAACGGGATTTCTTCATGTAATGCCAGACAGAAGAATTCTCAGTGAATTCTTTCTGTGTGTGTGTATTCAACTCACAGAGTTGAACGTTCCTTTAGACAGAGTAGATTGGAAACACTCTTTTTGTGGAATTTTCAGGTGGAGGTATCAAGCGCTTTGAGGCCAATGATAGAAAAGGAAATACCTTCGTATAATAATTAGACGGAATCATTCTCAGAAACCGCTTTGCAATGTGTGCGTTCAACTCACAGTGTTTAACCTTTCTTTTCATACAGTTGTTTCGAAACACTCTTTTTGCAGAATCTGCAAGTGGATATTTGGACCTCTTTGAAGTCTTCGTTGGAAATGGGATTTCTTCATATAATGCTAGACAGAAGACTTCTCAGTAACTGCTTTTTCTGGTGTGTATTCAACTCTCAGAGTTGAACTTTCCTTTAGAAACAGCAGATTTGAAACTCTCTTTTTGTGGAATTTGCAAGTGGAGATTTCAGAGCTTTGAGGCCAATGGTAGAAAAGGAAATATCTTCGTATGCAAACTAGACAGAATCATTCTCAGAAACTACTTTGGTACGTGTGTGTTCAACTCACAGTGTTTAACCTTTCTTTTCATAGAGCAGTTTGGAAACACTCAGTTTGTAAAGTCAGCAACTGGATATTTGGATGTATTTGAGGCCTTCGTTGGAAACGGGATTTCTTCATATAATGCTAGACAGAAGAATTCTCAGTGAATTCTTTCTGTGTGTGTGTATTCAACTCACCGAGTTGAACGTTCCTTTAGACAGAGTAGATTGGAAACACTCTTTTTGTGGAATTTTCAGGTGGAGGTATCAAGCGCTTTGAGGCCAATGATAGAAAAGGAAATACCTTTGTATAATAATTAGACGGAATCATTCTCAGAAACTGCTTTGCAATGTGTGCGTTCAACTCACAGTGTTTAACCTTTCTTTTCATACAGTTGTTTCGAAACACTCTTTTTGCAGAATCTTCAAGTGGATATTTGGACCTCTTTGAAGTCTTCGTTGGAAATGGGATTTCTTCATATAATGCTAGACAGAAGACTTCTCAGTAACTGCTTTTTCTGGTGTGTATTCAACTCTCAGAGTTGAACCTTCCTTTAGAAACAGCAGATTTGAAACTCTCTTTTTGTGGTATTTGCAAGTGGAGAATTCAAGTGCTTTGAGGCCAACGGTAGAAAAGGAAATATCTTCGTAGAAAAAATAGACGGAATCATTCTCAGAAACTGCTTTGGGATGTGTGCATTGAACTCACAGTGTTTAACACTTCTTTTCATAGAGCACTTTGGAAACACTCAGTTTGTAATGTCTGCAGCTGGATATTTGGACCTCCTTGAGGCCTTCGTAGTAAACGGGATTTCTTCGTGTAATGATAGACAGTAGAATTCTCAGTGAATTTGTTTCTGTGTGTGTGTATTCAACTCACAGGGTTGAACCTTCCTTTAGACAGTGCAGATTTGAAACACTTGTCTGTGGAATTTGCAAGGGGAGATTTCAAGCACTTTGAGGCCATTGGTGGAAAAGGAAATATCTTCGTATAAAAACTAGACAGAATCATTCTCAGGAACTACTTTGTGATATGTGCATTCAACTCCCAGAGTTTAACCTTTCTTTTCATAGATGAGTTTGGAAACAGTCAGTTTGTAAATTCTGCAACTGGATATTTGGACCTCTTTGAGGCTTTCGTTGGAAACGGGATTTCTTCACATAATGCTAGACAGAAGAATTCTCAGTAACTTCTTTTGGGATGTATGTATTCAAATCAGAGAGTTGAACCTTCCTTTAGACAGAGCGGATTGGAAACACTCTTTTTGTGGAATTTGCAAGTGGAAAATTCTAGCAGTATGAGGCCAATGGTACAAAAGGAAATATCTTCGTATAAAAACTAGACAGTATCATTCTCAGAAACTGCTTTGTGATGTGTGTATTAAACTCACAGAGTTGAACATTTCTTTGCATAGAGCAGTTTGGAAAGACTTAGTTTGTGCAGTGTGCAAGTGGATATTTGGAACTCTTTGAGGCCTTCTTTGGAAACGGGATTTCTTCTTATAATTCTTGACAAAAGAATTCTCAGTAGCTTCTTTGTGTGTGTGTATTCAACTCACAGAGTTGAACCTTCCTTGAGACAGAGCAGATTGGAAACACTCTTTTTGTGGAATTTGCAAGTGGAGAATTCTAGCGCTTTGACGCCAATGGTAGAAAGGAAATATCTTCGTATAAAAACTAGACAGTATCATTCTCAGAAACTGCTTTGTGATGTGTGTATTAAACTCACAGAGTTTAACCTTTCTTTTCATAGAGCAGTTTGGAAACCCTCTGTTTGTGAAGTCTGCAAGTGGATATTTAAACGTCTTTGAGGCCTTCGTTGGAAACGGGATTTTTTCATATAAACCAGGACAGAAGAATTCTCAGAAACTTCTTGTTTGTTATGTGTGCATTCAACTCACAGAGTTGAACCTTACTTTGGAAAGAGCAGTTTTCTAACACTCTTTTTGTAAAAGTTCCAAGTGAATACTTTGAGTGCTTTGAAGCCTACGGTAGACAACGAAATATCTTCATGTAAAAACTACAAAGAATCATTCGCAGAAACCACGTTGTGATCTCTGCATTCAACTCACAGAGTTGAACCTTTCCTCCAATAGAGCAGTTATGAAACAGTCTCTTTGTAGAATTTGCAAGGGTGTATTTACAGGGCATTGAAGCCTACGGTAGAAAAGGAAATATCTTACCATAAAATCTAGTCAGAAGCATTCTCATAAACTGAGTTGTGATGTTTGCATTCAACTCACAGAGTTCAACATTCCTTTTAATGGAGCGGTTTTGAAACACTCTTTTTGCAGAATCTGCAAGTGGATATTTGGACCTCTTTGAGGCCTTTGTTGGAAACGGGATTTCTTCATGTAATGCCAGACAGAAGAATTCTCAGTGAATTCTTTCTGTGTGTGTGTATTCAACTCACAGAGTTGAACGTTCCTTTAGACAGAGTAGATTGGAAACACTCTTTTTGTGGAATTTTCAGGTGGAGGTATCAAGCGCTTTGAGGCCAATGATAGAAAAGGAAATACCTTCGTATAATAATTAGACGGAATCATTCTCAGAAACCGCTTTGCAATGTGTGCGTTCAACTCACAGTGTTTAACCTTTCTTTTCATACAGTTGTTTCGAAACACTCTTTTTGCAGAATCTGCAAGTGGATATTTGGACCTCTTTGAAGTCTTCGTTGGAAATGGGATTTCTTCATATAATGCTAGACAGAAGACTTCTCAGTAACTGCTTTTTCTGGTGTGTATTCAACTCTCAGAGTTGAACTTTCCTTTAGAAACAGCAGATTTGAAACTCTCTTTTTGTGGAATTTGCAAGTGGAGATTTCAGAGCTTTGAGGCCACTGGTAGAAAAGGAAATATCTTCGTATGCAAACTAGACAGAATCATTCTCAGAAACTACTTTGGTACGTGTGTGTTCAACTCACAGTGTTTAACCTTTCTTTTCATAGAGCAGTTTGGAAACACTCAGTTTGTAAAGTCAGCAACTGGATATTTGGATGTATTTGAGGCCTTCGTTGGAAACGGGATTTCTTCATATAATGCTAGACAGAAGAATTCTCAGTAACTTCTTTGTGTTGTGGGTATTCAACTAACAGAGCTGAAGCTTCCTTTAGGCGGAGCAGATTGGAAACACTTTTTGTGGAATTTTCAGGGGGAGACTTCAAGCGCTTTGAGGCCAACGGTAGAAAAGGAAATATCTTCGTATAAAAACTAGACGGAGTCATTCTCAGAAACTACTTTGTGATGTTTGCGTTCAACTCACAGAGTTTAACGTTTCTTTTCATAGAGCAGTTTGGAAACACTCTTTTTGCAGAATCTGCAAGTGGATATTTGGACCTCTTTGTGGCCTTCGTTGGAAACGGGATTTTTCATATAATGCTAGACAGAAGAATTCTCAGTAACTTCTTTTTGTGGTGTGTATTCAACTCACAGAGTTGAACCTTCCTTTAGACAGAGCAGATTTGAAACTCTCTTTTCGTGGAATTAGCAAGTGGAGATTTCAAGCGCTTTGAGGCCAACGGTAGAAAAGGAAATATCTTCGTAGAAAAAATAGACGGAATCATTCTCAGAAACTGCTTTGGGATGTGTGCATTGAACTCACAGTGTTTAACACTTCTTTTCATAGAGCACTTTGGAAACACTCAGTTTGTAATGTCTGCAGCTGGATATTTGGACCTCTTTGAGGCCTTCGTGGTAAACGGGATTTCTTCGTGTAATGATAGACAATAGAATTCTCAGTGAATTTGTTTCTGTGTGTGTGTATTCAACTCACAGGGTTGAACCTTCCTTTAGACAGTGCAGATTTGAAACACTTGTCTGTGGAATTTGCAAGGGGAGATTTCAAGCACTTTGAGGCCATTGGTGGAAAAGGAAATATCTTCGTATAAAAACTAGACAGAATCATTCTCAGGAACTACTTTGTGATATGTGCATTCAACTCACAGAGTTTAACCTTTCTTTTCATAGATGAGTTTGGAAACAGTCAGTTTGTAAATTCTGCAACTGGATATTTGGACCTCTTTGAGGCTTCCGTTGGAAACGGGATTTCTTCACATAATGCTAGACAGAAGAATTCTCAGTAACTTCTTTTGGGATGTATGTATTCAAATCAGAGAGTTGAACCTTCCTTTAGACAGAGCGGATTGGAAACACTCTTTTTGTGGAATTTGCAAGTGGAAAATTCTAGCAGTATGAGGCCAATGGTACAAAAGGAAATATGTTCGTATAAAAACTAGACAGTATCATTCTCAGAAACTGCTTTGTGATGTGTGTATTAAACTCACAGAGTTGAACATTTCTTTGCATAGAGCAGTTTGGAAAGACTTAGTTTGTGCAGTGTGCAAGTGGATATTTGGAACTCTTTGAGGCCTTCGTTGGAAACGGGATTTCTTCTTATAATTTCTTGAAAAAAGAATTCTCAGTAGCTTCTTTGTGTGTGTGTATTCAACTCACAGAGTTGAACCTTCCTTTAGACAGAGCAGATTGGAAACACTCTTTTTGTGGAATTTGCAAGTGGAGAATTCTAGCGCTTTGACGCCAATGGTAGAAAGGAAATATCTTCGTATAAAAACTAGACAGTATCATTCTCAGAAGCTACTTTGTGATGTGTGCGTTCAACTCACAGAGTTTAACCTTTCTTTTCATAGAGCAGTTTGGAAACCCTCTGTTTGTGAAGTCTGCAAGTGGATATTTAAACGTCTTTGAGGCCTTCGTTGGAAACGGGATTTTTTCATATAAACCAGGACAGAAGAATTCTCAGAAACTTCTTGATTGTTATGTGTGCATTCAACTCACAGAGTTGAACCTTACTTTGGAAAGAGCAGTTTTCTAACACTCTTTTTGTAAAAGTTCCAAGTGAATACTTTGAGTGCTTTGAAGCCTACGGTTGACAACGAAATATCCTTCATGTAAAAACTACAAAGAATCATTCGCAGAAACCACGTTGTGATCTCTGCATTCAACTCACAGAGTTCAACCTTTCTTCCTATAGAGCAGTTATGAAACAGTCTCTTTGTAGAATTTGCAAGGGTGTATTTAGAGGGCATTGAAGCCTACGGTAGAAAAGGAAATATCTTACCATAAAATCTAGTCAGAAGCATTCTCAGAAACTGAGTTGTGATGTTTGCA
This sequence comes from Homo sapiens, assembly GCF_000001405.40. NCBI lineage: Eukaryota > Metazoa > Chordata > Mammalia > Primates > Hominidae > Homo > Homo sapiens. The sequence continues at coordinate 93,286,430 of NC_000003.12, forward strand.
TTCAACTCACAGAGTTCAACATTCCTTTTAATGGAGCGGTTTTGAAACACTCTTTTTGCAGAATCTGCAAGTGGATATTTGGACCTCTTTGAGGCCTTCGTTGGAAACGGGATTTCTTCATGTAATGCCAGACAGAAGAATTCTCAGTGAATTCTTTCTGTGTGTGTGTATTCAACTCACAGAGTTGAACGTTCCTTTAGACAGAGTAGATTGGAAACACTCTTTTTGTGGAATTTTCAGGTGGAAGTATCAAGCGCTTTGAGGCCAATGATAGAAAAGGAAATACCTTCGTATAATAATTAGACGGAATCATTCTCAGAAACCGCTTTGCAATGTGTGCGTTCAACTCACAGTGTTTAACCTTTCTTTTCATACAGTTGTTTCGAAACACTCTTTTTGCAGAATCTGCAAGTGGATATTTGGACCTCTTTGAAGTCTTCGTTGGAAATGGGATTTCTTCATATAATGCTAGACAGAAGACTTCTCAGTAACTGCTTTTTCTGGTGTGTATTCAACTCTCAGAGTTGAACTTTCCTTTAGAAACAGCAGATTTGAAACTCTCTTTTTGTGGAATTTGCAAGTGGAGATTTCAGAGCTTTGAGGCCAATGGTAGAAAAGGAAATATCTTCGTATGCAAACTAGACAGAATCATTCTCAGAAACTACTTTGGTACGTGTGTGTTCAACTCACAGTGTTTAACCTTTCTTTTCATAGAGCAGTTTGGAAACACTCAGTTTGTAAAGTCAGCAACTGGATATTTGGATGTATTTGAGGCCTTCGTTGGAAACGGGATTTCTTCATATAATGCTAGACAGAAGAATTCTCAGTAACTTCTTTGGGTTGTGGGTATTCAAGTCACAGAGTTGAAGCTTCCTTTAGGCGGAGCAGATTGGAAACACTTTTTGTGGAATTTTCAGGGGGAGACTTCAAGCGCTTTGAAGTGAATGGTAGGAAAGGAAATATCTTCGTATAAAAACTAGACGGAGTCATTCTCAGAAACTACTTTGTGATGTTTGCATTCAACTCACAGAGTTTAACGCTTCTTTTCATAGAGCAGTTTGGAAACACTCTTTTTGCAGAATCTGCAAGTGGATATTTGGACCTCTTTGTGGCCTTCGTTGGAAACGGGATTTTTCATATAATGCTAGACAGAAGAATTCTCAGTAACTTCTTTTTGTGGTGTGTATTCAACTCACAGAGTTGAACCTTCCTTTAGACAGAGCAGATTTGAAACTCTCTTTTTGTGGAATTTGCAAGTGGAGATTTCAAGCGCTTTGAGGCCAACGGCAGAAAAGGAAATATCTTCGTAGAAAAAATAGACGGAATCATTCTCAGAAACTGCTTTGGGATGTGTGCATTGAACTCACAGTGTTTAACACTTCTTTTCATAGAGCACTTTGGAAACACTCAGTTTATAATGTCTGCAGCTGGATATTTGGACCTCTTTGAGGCCTTCGTAGTAAACGGGATTTCTTCGTGTAATGATAGACAATAGAATTCTCAGTGAATTTTTTTCTGTGTGTGTGTATTCAACTCACAGGGTTGAACCATCCTTTAGACAGTGCAGATTTGAAACACTTGTCTGTGGAATTTGCAAGGGGAGATTTCAAGCACTTTGAGGCCATTGGTGGAAAAGGAAATATCTTCGTATGAAAACTATACAGAATCATTCTCAGGAACTACTTTGTGATATGGGCATTCAACTCCCAGAGTTTAACCTTTCTTTTCATAGATGAGTTTGGAAACAGTCAGTTTGTAAATTCTGCAACTGGATATTTGGACCTCTTTGAGGCTTTCGTTGGAAACGGGATTTCTTCACATAATGCTAGACAGAAGAATTCTCAGTAACTTCTTTTGGGATGTATGTATTCAAATCAGAGAGTTGAACCTTCCTTTAGACAGAGCGGATTGGAAACACTCTTTTTGTGGAATTTGCAAGTGGAAAATTCTAGCAGTATGAGGCCAATGGTACAAAAGGAAATATCTTCGTATAAAAACTAGACAGTATCATTCTCAGAAACTGCTTTGTGATGTGTGCATTAAACTCACAGTAGTTGAACATTTCTTTGCATAGAGCAGTTTGGAAAGACTTAGTTTGTACAGTGTGCAAGTGGATATTTGGAACTCTTTGAGGCCTTCGTTGGAAACGGGATTTCTTCTTATAATTCTTGACAAAAGAATTCTCAGTAGCTTCTTTGTGTGTGTGTATTCAACTCACAGAGTTGAACCTTCCTTTAGACAGAGCAGATTGGAAACACTCTTTTTGTGGAATTTGCAAGTGGAGAATTCTAGCGCTTTGACGCCAATGGTAGAAAGGAAATATCTTCGTATAAAAACTAGACAGTATCATTCTCAGAAACTACTTTGTGATGTGTGCGTTCAACTCACAGAGCTTAACCTTTCTTTTCATAGAGCAGTTTGGAAACACTCTGTTTGTGAAGTCTGCAAGTGGATATTTAAACGTCTTTGAGGCCTTCGTTGGAAACGGGATTTGTTCATATAAACCAGGACAGAAGAATTCTCAGAAACGTCTTGATTGTTATGTGTGCATTCAACTCACAGAGTTGAACCTTACTTTGGAAAGAGCAGTTTTCTAATACTCTTTTTGTAAAAGTTCCAAGTGAATACTTTGAGTGCTTTGAAGCCTACGGTTGACAACGAAATATCTTCATGTAAAAACTACAAAGAATCATTCGCAGAAACCACGTTGTGATCTCTGCATTCAACTCACAGCGTTCAACCTTTCTTCCTATAGAGCAGTTATGAAACAGTCTCTTTGTAGAATTTGCAAGGGTGTATTTAGAGGGCATTGAAGCCTACGGTAGAAAAGGAAATATCTTACCATAAAATCTAGTCAGAAGCATTCTCAGAAACTGAGTTGTGATGTTTGCATTCAACTCACAGAGTTCAACATTCCTTTTAATGGAGCGGTTTTGAAACACTCTTTTTGCAGAATCTGCAAGTGGATATTTGGACCTCTTTGAGGCCTTCGTTGGAAACGGGATTTCTTCATGTAATGCCAGACAGAAGAACTCTCAGTGAATTCTTTCTGTGTGTGTGTACTCAACTCACAGAGTTGAACGTTCCCTTAGACAGAGTAGATTGGAAACACTCTTTTTGTGGAATGTTCACGTGGAGGTATCAAGCGCTTTGAGGCCCATGATAGAAAAGGAAATACCTTCGTATAATAATTAGATGGAATCATTCTCAGAAACTGCTTTGCAATGTGTGCCTTCAACTCACAGTGTTTAACCTTTCTTTTCATACAGTTGTTTCGAAACACCCTTTTTGCGGAATCTGGAAGTGGATATTTGGACCTCTTTGAAGTCTTCGTTGGAAATGGGATTTCTTCATATAATGCTAGACAGAAGACTTCTCAGTAACTGGTTTTTCTGGTGTGTATTCAACTCTCAGAGTTGAACTTTCCTTTAGAAACAGCAGATATGAAACTCTCTTTTTGTGGAATTTGCAAGTGGAGATTTCAAAGCATTGAGGCCAATGGTAGAAAAGGAAATATCTTCGTATGCCAACTAGACAGAATCATTCTCAGAAACTACTTTGGTACGTGTGTGTTCAACTCACAGTGTTTAACCTTTCCTTTCATAGAGCAGTTTGGAAACACTCAGTTTGTAAAGTCAGCCACTGGATATTTGGATGTATTTGAGGCCTTCGTTGGAAACGGGATTTCTTCATATAATGCTAGACAGAAGAATTCTCAGTAACTTCTTTGGGTTGTGGGTATTCAAGTCACAGAGTTGAAGCTTCCTTTAGGCGGAGCAGATTGGAAACACTTTTTGTGGAATTTTCAGGGGGAGACTTCAAGCGCTTTGAAGTGAATGGTAGGAAAGGAAATATCTTCGTATAAAAACTAGACGGAGTCATTCTCAGAAACTACTTTGTGATGTTTGCGTTCAACTCACAGAGTTTAACGTTTCTTTTCATAGAGCAGTTTGGAAACACTCTTTTTGCAGAATCTGCAAGTGGATATTTGGACCTCTTTGTGGCCTTCGTTGGAAAAGGGATTTTTCATATAATGCTAGACAGAAGAATTCTCAGTAACTTCTTTTTGTGGTGTGTATTCAACTCACAGAGTTGAACCTTCCTTTAGACAGAGCAGATTTGAAACTCTCTTTTTGTGGAATTTGCAAGTGGAGATTTCAAGCGCTTTGAGGCCAACGGCAGAAAAGGAAATATCTTCGTAGAAAAAATAGACGGAATCATTCTCAGAAACTGCTTTGGGATGTGTGCATTGAACTCACAGTGTTTAACACTTCTTTTCATAGAGCACTTTGGAAACACTCAGTTTGTAATGTCTGCAGCTGTATATTTGGACCTCTTTGAGGCCTTCGTAGTAAACGGGATTTCTTCGTGTAATGATAGACAATAGAATTCTCAGTGAATTTGTTTCTGTGTGTGTGTGTATTCAACTCACAGGGTTGAACCTTCCTTTAGACAGTGCAGATTTGAAACACTTGTCTGTGGAATTTGCAAGGGGAGATTTCAAGCACTTTGAGGCCATTGGTGGAAAAGGAAATATCTTCGTATAAAAACTAGACAGAATCATTCTCAGGAACTACTTTGTGATATGTGCATTCAACTCACAGAGTTTAACCTTTCTTTTCATAGATGAGTTTGGAAAGAGTCAGTTTGTAAATTCTGCAACTGGATATTTGGACCTCTTTGAGGCTTTCGTTGGAAACGGGATTTCTTAACATAATGCTAGACAGAAGAATTCTCAGGAACTTCTTTTGGGATGTATGTATTCAAATCAGAGAGTTGAACCTTCCTTTAGACAGAGCGGATTGGAAACACTCTTTTTGTGGAATTTGCAAGTGGAAAATTCTAGCAGTATGAGGCCAATGGTACAAAAGGAAATATCTTCGTATAAAAACTAGACAGTATCATTCTCAGAAACTGCTTTGTGATGTGTGCATTAAACTCACAGAGTTGAACATTTCTTTGCATAGAGCAGTTTGGAAAGACTTAGTTTGTGCAGTGTGCAAGTGGATATTTGGAACTCTTTGAGGCCTTCGTTGGAAACGGGATTTCTTCTTATAATTCTTGACAAAAGAATTCTCAGTAGCTTCTTTGTGTGTGTGTATTCAACTCACAGAGTTGAACCTTCCTTTAGACAGAGCAGATTGGAAACACTCTTTTTGTGGAATTTGCAAGTGGAGAATTCTAGCGCTTTGACGCCAATGGAAGGAAAGGAAATATCTCCGTATAAAAACTAGACAGTATCATTCTCAGAAACTACTTTGTGATGTGTGCGTTCAACTCACAGAGTTTATCCTTTCTTTTCATAGAGCAGTTTGGAAACACTCTGTTTGTGAAGTCTGCAAGTGGATATTTAAACGTCTTTGAGGCCTTCGTTGGAAACGGGATTTTTTCATATAAACCAGGACAGAAGAATTCTCAGAAACTTCTTGATTGTTATGTGTGCATTCAACTCACAGAGTTGAACCTTACTTTGGAAAGAGCAGTTTTCTAACACTCTTTTTGTAAAAGTTCCAAGTGAATACTTTGAGTGCTTTGAAGCCTACGGTTGACAACGAAATATCTTCATGTAAAAACTACAAAGAATCATTCGCCGAAACCACGTTCTGATCTCTGCATTCAACTCACAGAGTTCAACCTTTCTTCCTATAGAGCAGTTATTCAACAGTCTCTTTGTAGAATTTGCAAGGGTGTATTTAGAGGGCATTGAAGCCTACGGTAGAAAAGGAAATATCTGACCATAAAATCTAGTCAGAAGCATTCTCAGAAACTGAGTTGTGATGTTTGCATTCAACTCACAGAGTTCAACATTCCTTTTCATGGAGCGGTTTTGAAACACTCTTTTTGCAGAATCTGCAAGTGGATATTTGGACCTCTTTGAGGCCTTCGTTGAAAACGGGATTTCTTCATGTAATGCCAGACAGAAGAATTCTCAGTGAATTCTTTCTGTGTGTGTGTATTCAACTCACAGAGTTGAACGTTCCTTTAGACAGAGTAGATTGGAAACACTCTTTTTGTGGAATTTTCAGGTGGAGGTATCAAGCGCTTTGAGGCCAATGATAGAAAAGGAAATACCTTCGTATAATAATTAGACGGAATCATTCTCAGAAACTGCTTTGCAATGTGTGCGTTCAACTCACAGTGTTTAACCTTTCTTTTCATACAGTTTTGTTTCGAAACACTCTTTTTGCAGAATCTGCAAGTGGATATTTGGACCTCTTTGAAGTCTTCGTTGGAAATGGGATTTCTTCATATAATGCTAGACAGAAGACTTCTCAGTAACTGCTTTTTCTGGTGTGTATTCAACTCTCAGAGTTGAACTTTCCTTTAGAAACAGCAGATTTGAAACTCTCTTTTTGTGGAATTTGCAAGTGGAGATTTCAGAGCTTTGAGGCCAATGGTAGAAAAGGAAATATCTTCGTATGCAAACTAGACAGAATCATTCTCAGAAACTACTTTGGTACGTGTGTGTTCAACTCACAGTGTTTAACCTTTCTTTTCATAGAGCAGTTTGGAAACACTCAGTTTGTAAAGTCAGCAACTGGATATTTGGATGTATTTGAGGCCTTCGTTGGAAACGGGATTTCTTCATATAATGCTAGACAGAAGAATTCTCAGTAACTTCTTTGGGTTGTGGGTATTCAAGTCACAGAGTTGAAGCTTCCTTTAGGCGGAGCAGATTGGAAACACTTTTTGTGGAATTTTCAGGGGGAGACTTCAAGCGCTTTGAAGTGAATGGTAGGAAAGGAAATATCTTCGTATAAAAACTAGACGGAGTCATTCTCAGAAACTACTTTGTGATGTTTGCGTTCAACTCACAGAGTTTAACGTTTCTTTTCATAGAGCAGTTTGGAAACACTCTTTTTGCAGAATCTGCAAGTGGATATTTGGACCTCTTTGTGGCCTTCGTTGGAAATGGGATTTTTCGTATAATGCTAGACAGAAGAATTCTCAGTAACTTCTTTTTGTGGTGTGTATTCAACTCACAGAGTTGAACCTTCCTTTAGACAGAGCAGATTTGAAACTCTCTTTTTGTGGAATTTGCAAGTGGAGATTTCAAGCGCTTTGAGGCCAACGGTAGAAAAGGAAATATCTTCGTAGAAAAAATAGACGGAATCATTCTCAGAAACTGCTTTGGGATGTGTGCATTGAACTCACAGTGTTTAACACTTCTTTTCATAGAGCACTTTGGAAACACTCAGGTTGTAATGTCTGCAGCTGGATATTTGGACCTCTTTGAGGCCTTCGTAGTAAACGGGATTTCTTCGTGTAATGATAGACAATAGAATTCTCAGTGAATTTTTTTCTGTGTGTGTGTATTGAACTCACAGGGTTGAACCTTCCTTTAGACAGTGCAGATTTGAAACACTTGTCTGTGGAATTTGCAAGGGGAGATTTCAAGCACTTTGAGGCCATTGGTGGAAAAGGAAATATCTTCGTATGAAAACTAGACAGAATCATTCTCAGGAACTACTTTGTGATATGTGCATTCAACTCCCAGAGTTTAACCTTTCTTTTCATAGATGAGTTTGGAAACAGTCAGTTTGTAAATTCTGCAACTGGATATTTGGACCTCTTTGAGGCTTTCGTTGGAAACGGGATTTCTTCACATAATGCTAGACAGAAGAATTCTGAGGAACTTCTTTTGGGATGTATGTATTCAAATCAGAGAGTTGAACCTTCCTTTAGACAGAGCGGATTGGAAACACTCTTTTTGTGGAATTTGCAAGTGGAAAATTCTAGCAGTATGAGGCCAATGGTACAAAAGGAAATATCTTCGTATAAAAACTAGACAGTATCATTCTCAGAAACTGCTTTGTGATGTGTGTATTAAACTCACAGAGTTGAACATTTCTTTGCATAGAGCAGTTTGGAAAGACTTAGTTTGTGCAGTGTGCAAGTGGATATTTGGAACTCTTTGAGGCCTTCGTTGGAAACGGGATTTCTTCTTATAATTCTTGACAAAAGAATTCTCAGTAGTTTCTTTGTGTGTGTGTATTCAACTCACAGAGTTGAACCTTCCTTTAGACAGAGCAGATTGAAAACACTCTTTTTGTGGAATTTGCAAGTGGAGAATTCTAGCGCTTTGACGCCAATGGTAGAAAGGAAATATCTTCGTATAAAAACTAGACAGTATCATTCTCAAAAACTACTTTGTGATGTGTGCGTTCAACTCACAGAGTTTAACCTTTCTTTTCATAGAGCAGTTTGGAAACCCTCTGTTTGTGAAGTCTGCAAGTGGATATTTAAACGTCTTTGAGGCCTTCGTTGGAAACGGGATTTTTTCATATAAACCAGGACAGAAGGATTCTCAGAAACTTCTTGTTTGTTATGTGTGCATTCAACTCACAGAGTTGAACCTTACTTTGGAAAGAGCAGTTTTCTAACACTCTTTTTGTAAAAGTTCCAAGTGAATACTTTGAGTGCTTTGAAGCCTACGGTAGACAACGAAATATCTTCATGTAAAAACTACAAAGAATCATTCGCAGAAACCACGTTGTGATCTCTGCAGTCAACTCACAGAGTTCAACCTTTCTTCCTATAGAGCAGTTATGAAACAGTCTCTTTGTAGAATTTGCAAGGGTGTATTTAGAGGGCATTGAAGCCTACGGTAGAAAAGGAAATATCTTACCATAAAATCTAGTCAGAAGCATTCTCAGAAACTGAGTTGTGATGTTTGCATTCAACTCACAGAGTTCAACATTCCTTTTCATGGAGCGGTTTTGAAACACTCTTTTTGCAGAATCTGCAAGTGGATATTTGGACCTCTTTGAGGCCTTCGTTGAAAACGGGATTTCTTCATGTAATGCCAGACAGAAGAATTCTCAGTAACTTCTTTTTGTGGTGTGTATTCAACTCACAGAGTTGAACCTTCCTTTAGACAGAGCAGATTTGAACCTCTCTTTTTGTGGAATTTGCAAGTGGAGATTTCAAGCGCTTTGAGGCCAACGGCAGAAAAGGAAATATACTTCGTAGAAAAAATAGACGGAATCATTCTCAGAAACTGCTTTGGGATGTGTGCATTGAACTCACAGTGTTTAACACTTCTTTTCATAGAGCACTTTGGAAACACTCAGTTTGTAATGTCTGCAGCTGGATATTTGGACCTCTTTGAGGCCTTCGTAGTAAACGGGATTTCTTCGTGTAATGATAGACAATAGAATTCTCAGTGAATTTTTTTCTGTGTGTGTGTATTCAACTCACAGGGTTGAACCTTCCTTTAGACAGTGCAGATTTGAAACACTTGTCTGTGGAATTTGCAAGGGGAGATTTCAAGCACTTTGAGGCCATTGGTGAAAAAGGAAATATCTTCGTATAAAAACTAGACAGAATCATTCTCAGGAACTACTTTGTGATATGTGCATTCAACTCACAGAGTTTAACCTTTCTTTTCATAGATGAGTTTGGAAACAGTCAGTTTGTAAATTCTGCAACTGGATATTTGGACCTCTTTGAGGCTTTCGTTGGAAACGGGATTTCTTCACATAATGCTAGACAGAAGAATTCTCAGTAACTTCTTTTGGGATGTATGTATTCAAATCAGAGAGTTGAACCTTCCTTTAGTCAGAGCGGATTGGAAACACTCTTTTTGTGGAATTTGCAAGTGGAAAATTCTAGCAGTATGAGGCCAATGGTACAAAAGGAAATATCTTCGTATAAAAACTAGACAGTATCATTCTCAGAAACTGCTTTGTGATGTGTGTATTAAACTCACAGAGTTGAACATTTCTTTGCATAGAGCAGTTTGGAAAGACTTAGTTTGTGCAGTGTGCAAGTGGATATTTGGAACTCTTTGAGGCCTTCGTTGGAAACGGGATTTCTTCTTATAATTCTTGACAAAAGAATTCTCAGTAGCTTCTTTGTGTGTGTGTATTCAACTCACAGAGTTGAACCTTCCTTTAGACAGAGCAGATTGGAAACACTCTTTTTGTGGATTTTGCAAGTGGAGAATTCTAGCGCTTTGACGCCAATGGTAGAAAGGAAATATCTTCGTATAAAAACTAGACAGTATCATTCTCAGAAGCTACTTTGTGATGTGTGCGTTCAACTCACAGAGTTTAACCTTTCTTTTCATAGAGCAGTTTGGAAACCCTCTGTTTGTGAAGTCTGCAAGTGGATATTTAAACGTCTTTGAGGCCTTCGTTGGAAACGGGATTTGTTCATATAAACCAGGACAGAAGAATTCTCAGAAACTTCTTGATTGTTATGTGTGCATTCAACTCACAGAGTTGAACCTTACTTTGGAAAGAGCAGTTTTCTAACACTCTTTTTGTAAAAGTTCCAAGTGAATACTTTGAGTGCTTTGAAGCCTACGGTTGACAACGAAATATCTTCATGTAAAAACTACAAAGAATCATTCGCAGAAACCACGTTGTGATCTCTGCATTCAACTCACAGAGTTCAACCTTTCTTCCTATAGAGCAGTTATGAAACAGTCTCTTTGTAGAATTTGCAAGGGTGTATTTAGAGGGCATTGAAGCCTACGGTAGAAAAGGAAATATCTTACCATAAAATCTAGTCAGAAGCATTCTCAGCAACTGAGTTGTGATGTTTCCATTCAACTCACAGAGTTCAACATTCCTTTTAATGGAGCGGTTTTGAAACACTCTTTTTGCAGAATCTGCAAGTGGATATTTGGACCTCTTTGAGGCCTTCGTTGGAAACGGGATTTCTTCATGTAATGCCAGACAGAAGAATTCTCAGTGAATTCTTTCTGTGTGTGTGTATTCAACTCACAGAGTTGAACGTTCCTTTAGACAGAGTAGATTGGAAACACTCTTTTTGTGGAATTTTCAGGTGGAAGTATCAAGCGCTTTGAGGCCAATGATAGAAAAGGAAATACCTTCGTATAATAATTAGACGGAATCATTCTCAGAAACCGCTTTGCAATGTGTGCGTTCAACTCACAGTGTTTAACCTTTCTTTTCATACAGTTGTTTCGAAACACTCTTTTTGCAGAATCTGCAAGTGGATATTTGGACCTCTTTGAAGTCTTCGTTGGAAATGGGATTTCTTCATATAATGCTAGACAGAAGACTTCTCAGTAACTGCTTTTTCTGGTGTGTATTCAACTCTCAGAGTTGAACTTTCCTTTAGAAACAGCAGATTTGAAACTCTCTTTTTGTGGAATTTGCAAGTGGAGATTTCGGAGCTTTGAGGCCAATGGTAGAAAACGAAATATCTTCGTATGCAAACTAGACAGAATCATTCTCAGAAACTACTTTGGTACGTGTGTGTTCAACTCACAGTGTTTAACCTTTCTTTTCATAGAGCAGTTTGGAAACACTCAGTTTGTAAAGTCAGCAACTGGATATTTGGATGTATTTGAGGCCTTCGTTGGAAACGGGATTTCTTCATATAATGCTAGACAGAAGAATTCTCAGTAACTTCTTTGGGTTGTGGGTATTCAAGTCACAGAGTTGAAGCTTCCTTTAGGCGGAGCAGATTGGAAACACTTTTTGTGGAATTTTCAGGGGGAGACTTCAAGCGCTTTGAAGTGAATGGTAGGAAAGGAAATATCTTCGTATAAAAACTAGACGGAGTCATTCTCAGAAACTACTTTGTGATGTTTGCGTTCAACTCACAGAGTTTAACGTTTCTTTTCATAGAGCAGTTTGGAAACACTCTTTTTGCAGAATCTGCAAGTGGATATTTGGACCTCTTTGTGGCCTTCGTTGGAAACGGGATTTTTCATATAATGCTAGACAGAAGAATTCTCAGTAACTTCTTTTTGTGGTGTGTATTCAACTCACAGAGTTGAACCTTCCTTTAGACAGAGCAGATTTGAAACTCTCTTTTTGTGGAATTTGCAAGTGGAGATTTCAAGCGCTTTGAGGCCAACGGTAGAAAAAATAGACGGAATCATTCTCAGAAACTGCTTTGGGATGTGTGCATTGAACTCACAGTGTTTAACACTTCTTTTCATAGAGCACTTTGGAAACACTCAGTTTGTAATGTCTGCAGCTGGATATTTGGACCTCTTTGAGGCCTTCGTAGTAAACGGGATTTCTTCGTGTAATGATAGACAATAGAATTCTCAGTGAATTTTTTTCTGTGTGTGTGTATTCAACTCACAGGGTTGAACCTTCCTTTAGACAGTGCAGATTTGAAACACTTGTCTGTGGAATTTGCAAGGGGAGATTTCAAGCACTTTTTGGCCATTGGTGGAAAAGGAAATATCTTCGTATGAAAACTAGACAGAATCATTCTCAGGAACTACTTTGTGATATGTGCATTCAACTCACAGAGTTTAACCTTTCTTTTCATAGATGAGTTTGGAAACAGTCAGTTTGTAAATTCTGCAACTGGATATTTGGACCTCTTTGAGGCTTTCGTTGGAAACGGGATTTCTTCACATAATGCTAGACAGAAGAATTCTCAGTAACTTCTTTTGGGATGTATGTATTCAAATCAGAGAGTTGAACCTTCCTTTAGACAGAGCGGATTGGAAACACTCTTTTTGTGGAATTTGCAAGTGGAAAATTCTAGCAGTATGAGGCCAATGGTACAAAAGGAAATATCTTCGTATAAAAACTAGACAGTATCATTCTCAGAAACTGCTTTGTGATGTGTGTATTAAACTCACAGAGTTGAACATTTCTTTGCATAGAGCAGTTTGGAAAGACTTAGTTTGTGCAGTGTGCAAGTGGATATTTGGAACTCTTTGAGGCCTTCGTTGGAAACGGGATTTCTTCTTATAATTCTTGACAAAAGAATTCTCAGTAGCTTCTTTGTGTGTGTGTATTCAACTCACAGAGTTGAACCTTCCTTTAGACAGAGCAGATTGGAAACACTCTTTTTGTGGAATTTGCAAGTGGAGAATTCTAGCGCTTTGACACCAATGGTAGAAAGGAAATATCTTCGTATAAAAACTAGACAGTATCATTCTCAGAAGCTACTTTGTGATGTGTGCGTTCAACTCACAGAGTTTAACCTTTCTTTTCATAGAGCAGTTTGGAAACACTCTGTTTGTGAAGTCTGCAAGTGGATATTTAAACGTCTTTGAGGCCTTCGTTGGAAACGGGATTTTTTCATATAAACCAGGACAGAAGAATTCTCAGAAACTTCTTGATTGTTATGTGTGCATTCAACTCACAGAGTTGAACCTTACTTTGGAAAGAGCAGTTTTCTAATACTCTTTTTGTAAAAGTTCCAAGTGAATACTTTGAGTGCTTTGAAGCCTACGGTTGACAACGAAATATCTTCATGTAAAAACTACAAAGAATCATTCGCAGAAACCACGTTGTGATCTCTGCATTCAACTCACAGAGTTCAACCTTTCTTCCTATAGAGCAGTTATGAAACAGTCTCTTTGTAGAATTTGCAAGGGTGTATTTAGAGGGCATTGAAGCCTACGGTAGAAAAGGAAATATCTTACCATAAAATCTAGTCAGAAGCATTCTCAGCAACTGAGTTGTGATGTTTGCATTCAACTCACAGAGTTCAACATTCCTTTTCATGGAGCGGTTTTGAAACACTCTTTTTGCAGAATCTGCAAGTGGATATTTGGACCTCTTTGAGGCCTTCGTTGGAAACGGGATTTCTTCATGTAATGCCAGACAGAAGAATTCTCAGTGAATTCTTTCTGTGTGTGTGTATTCAACTCACAGAGTTGAACGTTCCTTTAGACAGAGTAGATTGGAAACACTCTTTTTGTGGAATTTTCAGGTGGAGGTATCAAGCGCTTTGAGGCCAATGATAGAAAAGGAAATACCTTCGTATAATAATTAGACGGAATCATTCTCAGAAACCGCTTTGCAATGTGTGCGTTCAACTCACAGTGTTTAACCTTTCTTTTCATACAGTTGTTTCGAAACACTCTTTTTGCAGAATCTGCAAGTGGATATTTGGACCTCTTTGAAGTCTTCGTTGGAAATGGGATTTCTTCATATAATGCTAGACAGAAGACTTCTCAGTAACTGCTTTTTCTGGTGTGTATTCAACTCTCAGAGTTGAACTTTCCTTTAGAAACAGCAGATTTGAAACTCTCTTTTTGTGGAATTTGCAAGTGGAGATTTCAGAGCTTTGAGGCCAATGGTAGAAAAGGAAATATCTTCGTATGCAAACTAGACAGAATCATTCTCAGAAACTACTTTGGTACGTGTGTGTTCAACTCACAGTGTTTAACCTTTCTTTTCATAGAGCAGTTTGGAAACACTCAGTTTGTAAAGTCAGCAACTGGATATTTGGATGTATTTGAGGCCTTCGTTGGAAACGGGATTTCTTCATATAATGCTAGACAGAAGAATTCTCAGTAACTTCTTTGGGTTGTGGGTATTCAAGTCACAGAGTTGAAGCTTCCTTTAGGCGGAGCAGATTGGAAACACTTTTTGTGGAATTTTCAGGGGGAGACTTCAAGCGCTTTGAAGTGAATGGTAGAAAAGGAAATATCTTCGTATAAAAACTAGACGGAGTCATTCTCAGAAACTACTTTGTGATGTTTGCGTTCAACTCACAGAGTTTAACGTTTCTTTTCATAGAGCAGTTTGGAAACACTCTTTTTGCAGAATCTGCAAGTGGATATTTGGACCTCTTTGTGGCCTTCGTTGGAAACGGGATTTTTCATATAATGCTAGACAGAAGAATTCTCAGTAACTTCTTTTTGTGGTGTGTATTCAACTCACAGAGTTGAACCTTCCTTTAGACAGAGCAGATTTGAAACTCTCTTTTTGTGGAATTTGCAAGTGGAGATTTCAAGCGCTTTGAGGCCAACGGCAGAAAAGGAAATATCTTCGTAGAAAAAATAGACGGAATCATTCTCAGAAACTGCTTTGGGATGTGTGCATTGAACTCACAGTGTTTAACACTTCTTTTCATAGAGCACTTTGGAAACACTCAGTTTGTAATGTCTGCAGCTGGATATTTGGACCTCTTTGAGGCCTTCGTAGTGAACGGGATTTCTTCGTGTAATGATAGACAATAGAATTCTCAGTGAATTTTTTTCTGTGTGTGTGTATTCAACTCACAGGGTTGAACCTTCCTTTAGACAGTGCAGATTTGAAACACTTGTCTGTGGAATTTGCAAGGGGAGATTTCAAGCACTTTGAGGCCATTGGTGGAAAAGGAAATATCTTCGTATGAAAACTAGACAGAATCATTCTCAGGAACTACTTTGTGATATGTGCATTCAACTCCCAGAGTTTAACCTTTCTTTTCATAGATGAGTTTGGAAACAGTCAGTTTGTAAATTCTGCAACTGGATATTTGGACCTCTTTGAGGCTTTCGTTGGAAACGGGATTTCTTCACATAATGCTAGACAGAAGAATTCTCAGTAACTTCTTTTGGGATGTATGTATTCAAATCAGAGAGTTGAACCTTCCTTTAGACAGAGCGGATTGGAAACACTCTTTTTGTGGAATTTGCAAGTGGAAAATTCTAGCAGTATGAGGCCAATGGTACAAAAGGAAATATCTTCGTATAAAAACTAGACAGTATCATTCTCAGAAGCTACTTTGTGATGTGTGCGTTCAACTCACAGAGTTTAACCTTTCTTTTCATAGAGCAGTTTGGAAACACTCTGTTTGTGAAGTCTGCAAGTGGATATTTAAACGTCTTTGAGGCCTTCGTTGGAAACGGGATTTTTTCATATAAACCAGGACAGAAGAATTCTCAGAAACTTCTTGATTGTTATGTGTGCATTCAACTCACAGAGTTGAACCTTACTTTGGAAAGAGCAGTTTTCTAACACTCTTTTTGTAAAAGTTCCAAGTGAATACTTTGAGTGCTTTGAAGCCTACGGTTGACAACGAAATATCTTCCTGTAAAAACTACAAAGAATCATTCGCAGAAACCACGTTGTGATCTCTGCATTCAACTCACAGAGTTCAACCTTTCTTCCTATAGAGCAGTTATGAAACAGTCTCTTTGTAGAATTTGCAAGGGTGTATTTAGAGGGCATTGAAGCCTACGGTATAAAAGGAAATATCTTACCATAAAATCTAGTCAGAAGCATTCTCAGCAACTGAGTTGTGATGTTTGCATTCAACTCACAGAGTTCAACATTCCTTTTAATGGAGCGGTTTTGAAACACTCTTTTTGCAGAATCTGCAAGTGGATATTTGGACCTCTTTGAGGCCTTCGTTGGAAACGGGATTTCTTCATGTAATGCCAGACAGAAGAATTCTCAGTGAATTCTTTCTGTGTGTGTGTATTCAACTCACAGAGTTGAACGTTCCTTTAGACAGAGTAGATTGGAAACACTCTTTTTGTGGAATTTTCAGGTGGAGGTATCAAGCGCTTTGAGGCCAATGATAGAAAAGGAAATACCTTCGTATAATAATTAGACGGAATCATTCTCAGAAACTGCTTTGCAATGTGTGCCTTCAACTCACAGTGTTTAACCTTTCTTTTCATACAGTTGTTTCGAAACACCCTTTTTGCGGAATCTGGAAGTGGATATTTGGACCTCTTTGAAGTCTTCGTTGGAAATGGGATTTCTTCATATAATGCTAGACAGAAGACTTCTCAGTAACTGCTTTTTCTGGTGTGTATTCAACTCTCAGAGTTGAACTTTCCTTTAGAAACAGCAGATTTGAAACTCTCTTTTTGTGGAATTTGCAAGTGGAGATTTCAGAGCTTTGAGGCCAATGGTAGAAAAGGAAATATCTTCGTATGCAAACTAGACAGAATCATTCTCAGAAACTACTTTGGTACGTGTGTGTTCAACTCACAGTGTTTAACCTTTCTTTTCATAGAGCAGTTTGGAAACACTCAGTTTGTAAAGTCAGCAACTGGATATTTGGATGTATTTGAGGCCTTCGTTGGAAACGGGATTTCTTCATATAATGCTAGACAGAAGAATTCTCAGTAACTTCTTTGGGTTGTGGGTATTCAACTCACAGAGTTGAAGCTTCCTTTAGGCGGAGCAGATTGGAAACACTTTTTGTGGAATTTTCAGGGGGAGACTTCAAGCGCTTTGAAGTGAATGGTAGGAAAGGAAATATCTTCGTATAAAAACTAGACGGAGTCATTCTCAGAAACTACTTTGTGATGTTTGCGTTCAACTCACAGAGTTTAACGTTTCTTTTCATAGAGCAGTTTGGAAACACTCTTTTTGCAGAATCTGCAAGTGGATATTTGGACCTCTTTGTGGCCTTCGTTGGAAACGGGATTTTTCATATAATGCTAGACAGAAGAATTCTCAGTAACTTCTTTTTGTGGTGTGTATTCAACTCACAGAGTTGAACCTTCCTTTAGACAGAGCAGATTTGAAACTCTCTTTTTGTGGAATTTGCAAGTGGAGATTTCAAGCGCTTTGAGGCCAACGGCAGAAAAGGAAATATCTTCGTAGAAAAAATAGACGGAATCATTCTCAGAAACTGCTTTGGGATGTGTGCATTGAACTCACAGTGTTTAACACTTCTTTTCATAGAGCACTTTGGAAACACTCAGTTTGTAATGTCTGCAGCTGGATATTTGGACCTCTTTGAGGCCTTCGTTGTAAACGGGATTTCTTCGTGTAATGATAGACAATAGAATTCTCAGTGAATTTTTTTCTGTGTGTGTGTATTCAACTCACAGGGTTGAACCATCCTTTAGACAGTGCAGATTTGAAACACTTGTCTGTGGAATTTGCAAGGGGAGATTTCAAGCACTTTGAGGCCATTGGTGGAAAAGGAAATATCTTCGTATGAAAACTATACAGAATCATTCTCAGGAACTACTTTGTGATATGTGCATTCAACTCCCAGAGTTTAACCTTTCTTTTCATAGATGAGTTTGGAAACAGTCAGTTTGTAAATTCTGCAACTGGATATTTGGACCTCTTTGAGGCTTTCGTTGGAAACGGGATTTCTTCACATAATGCTAGACAGAAGAATTCTCAGTAACTTCTTTTGGGATGTATGTATTCAAATCAGAGAGTTGAACCTTCCTTTAGACAGAGCGGATTGGAAACCCTCTTTTTGTGGAATTTGCAAGTGGAAAATTCTAGCAGTATGAGGCCAATGGTACAAAAGGAAATATCTTCGTATAAAAACTAGACAGTATCATTCTCAGAAACTGCTTTGTGATGTGTGTATTAAACTCACAGAGTTGAACATTTCTTTGCATAGAGCAGTTTGGAAAGACTTAGTTTGTGCAGTGTGCAAGTGGATATTTGGAACTCTTTGAGGCCTTCGTTGGAAACGGGATTTCTTCTTATAATTTCTTGAAAAAAGAATTCTCAGTAGCTTCTTTGTGTGTGTGTATTCAACTCACAGAGTTGAACCTTCCTTTAGACAGAGCAGATTGGAAACACTCTTTTTGTGGAATTTGCAAGTGGAGAATTCTAGCGCTTTGACGCCAATGGTAGAAAGGAAATATCTTCGTATAAAAACTAGACAGTATCATTCTCAGAAGCTACTTTGTGATGTGTGCGTTCAACTCACAGAGTTTAACCTTTCTTTTCATAGAGCAGTTTGGAAACCCTCTGTTTGTGAAGTCTGCAAGTGGATATTTAAACGTCTTTGAGGCCTTCGTTGGAAACGGGATTTTTTCATATAAACCAGGACAGAAGAATTCTCAGAAACTTCTTGATTGTTATGTGTGCATTCAACTCACAGAGTTGAACCTTACTTTGGAAAGAGCAGTTTTCTAACACTCTTTTTGTAAAAGTTCCAAGTGAATACTTTGAGTGCTTTGAAGCCTACGGTTGACAACGAAATATCTTCATGTAAAAACTACAAAGAATCATTCGCAGAAACCAAGTTGTGATCTCTGCATTCAACTCACAGAGTTCAACCTTTCTTCCTATAGAGCAGTTATGAAACAGTCTCTTTGTAGAATTTGCAAGGGTGTATTTAGAGGGCATTGAAGCCTACGGTAGAAAAGGAAATATCTTACCATAAAATCTAGTCAGAAGCATTCTCAGCAACTGAGTTGTGATGTTTGCATTCAACTCACAGAGTTCAACATTCCTTTTAATGGAGCGGTTTTGAAACACTCTTTTTGCAGAATCTGCAAGTGGATATTTGGACCTCTTTGAGGCCTTCGTTGGAAACGGGATTTCTTCATGTAATGCCAGACAGAAGAATTCTCAGTGAATTCTTTCTGTGTGTGTGTATTCAACTCACCGAGTTGAACGTTCCTTTAGACAGAGTAGATTGGAAACACTCTTTTTGTGGAATTTTCAGGTGGAGGTATCAAGCGCTTTGAGGCCAATGATAGAAAAGGAAATACCTTCGTATAATAATTAGACGGAATCATTCTCAGAAACTGCTTTGCAATGTGTGCGTTCAACTCACAGTGTTTAACCTTTCTTTTCATACAGTTGTTTCGAAACACTCTTTTTGCAGAATCTGCAAGTGGATATTTGGACCTCTTTGAAGTCTTCGTTGGAAATGGGATTTCTTCATATAATGCTAGACAGAAGACTTCTCAGTAACTGCTTTTTCTGGTGTGTATTCAACTCTCAGAGTTGAACTTTCCTTTAGAAACAGCAGATTTGAAACTCTCTTTTTGTGGAATTTGCAAGTGGAGATTTCAGAGCTTTGAGGCCAATGGTAGAAAAGGAAATATCTTCATATGCAAACTAGACAGAATCATTCTCAGAAACTACTTTGGTACGTGTGTGTTCAACTCACAGTGTTTAACCTTTCTTTTCATAGAGCAGTTTGGAAACACTCAGTTTGTAAAGTCAGCAACTGGATATTTGGATGTATTTGAGGCCTTCGTTGGAAACGGGATTTCTTCATATAATGCTAGACAGAAGAATTCTCAGTAACTTCTTTGGGTTGTGGGTATTCAACTCACAGAGTTGAAGCTTCCTTTAGGCGGAGCAGATTGGAAACACTTTTTGTGGAATTTTCAGGGGGAGACTTCAAGCGCTTTGAAGTGAATGGTAGGAAAGGAAATATCTTCGTATAAAAACTAGACGGAGTCATTCTCAGAAACTACTTTGTGATGTTTGCGTTCAACTCACAGAGTTTAACGTTTCTTTTCATAGAGCAGTTTGGAAACACTCTTTTTGCAGAATCTGCAAGTGGATATTTGGACCTCTTTGTGGCCTTCGTTGGAAACGGGATTTTTCATATAATGCTAGACAGAAGTAATTCTCAGTAACTTCTTTTTGTGGTGTGTATTCAACTCACAGAGTTGAACCTTCCTTTAGACAGAGCAGATTTGAAACTCTCTTTTTGTGGAATTTGCAAGTGGAGATTTCAAGCGCTTTGAGGCCAACGGCAGAAAAGGAAATATCTTCGTAGAAAAAATAGACGGAATCATTCTCAGAAACTGCTTTGGGATGTGTGCATTGAACTCACAGTGTTTAACACTTCTTTTCATAGAGCACTTTGGAAACACTCAGTTTGTAATGTCTGCAGCTGGATATTTGGACCTCTTTGAGGCCTTCGTGGTAAACGGGATTTCTTCGTGTAATGATAGACAATAGAATTCTCAGTGAATTTTTTTCTGTGTGTGTGTATTCAACTCACAGGGTTGAACCTTCCTTTAGACAGTGCAGATTTGAAACACTTGTCTGTGGAATTTGCAAGGGGAGATTTCAAGCACTTTGAGGCCATTGGTGGAAAAGGAAATATCTTCGTATGAAAACTAGACAGAATCATTCTCAGGAACTATTTTGTGATATGTGCATTCAACTCCCAGAGTTTAACCTTTCTTTTCATAGATGAGTTTGGAAACAGTCAGTTTGTAAATTCTGCAACTGGATATTTGGACCTCTTTGAGGCTTTCGTTGGAAACGGGATTTCTTCACATAATGCTAGACAGAAGAATTCTCAGTAACTTCTTTTGGGATGTATGTATTCAAATCAGAGAGTTGAACCTTCCTTTAGACAGAGCGGATTGGAAAGACTCTTTTTGTGGAATTTGCAAGTGGAAAATTCTAGCAGTATGAGGCCAATGGTACAAAAGGAAATATCTTCGTATAAAAACTAGACAGTATCATTCTCAGAAACTGCTTTGTGATGTGTGTATTAAACTCACAGAGTTGAACATTTCTTTGCATAGAGCAGTTTGGAAAGACTTAGTTTGTGCAGTGTGCAAGTGGATATTTGGAACTCTTTGAGGCCTTCGTTGGAAACGGGATTTCTTCTTATAATTTCTTGAAAAAAGAATTCTCAGTAGCTTCTTTGTGTGTGTGTATTCAACTCACAGAGTTGAACCTTCCTTTAGACAGAGCAGATTGGAAACACTCTTTTTGTGGAATTTGCAAGTGGAGAATTCTAGCGCTTTGACGCCAATGGTACAAAAGGAAATATCTTCGTATAAAAACTAGACAGTATCATTCTCAGAAACTGCTTTGTGATGTGTGTATTAAACTCACAGAGTTTAACCTTTCTTTTCATAGAGCAGTTTGGAAACCCTCTGTTTGTGAAGTCTGCAAGTGGATATTTAAACGTCTTTGAGGCCTTCGTTGGAAACGGGATTTTTTCATATAAACCAGGACAGAAGAATTCTCAGAAACTTCTTGATTGTTATGTGTGCATTCAACTCACAGAGTTGAACCTTACTTTGGAAAGAGCAGTTTTCTAACACTCTTTTTGTAAAAGTTCCAAGTGAATACTTTGAGTGCTTTGAAGCCTACGGTTGACAACGAAATATCTTCATGTAAAAACTACAAAGAATCATTCGCAGAAACCACGTTGTGATCTCTGCATTCAACTCACAGAGTTCAACCTTTCTTCCTATAGAGCAGTTATGAAACAGTCTCTTTGTAGAATTTGCAAGGGTGTATTTAGAGGGCATTGAAGCCTACGGTAGAAAAGGAAATATCTTACCATAAAATCTAGTCAGAAGCATTCTCAGCAACTGAGTTGTGATGTTTGCATTCAACTCACAGAGTTCAACATTCCTTTTAATGGAGCGGTTTTGAAACACTCTTTTTGCAGAATCTGCAAGTGGATATTTGGACCTCTTTGAGGCCTTCGTTGGAAACGGGATTTCTTCATGTAATGCCAGACAGAAGAATTCTCAGTGAATTCTTTCTGTGTGTGTGTATTCAACTCACAGAGTTGAACGTTCCTTTAGACAGAGTAGATTGGAAACACTCTTTTTGTGGAATTTTCAGGTGGAGGTATCAAGCGCTTTGAGGCCAATGATAGAAAAGGAAATACCTTCGTATAATAATTAGACGGAATCATTCTCAGAAACCGCTTTGCAATGTGTGCGTTCAACTCACAGTGTTTAACCTTTCTTTTCATACAGTTGTTTCGAAACACTCTTTTTGCAGAATCTGCAAGTGGATATTTGGACCTCTTTGAAGTCTTCGTTGGAAATGGGATTTCTTCATATAATGCTAGACAGAAGACTTCTCAGTAACTGCTTTTTCTGGTGTGTATTCAACTCTCAGAGTTGAACTTTCCTTTAGAAACAGCAGATTTGAAACTCTCTTTTTGTGGAATTTGCAAGTGGAGATTTCAGAGCTTTGAGGCCAATGGTAGAAAAGGAAATATGCTTCGTATGCAAACTAGACAGAATCATTCTCAGAAACTACTTTGGTACGTGTGTGTTCAACTCACAGTGTTTAACCTTTCTTTTCATAGAGCAGTTTGGAAACACTCAGTTTGTAAAGTCAGCAACTGGATATTTGGATGTATTTGAGGCCTTCGTTGGAAACGGGATTTCTTCATATAATGCTAGACAGAAGAATTCTCAGTAACTTCTTTGGGTTGTGGGTATTCAACTCACAGAGTTGAAGCTTCCTTTAGGCGGAGCAGATTGGAAACACTTTTTGTGGAATTTTCAGGGGGAGACTTCAAGCGCTTTGAAGTGAATGGTAGGAAAGGAAATATCTTCGTATAAAAACTAGACGGAGTCATTCTCAGAAACTACTTTGTGATGTTTGCGTTCAACTCACAGAGTTTAACGTTTCTTTTCATAGAGCAGTTTGGAAACACTCTTTTTGCAGAATCTGCAAGTGGATATTTGGACCTCTTTGTGGCCTTCGTTGGAAACGGGATTTTTCATATAATGCTAGACAGAAGAATTCTCAGTAACTTCTTTTTGTGGTGTGTATTCAACTCACAGAGTTGAACCTTCCTTTAGACAGAGCAGATTTGAAACTCTCTTTTTGTGGAATTTGCAAGTGGAGATTTCAAGCGCTTTGAGGCCAACGGCAGAAAAGGAAATATCTTCGTAGAAAAAATAGACGGAATCATTCTCAGAAACTGCTTTGGGATGTGTGCATTGAACTCACAGTGTTTAACACTTCTTTTCATAGAGCCCTTTGGAAACACTCAGTTTGTAATGTCTGCAGCTGGATATTTGGACCTCTTTGAGGCCTTCGTAGTAAACGGGATTTCTTCGTGTAATGATAGACAATAGAATTCTCAGTGAATTTTTTTCTGTGTGTGTGTATTCAACTCACAGGGTTGAACCTTCCTTTAGACAGTGCAGATTTGAAACACTTGTCTGTGGAATTTGCAAGGGGAGATTTCAAGCACTTTGAGGCCATTGGTGGAAAAGGAAATATCTTCGTATGAAAACTAGACAGAATCATTCTCAGGAACTACTTTGTGATATGTGCATTCAACTCCCAGAGTTTAACCTTTCTTTTCATAGATGAGTTTGGAAACAGTCAGTTTGTAAATTCTGCAACTGGATATTTGGACCTCTTTGAGGCTTTCGTTGGAAACGGGATTTCTTCACATAATGCTAGACAGAAGAATTCTCAGTAACTTCTTTTGGGATGTATGTATTCAAATCAGAGAGTTGAACCTTCCTTTAGACAGCGCGGATTGGAAACACTCTTTTTGTGGAATTTGCAAGTGGAAAATTCTAGCAGTATGAGGCCAATGGTACAAAAGGAAATATCTTCGTATAAAAACTAGACAGTATCATTCTCAGAAACTGCTTTGTGATGTGTGTATTAAACTCACAGAGTTGAACATTTCTTTGCATAGAGCAGTTTGGAAAGACTTAGTTTGTGCAGTGTGCAAGTGGATATTTGGAACTCTTTGAGGCCTTCGTTTGAAACGGGATTTCTTCTTATAATTCTTGACAAAAGAATTCTCAGTAGCTTCTTTGTGTGTGTGTATTCAACTCACAGAGTTGAACCTTCCTTTAGACAGAGCAGATTGGAAACACTCTTTTTGTGGAATTTGCAAGTGGAGAATTCTAGCGCTTTGACGCCAATGGTAGAAAGGAAATATCTTCGTATAAAAACTAGACAGTATCATTCTCAGAAACTACTTTGTGATGTGTGCGTTCAACTCACAGAGTTTAACCTTTCTTTTCATAGAGCAGTTTGGAAACACTCTGTTTGTGAAGTCTGCAAGTGGATATTTAAACGTCTTTGAGGCCTTCGTTGGAAACGGGATTTCTTCATATAAACCAGGACAGAAGAATTCTCAGAAACTTCTTGATTGTTATGTGTGCATTCAACTCACAGAGTTGAACCTTACTTTGGAAAGAGCAGTTTTCTAACACTCTTTTTGTAAAAGTTCCAAGTGAATACTTTGAGTGCTTTGAAGCCTACGGTTGACAACGAAATATCTTCATGTAAAAACTACAAAGAATCATTCGCAGAAACCACGTTGTGATCTCTGCATTCAACTCACAGAGTTGAACCTTTCTTCCTGTAGAGCAGTTATGAAACAGTCTCTTTGTAGAATTTGCAAGGGTGTATTTAGAGGGCATTGAAGCCTACGGTAGAAAAGGAAATATCTTACCATAAAATCTAGTCAGAAGCATTCTCAGAAACTGAGTTGTGATGTTTGCATTCAACTCACAGAGTTCAACATTCCTTTTAATGGAGCGGTTTTGAAACACTCTTTTTGCAGAATCTGCAAGTGGATATTTGGACCTCTTTGAGGCCTTCGTTGGAAACGGGATTTCTTCATGTAATGCCAGACAGAAGAATTCTCAGTGAATTCTTTCTGTGTGTGTGTATTCAACTCACAGAGTTGAACGTTCCTTTAGACAGAGTAGATTGGAAACACTCTTTTTGTGGAATTTTCAGGTGGAGGTATCAAGCGCTTTGAGGCCAATGATAGAAAAGGAAATACCTTCGTATAATAATTAGACGGAATCATTCTCAGAAACTGCTTTGCAATGTGTGCGTTCAACTCACAGTGTTTAACCTTTCTTTTCATACAGTTGTTTCGAAACACTCTTTTTGCAGAATCTGCAAGTGGATATTTGGACCTCTTTGAAGTCTTCGTTGGAAATGGGATTTCTTCATATAATGCTAGACAGAAGACTTCTCAGTAACTGCTTTTTCTGGTGTGTATTCAACTCTCAGAGTTGAACTTTCCTTTAGAAACAGCAGATTTGAAACTCTCTTTTTGTGGAATTTGCAAGTGGAGATTTCAGAGCTTTGAGGCCAATGGTAGAAAAGGAAATATCTTCGTATGCAAACTAGACAGAATCATTCTCAGAAACTACTTTGGTACGTGTGTGTTCAACTCACAGTGTTTAACCTTTCTTTTCATAGAGCAGTTTGGAAACACTCAGTTTGTAAAGTCAGCAACTGGATATTTGGATGTATTTGAGGCCTTCGTTGGAAACGGGATTTCTTCATATAATGCTAGACAGAAGAATTCTCAGTAACTTCTTTGGGTTGTGGGTATTCAAGTCACAGAGTTGAAGCTTCCTTTAGGCGGAGCAGATTGGAAACACTTTTTGTGGAATTTTCAGGGGGAGACTTCAAGCGCTTTGAAGTGAATGGTAGGAAAGGAAATATCTTCGTATAAAAACTAGACGGAGTCATTCTCAGAAACTACTTTGTGATGTTTGCGTTCAACTCACAGAGTTTAACGTTTCTTTTCATAGAGCAGTTTGGAAACACTCTTTTTGCAGAATCTGCAAGTGGATATTTGGACCTCTTTGTGGCCTTCGTTGGAAACGGGATTTTTCATATAATGCTAGACAGAAGAATTCTCAGTAACTTCTTTTTGTGGTGTGTATTCAACTCACAGAGTTGAACCTTCCTTTAGACAGAGCAGATTTGAAACTCTCTTTTTGTGGAATTTGCAAGTGGAGATTTCAAGCGCTTTGAGGCCAACGGCAGAAAAGGAAATATCTTCGTAGAAAAAATAGACGGAATCATTCTCAGAAACTGCTTTGGGATGTGTGCATTGAACTCACAGTGTTTAACACTTCTTTTCATAGAGCACTTTGGAAACACTCAGTTTGTAATGTCTGCAGCTGGATATTTGGACCTCTTTGAGGCCTTCGTAGTAAACGGGATTACTTCGTGTAATGATAGACAATAGAATTCTCAGTGAATTTTTTTCTGTGTGTGTGTATTCAACTCACAGGGTTGAACCTTCCTTTAGACAGTGCAGATTTGAAACACTTGTCTGTGGAATTTGCAAGGGGAGATTTCAAGCACTTTGAGGCCATTGGTGGAAAAGGAAATATCTTCGTATAAAAACTAGACAGAATCATTGTCAGGAACTACTTTGTGATATGTGCATTCAACTCACAGAGTTTAACCTTTCTTTTCATAGATGAGTTTGGAAACAGTCAGTTTGTAAATTCTGCAACTGGATATTTGGACCTCTTTGAGGCTTTCGTTGGAAACGGGATTTCTTCACATAATGCTAGACAGAAGAATTCTCAGTAACTTCTTTTGGGATGTATGTATTCAAATCAGAGAGTTGAACCTTCCTTTAGACAGAGCGGATTGGAAACACTCTTTTTGTGGAATTTGCAAGTGGAAAATTCTAGCAGTATGAGGCCAATGGTACAAAAGGAAATATCTTCGTATAAAAACTAGACAGTATCATTCTCAGAAACTGCTTTGTGATGTGTGTATTAAACTCACAGAGTTGAACATTTCTTTGCATAGAGCAGTTTGGAAAGACTTAGTTTGTGCAGTGTGCAAGTGGATATTTGGAACTCTTTGAGGCCCTTCGTTGGAAACGGGATTTCTTCTTATAATTCTTGACAAAAGAATTCTAAGTAACTTCTTATGGGTTGTGTGTATTCAACTCAGAGAGTTGAACCTTCCTTTAGACAGAGCAGATTGGAAACCCTCTTTTTGCCGAATTTTCAGGTGGAGATTTCAAGAGCTTTGAGGCCAATGGTAGAAAAGGCTATCTTCGTATAAAAACTAGACGGAATCATTCTCAGAAACTACTTTGTGATGTGTGCGTTCAACTCACAGAGTTTAACCTTTCTTTTCATAGAGCAGTTTGGAAACACTCTGTTTGTGAAGTCTGCAAGTGGATATTTAAACGTCTTTGAGGCCTTCGTTGGAAACGGGATTTTTTCATATAAACCAGGACAGAAGAATTCTCAGAAACTTCTTGTTTGTTATGTGTGCATTCAACTCACAGAGTTGAACCTTACTTTGGAAAGAGCAGTTTTCTAACACTCTTTTTGTAAAAGTTCCAAGTGAATACTTTGAGTGCTTTGAAGCCTACGGTAGACAACGAAATATCTTCATGTAAAAACTACAAAGAATCATTCGCAGAAACCACGTTGTGATCTCTGCATTCAACTCACAGAGTTGAACCTTTCCTCCTATAGAGCAGTTATGAAACAGTCTCTTTGTAGAATTTGCAAGGGTGTATTTAGAGGGCATTGAAGCCTACGGTAGAAAAGGAAATATCTTACCATAAAATCTAGTCAGAAGCATTCTCAGCAACTGAGTTGTGATGTTTGCATTCAACTCACAGAGTTCAACATTCCTTTTAATGGAGCGGTTTTGAAACACTCTTTTTGCAGAATCTGCAAGTGGATATTTGGACCTCTTTGAGGCCTTCGTTGGAAACGGGATTTCTTCATGTAATGCCAGACAGAAGAATTCTCAGTGAATTCTTTCTGTGTGTGTGTATTCAACTCACAGAGTTGAACGTTCCTTTAGACAGAGTAGATTGGAAACACTCTTTTTGTGGAATTTTCAGGTGGAGGTATCAAGCGCTTTGAGGCCAATGATAGAAAAGGAAATACCTTCGTATAATAATTAGACGGAATCATTCTCAGAAACCGCTTTGCAATGTGTGCGTTCAACTCACAGTGTTTAACCTTTCTTTTCATACAGTTGTTTCGAAACACTCTTTTTGCAGAATCTGCAAGTGGATATTTGGACCTCTTTGAAGTCTTCGTTGGAAATGGGATTTCTTCATATAATGCTAGACAGAAGACTTCTCAGTAACTGCTTTTTCTGGTGTGTATTCAACTCTCAGAAGTTGAACTTTCCTTTAGAAACAGCAGATTTGAAACTCTCTTTTTGTGGAATTTGCAAGTGGAGATTTCAAAGCTTTGAGGCCAGTGGTAGAAAAGGAAATATCTTTGTATGCAAACTAGACAGAATCATTCTCAGAAACTACTTTGGTACGTGTGTGTTCAACTCACAGTGTTTAACCTTTCTTTTCATAGAGCAGTTTGGAAACACTCAGTTTGTAAAGTCAGCAACTGGATATGTGGATGTATTTGAGGCCTTCGTTGGAAACGGGATTTCTTCATATAATGCGAGACAGAAGAATTCTCAGTAACTTCTTTGTGTTGTGGGTATTCAACTCACAGAGTTGAAGCTTCCTTTAGGCGGAGCAGATTGGAAACACTTTTTGTGGAATTTTCAGGGGGAGACTTCAAGCGCTTTGAGGCCAACGGTAGAAAAGGAAATATCTTCGTATAAAAACTAGACGGAGTCATTCTCAGAAACTACTTTGTGATGTTTGCGCTCAACTCACAGAGTTTAACGTTTCTTTTCATAGAGCAGTTTGGAAACACTCTTTTTGCAGAATCTGCAAGTGGATATTTGGACCTCTTTGTGGCCTTCGTTGGAAACGGGATTTTTCATATAATGCTAGACAGAAGAATTCTCAGTAACTTCTTTTTGTGGTGTGTATTCAACTCACAGAAGTTGAACCTTCCTTTAGACAGAGCAGATTTGAAACTCTCTTTTTGTGGAATTTGCAAGTGGAGATTTCAAGCGCTTTGAGGCCAACGGCAGAAAAGGAAATATCTTCGTAGAGAAAATAGACGGAATCATTCTCAGAAACTGCTTTGGGATGTGTGCATTGAACTCACAGTGTTTAACACTTCTTTTCATAGAGCACTTTGGAAACACTCAGTTTGTAATGTCTGCAGCTGGATATTTGGACCTCTTTGAGGCCTTCGTAGTAAACGGGATTTCTTCGTGTAATGATAGACAATAGAATTCTCAGTGAATTTTTTTCTGTGTGTGTGTATTCAACTCACAGGGTTGAACCTTCCTTTAGACAGTGCAGATTTGAAACACTTGTCTGTGGAATTTGCAAGGGGAGATTTCAAGCACTTTGAGGCCATTGGTGGAAAAGGAAATATCTTCGTATAAAAACTAGACAGAATCATTCTCAGGAACTACTTTGTGATATGTGCATTCAACTCACAGAGTTTAACCTTTCTTTTCATAGATGAGTTTGGAAACAGTCAGTTTGTAAATTCTGCAACTGGATATTTGGACCTCTTTGAGGCTTTCGTTGGAAACGGGATTTCTTCACATAATGCTAGACAGAAGAATTCTCAGTAACTTCTTTTGGGATGTACGTATTCAACTCAGAGAGTTGAACCTTCCTTTAGACAGAGCGGATTGGAAACACGCTTTTTGCGGAATTTTCAGGTAGAGATTCCAAGAGCCTTGAGGCCAATGGTAGAAAAGGCTATCTTCGTATAAAAACTAGAGGGAATCATTCTCAGAAACCTCTTTGTGATGTGTGCATTAAACTCACAGAGTTGAACATTTCTTTGCATAGAGCAGTTTGGAAAGACTTAGTTTTTACAGTGTGCAAGTGGATAATTCGGACTCTTTGAGGACTTCATTGGAAACGGGATTTCTTCTTATAATTCTTGGCAACAGAATTCTCAGTAGCTTCTTTGTGTGTGTGTATTCAACTCACAGAGTTGAACCTTCCTTTAGGCAGAGCAGATTGGAAACACTCTTTCTGTGGAATTTGTAAGTGGAGAAATCTAGCGCTTTGACGCCAATGGTAGGAAAGGAAATATCTCCGTATAAAAACTAGACAGTATCATTCTCAGAAACTACTTTGTGATGTGTGCGTTCAACTCACAGAGTTTAACCTTTCTTTTCATAGAGCAGTTTGGAAACACTCTGTTTGTGAAGTCTGCAAGAGGATATTTAAACGTCTTTGAGGCCTTCGTTGGAAACGGGATTTTTTCATATAAACCAGGACAGAAGAATTCTCAGAAACTTCTTGATTGTTATGGGTGCATTCAACTCACAGAGTTGAACCTTACTTTGGAAAGAGCGGTTTTCTAACACTCTTTTTGTAAAAGTTCCAAGTGAATACTTTGAGTGCTTTGAAGCCTACGGTTGACAACGAAATATCTTCATGTAAAAACTACAAAGAATCATTCGCAGAAACCACGTTGTGATCTCTGCATTCAACTCACAGAGTTGAACCTTTCCTCCTATAGAGCAGTTATGAAACAGTCTCTTTGTAGAATTTGCAAGGGTGTATTTACAGGGCATTGAAGCCTACGGTAGAAAAGGAAATATCTTACCATAAAATCTAGTCAGAAGCATTCTCAGCAACTGAGTTGTGATGTTTGCATTCAACTCACAGAGTT
This sequence comes from Homo sapiens, assembly GCF_000001405.40. Lineage (NCBI taxonomy): Eukaryota > Metazoa > Chordata > Mammalia > Primates > Hominidae > Homo > Homo sapiens. The sequence goes on from NC_000003.12 coordinate 93,316,887, forward strand.
CAACATTCCTTTTAATGGAGCGGTTTTGAAACACTCTTTTTGCAGAATCTGCAAGTGGATATTTGGACCTCTTTGAGCCCTTCGTTGGAAAAGGGATTTCTTCATGTAATGCCAGACAGAAGAATTCTCAGTGAATTCTTTCTGTGTGTGTGTATTCAACTCACAGCAGTTGAACGTTCCTTTAGACAGAGTAGATTGGAAACACTCTTTTTGTGGAATTTTCAGGTGGAGGTATCAAGCGCTTTGAGGCCAATGATAGAAAAGGAAATACCTTCGTATAATAATTAGACGGAATCATTCTCAGAAACTGCTTTGCAATGTGTGCGTTCAACTCACAGTGTTTAACCTTTCTTTTCATACAGTTGTTTCGAAACACTCTTTTTGCAGAATCTGCAAGTGGATATTTGGACCTCTTTGAAGTCTTCGTTGGAAATGGGATTTCTTCATATAATGCTAGACAGAAGACTTCTCAGTAACTGCTTTTTCTGGTGTGTATTCAACTCTCAGAGTTGAACTTTCCTTTAGAAACAGCAGATTTGAAACTCTCTTTTTCTGGAATTTGCAAGTGGAGATTTCAGAGCTTTGAGGCCACTGGTAAAAAAGGAAATATCTTCGTATGCAAACTAGACAGAATCATTCTCAGAAACTACTTTGGTACGTGTGTGTTCAACTCACAGTGTTTAACCTTTCTTTTCATAGAGCAGTTTGGAAACACTCAGTTTGTAAAGTCAGCAACTGGATATTTGGATGTATTTGAGGCCTTCGTTGGAAACGGGATTTCTTCATATAATGCTAGACAGAAGAATTCTCAGTAACTTCTTTGGGTTGTGGGTATTCAACTCACAGAGTTGAAGCTTCCTTTAGGCGGAGCAGATTGGAAACACTTTTTGTGGAATTTTCAGGGGGAGACTTCAAGCGCTTTGAAGTGAATGGTAGGAAAGGAAATATCTTCGTATAAAAACTAGACGGAGTCATTCTCAGAAACTACTTTGTGATGTTTGCGTTCAACTCACAGAGTTTAACGTTTCTTTTCATAGAGCAGTTTGGAAACACTCTTTTTGCAGAATCTGCAAGTGGATATTTGGACCTCTTTGTGGCCTTCGTTGGAAACGGGATTTTTCATATAATGCTAGACAGAAGAATTCTCAGTAACTTCTTTTTGTGGTGTGTATTCAACTCACAGAGTTGAACCTTCCTTTAGACAGAGCAGATTTGAAACTCTCTTTTTGTGGAATTTGCAAGTGGAGATTTCAAGCGCTTTGAGGCCAACGGCAGAAAAGGAAATATCTTCGTAGAAAAAATAGACGGAATCATTCTCAGAAACTGCTTTGGGATGTGTGCATTGAACTCACAGTGTTTAACACTTCTTTTCATAGAGCACTTTGGAAACACTCAGTTTGTAATGTCTGCAGCTGGATATTTGGACCTCTTTGAGGCCTTCGTAGTAAACGGGATTTCTTCGTGTAATGATAGACAATAGAATTCTCAGTGAATTTTTTTCTGTGTGTGTGTATTCAACTCACAGGGTTGAACCTTCCTTTAGACAGTGCAGATTTGAAACACTTGTCTGTGGAATTTGCAAGGGGAGATTTCAAGCACTTTGAGGCCATTGGTGGAAAAGGAAATATCTTCGTATAAAAACTAGACAGAATCATTCTCAGGAACTACTTTGTGATATGTGCATTCAACTCACAGAGTTTAACCTTTCTTTTCATAGATGAGTTTGGAAACAGTCAGTTTGTAAATTCTGCAACTGGATATTTGGACCTCTTTGAGGCTTTCGTTGGAAACGGGATTTCTTCACATAATGCTAGACAGAAGAATTCTCAGTAACTTCTTTTGGGATGTATGTATTCAAATCAGAGAGTTGAACCTTCCTTTAGACAGAGCGGATTGGAAACACTCTTTTTGTGGAATTTGCAAGTGGAAAATTCTAGCAGTATGAGGCCAATGGTACAAAAGGAAATATCTTCGTATAAAAACTAGACAGTATCATTCTCAGAAACTGCTTTGTGATGTGTGTATTAAACTCACAGAGTTGAACATTTCTTTGCATAGAGCAGTTTGGAAAGACTTAGTTTGTGCAGTGTGCAAGTGGATATTTGGAACTCTTTGAGGCCTTCGTTGGAAACGGGATTTCTTCTTATAATTCTTGACAAAAGAATTCTCAGTAGCTTCTTTGTGTGTGTGTGTACTCAACTCACAGAGTTGAACCTTCCTTTAGACAGAGCAGATTGGAAACACTCTTTTTGTGGAATTTGCAAGTGGAAAATTCTAGCAGTATGAGGCCAATGGTACAAAAGGAAATATCTTCGTATAAAAACTAGACAGTATCATTCTCAGAAGCTACTTTGTGATGTGTGCGTTCAACTCACAGAGTTTAACCTTTCTTTTCATAGAGCAGTTTGGAAACCCTCTGTTTGTGAAGTCTGCAAGTGGATATTTAAACGTCTTTGAGGCCTTCGTTGGAAACGGGATTTCTTCATATAAACCAGGACAGAAGAATTCTCAGAAACTTCTTGATTGTTATGTGTGCATTCAACTCACAGAGTTGAACCTTACTTTGGAAAGAGCAGTTTTCTAACACTCTTTTTGTAAAAGTTCCAAGTGAATACTTTGAGTGCTTTGAAGCCTACGGTTGACAACGAAATATCTTCATGTAAAAACTACAAAGAATCATTCGCAGAAACCACGTTGTGATCTCTGCATTCAACTCACAGAGTTGAACCTTTCTTCCTATAGAGCAGTTATGAAACAGTCTCTTTGTAGAATTTGCAAGGGTGTATTTAGAGGGCATTGAAGCCTACGGTATAAAAGGAAATATCTTACCATAAAATCTAGTCAGAAGCATTCTCAGCAACTGAGTTGTGATGTTTGCATTCAACTCACAGAGTTCAACATTCCTTTTAATGGAGCGGTTTTGAAACACTCTTTTTGCAGAATCTGCAAGTGGATATTTGGACCTCTTTGAGGCCTTCGTTGGAAACGGGATTTCTTCATGTAATGCCAGACAGAAGAATTCTCAGTAACTTCTTTTTGTGGTGTGTATTCAACTCACAGAGTTGAACCTTCCTTTAGACAGAGCAGATTTGAAACTCTCTTTTTGTGGAATTTGCAAGTGGAGATTTCAAGCGCTTTGAGGCCAACGGCAGAAAAGGAAATATCTTCGTAGAAAAAATAGACGGAATCATTCTCAGAAACTGCTTTGGGATGTGTGCATTGAACTCACAGTGTTTAACACTTCTTTTCATAGAGCACTTTGGAAACACTCAGTTTGTAATGTCTGCAGCTGGATATTTGGACCTCTTTGAGGCCTTCGTGGTAAACGGGATTTCTTCGTGTAATGATAGACAATAGAATTCTCAGTGAATTTTTTTCTGTGTGTGTGTATTCAACTCACAGGGTTGAACCTTCCTTTAGACAGTGCAGATTTGAGACACTTGTCTGTGGAATTTGCAAGGGGAGATTTCAAGCACTTTGAGGCCATTGGTGGAAAAGGAAATATCTTCGTATAAAAACTAGACAGAATCATTCTCAGGAACTACTTTGTGATATGTGCATTCAACTCACAGAGTTTAACCTTTCTTTTCATAGATGAGTTTGGAAACAGTCAGTTTGTAAATTCTGCAACTGGATATTTGGGCCTCTTTGAGGCTTTCGTTGGAAACGGGATTTCTTCACATAATGCTAGACAGAAGAATTCTCAGTAACTTCTTTTGGGATGTATGTATTCAAATCAGAGAGTTGAACCTTCCTTTAGACAGAGCGGATTGGAAACACTCTTTTTGTGGAATTTGCAAGTGGAAAATTCTAGCAGTATGAGGCCAATGGTACAAAAGGAAATATCTTCGTATAAAAACTAGACAGTATCATTCTCAGAAACTGCTTTGTGATGTGTGTATTAAACTCACAGAGTTGAACATTTCTTTGCATAGAGAAGTTTGGAAAGACTTAGTTTGTGCAGTGTGCAAGTGGATATTTGGAACTCTTTGAGGCCTTCGTTGGAAACGGGATTTCTTCTTATAATTCTTGACAAAAGAATTCTCAGTAGCTTCTTTGTGTGTGTGTATTCAACTCACAGAGTTGAACCTTCCTTTAGACAGAGCAGATTGGAAACACTCTTTTTGTGGAATTTGCAAGTGGAGAATTCTAGCGCTTTGACGCCAATTGTAGAAAGGAAATATCTTCGTATAAAAACTAGACAGTATCATTCTCAGAAACTACTTTGTGATGTGTGCGTTCAACTCACAGAGTTTAACCTTTCTTTTCATAGAGCAGTTTGGAAACACTCTGTTTGTGAAGTCTGCAAGTGGATATTTAAACGTCTTTGAGGCCTTCGTTGGAAACGGGATTTTTCATATAAACCAGGACAGAAGAATTCTCAGAAACTTCCTGTTTGTTAAGTGTGCATTGAACTCACAGAGTTGAACCTTACTTTGGAAAGAGCAGTTTTCTAACACTCTTTTTGTAAAAGTTCCAAGTGAATACTTTGAGTGCTTTGAAGCCTACGGTAGACCACGAAATATCTTCATGTAAAAACTACGAAGAATCATTCGCCGAAACCACGTTGTGATCTCTGCATTCAACTCACAGAGTTCAACCTTTCTTCCTATAGAGCAGTTATTAAACAGTCTCTTTGTAGAATTTGCAAGGGTGTATTTAGAGGGCATTGAAGCCTACGGTAGAAAAGGAAATATCTGACCATAAAATCTAGTCAGAAGCATTCTCAGAAACTGAGTTGTGATGTTTGCATTCAACTCACAGAGTTCAACATTCCTTTTCATGGAGCGGTTTTGAAACACTCTTTTTGCAGAATCTGCAAGTGGATATTTGGACCTCTTTGAGGCCTTCGTTGGAAACGGGATTTCTTCATGTGATGCCAGACAGAAGAATTCTCAGTGAATTCTTTCTGTGTGTGTGTATTCAACTCACAGAGTTGAACGTTCCTTTAGACAGAGTAGTTTGGAAACACTCTTTTTGTGGAATTTTCAGGTGGAGGTATCAAGCGCTTTGAGGCCCATGATAGAAAAGGAAATACCTTTGTATAATAATTAGACGGAATCATTCTCAGAAAATGCTTTGCAATGGGTGCGTTCAACTCACAGTGTTTAACCTTTCTTTTCATACAGTTGTTTCGAAACACTCTTTTTGCAGAATCTGCAAGTGGATATTTGGACCTGTTTGAAGTCTTCTTTGGAAATGGGATTTCTTCATATAATGCTAGACAGAAGACTTCTCAGTAACTGCTTTTTCTGGTGTGTATTCAACTCTCAGAGTTGAACTTTCCTTTAGAAACAGCAGATTTGAAACTCTCTTTTTGTGGAATTTGCAAGTGGAGATTTCAGAGCTTTGAGGCCAATGGTAGAAAAGGAAATATCTTCGTATGCAAACTAGGCAGAATCATTCTCAGAAACTACTTTGGTACGTGTGTGTTCAACTCACAGTGTTTAACCTTTCTTTTCATAGAGCAGTTTGGAAACACTCAGTTTGTAAAGTCAGCAACTGGATATTTGGATGTATTTGAGGCCTTCGTTGGAAACGGGATTTCTTCATATAATGCTAGACAGAAGAATTCTCAGTAACTTCTTTGGGTTGTGGGTATTCAAGTCACAGAGTTGAAGCTTCCTTTAGGCGGAGCAGATTGGAAACACTTTTTGTGGAATTTTCAGGGGGAGACTTCAAGCGCTTTGAAGTGAATGGTAGGAAAGGAAATATCTTCGTATAAAAACTAGACGGAGTCATTCTCAGAAACTACTTTGTGATGTTTGCGTTCAACTCACAGAGTTTAACGTTTCTTTTCATAGAGCAGTTTGGAAACACTCTTCTTGCAGAATCTGCAAGTGGATATTTGGACCTCTTTGTGGCCTTCGTTGGAAACGGGATTTTTCATATAATGCTAGACAGAAGAATTCTCAGTAACTTCTTTTTGTGGTGTGTATTCAACTCACAGAGTTGAACCTTCCTTTAGACAGAGCAGATTTGAAACTCTCTTTTTGTGGAATTTGCAAGTGGAGATTTCAAGCGCTTTGAGGCCAACGGCAGAAAAGGAAATATCTTCGTAGAAAAAATAGACGGAATCATTCTCAGAAACTGCTTTGGGATGTGTGCATTGAACTCACAGTGTTTAACACTTCTTTTCATAGAGCACTTTGGAAACACTCAGTTTGTAATGTCTGCAGCTGGATATTTGGACCTCTTTGAGGCCTTCGTAGTAAACGGGATTTCTTCGTGTAATGATAGACAATAGAATTCTCAGTGAATTTTTTTCTATGTGTGTGTATTCAACTCACAGGGTTGAACCTTCCTTCAGACAGTGCAGATTTGAAACACTTTTCTGTGGAATTTGCAAGGGGAGATTTCAAGCACTTTGAGGCCATTGGTGGAAAAGGAAATATCTTCGTATAAAAACTAGACAGAATCATTGTCAGGAACTACTTTGTGATATGTGCATTCAACTCACAGGGTTTAACCTTTCTTTTCATAGATGAGTTTGGAAACAGTCAGTTTGTAAATTCTGCAACTGGATATTAGGACCTCTTTGAGGCTTTGGTTGGAAACGGGATTTCTTCACATAATGCTAGACAGAAGAATTCTCAGTAACTTCTTTTGGGATGTATGTATTCAAATCAGAGAGTTGAACCTTCCCTTTAGACAGAGCGGATTGGAAACACTCTTTTTGTGGAATTTGCAAGTGGAAAATTCTAGCAGTATGAGGCCAATGGTACAAAAGGAAATATCTTCGTATAAAAACTAGACAGTATCATTCTCAGAAACTGCTTTGTGATGTGTGTATTAAACTCACAGAGTTGAACATTTCTTTGCATAGAGCAGTTTGGAAAGACTTAGTTTGTGCAGTGTGCAAGTGGATATTTGGAACTCTTTGAGGCCTTCGTTGGAAACGGGATTTCTTCTTATAATTCTTGACAAAAGAATTCTCAGTAGCTTCTTTGTGTGTGTGTATTCAACTCACAGATTTGAACCTTCCTTTAGACAGAGCGGATTGGAAACACTCTTTTTGTGGAATTTGCAAGTGGAAAATTCTAGCAGTATGAGGCCAATGGTACAAAAGGAAATATCTTCGTATAAAAACTAGACAGTATCATTCTCAGAAACTGCTTTGTGATGTGTGTATTAAACTCACAGAGTTGAACATTTCTTTGCATAGAGCAGTTTGGAAAGACTTAGTTTGTGCAGTGTGCAAGTGGATATTTGGAACTCTTTGAGGCCTTCGTTGGAAACGGGATTTCTTCTTATAATTCTTGACAAAAGAATTCTCAGTAGCTTCTTTGTGTGTGTGTATTCAACTCACAGAGTTGAACCTTCCTTTAGACAGAGCAGATTGGAAACACTCTTTTTGTGGAATTTGCAAGTGGAGAATTCTAGCGCTTTGACGCCAATGGTAGAAAGGAAATATCTTCCTATATAAACTAGACAGTATCATTCTCAGAAACTACTTTGTGATGTGTGCGTTCAACTCACAGAGTTTAACCTTTCTTTTCATAGAGCAGTTTGGAAACACTCTGTTTGTGAAGTCTGCAAGTGGATATTTAAACGTCTTTGAGGCCTTCGTTGGAAACGGGATTTTTTCATATAAACCAGGACAGAAGAATTCTCAGAAACTTCTTGTTTGTTATGTGTGCATTCAACTCACAGAGTTGAACCTTACTTTGGAAAGAGCAGTTTTCTAACACTCTTTTTGTAAAAGTTCCAAGTGAATACTTTGAGTGCTTTCAAGCCTACGGTAGAGAACGAAATATCTTCATGTAAAAACTGAGAAGAATCATTCGCCGAAACCACGTTGTGATCTCTGCATTCAACTCACAGAGTTCAACCTTTCTTCCTATAGAGCAGTTATTAAACAGTCTCTTTGTAGAATTTGCAAGGGTGTATTTAGAAGGCATTGAAGCCTATGGTAGAAAAGGAAATATCTGACCATAAAATCTAGTCAGAAGCATTCTCAGAAACTGAGTTGTGATGTTTGCATTCAACTCACAGAGTTCAACATTCCTTTTAATGGAGCGGTTTTGAAACACTCTTTTTGCAGAATCTGCAAGTGGATATTTGGACCTCTTTGAGGCCTTCGTTGGAAACGGGATTTCTTCATGTAATGCCAGACAGAAGAATTCTCAGTGAATTCTTTCTGTGTGTGTGTATTCAACTCACAGAGTTGAACGTTCCTTTAGACAGAGTAGATTGGAAACACTCTTTTTGTGGAATTTTCAGGTGGAGGTATCAAGCGCTTTGAGGCCAATGATAGAAAAGGAAATACCTTCGTATAATAATTAGACGGAATCATTCTCAGAAACTGCTTTGCAATGTGTGCGTTCAACTCACAGTGTTTAACCTTTCTTTTCATACAGTTGTTTCGAAACACTCTTTTTGCAGAATCTGCAAGTGGATATTTGGACCTCTTTGAAGTCTTCGTTGGAAATGGGATTTCTTCATATAATGCTAGACAGAAGACTTCTCAGTAACTGCTTTTTCTGGTGTGTATTCAACTCTCAGAGTTGAACTTTCCTTTAGAAACAGCAGATTTGAAACTCTCTTTTTGTGGAATTTGCAAGTTGAGATTTCAGAGCTTTGAGGCCAATGGTAGAAAAGGAAATATCTTCGTATGCAAACTAGACAGAATCATTCTCAGAAACTACTTTGGTACGTGTGTGTTCAACTCACAGTGTTTAACCTTTCTTTTCATAGAGCAGTTTGGAAACACTCAGTTTGTAAAGTCAGCAACTGGATATTTGGATGTATTTGAGGCCTTCGTTGGAAACGGGATTTCTTCATATAATGCTAGACAGAAGAATTCTCAGTAACTTCTTTGGGTTGTGGGTATTCAACTCACAGAGTTGAAGCTTCCTTTAGGCGGAGCAGATTGGAAACACTTTTTCTGGAATTTTCAGGGGGAGACTTCAAGCGCTTTGAAGTGAATGGTAGAAAAGGAAATATCTTCGTATAAAAACTAGACGGAGTCATTCTCAGAAACTACTTTGTGATGTTTGCGTTCAACTCACAGAGTTTAACGTTTCTTTTCATAGAGCAGTTTGGAAACACTCTTTTTGCAGAATCTGCAAGTGGATATTTGGACCTCTTTGTGGCCTTCGTTGGAAACGGGATTTTTCATATAATGCTAGACAGAAGAATTCTCAGTAACTTCTTTTTGTGGTGTGTATTCAACTCACAGAGTTGAACCTTCCTTTAGACAGAGCAGATTTGAAACTCTCTTTTTGTGGAATTTGCAAGTGGAGATTTCAAGCGCTTTGAGGCCAACGGCAGAAAAGGAAATATCTTCGTAGAAAAAATAGACGGAATCATTCTCAGAAACTGCTTTGGGATGTGTGCATTGAACTCACAGTGTTTAACACTTCTTTTCATAGAGCACTTTGGAAACACTCAGTTTGTAATGTCTGCAGCTGGATATTTGGACCTCTTTGAGGCCTTCGTAGTAAACGGGATTTCTTCGTGTAATGATAGACAATAGAATTCTCAGTGAATTTTTTTCTGTGTGTGTGTATTCAACTCACAGGGTTGAACCTTCCTTTAGACAGTGTAGATTTGAAACACTTGTCTGTGGAATTTGCAAGGGGAGATTTCAAGCCCTTTGAGGCCATTGGTGGAAAAGGAAATATCTTCGTATAAAAACTAGACAGAATCATTCTCAGGAACTACTTTGTGATATGTGCATTCAACTCACAGAGTTTAACCTTTCTTTTCATAGATGAGTTTGGAAACAGTCAGTTTGTAAATTCTGCAACTGGATATTTGGACCTCTTTGAGGCTTTCGTTGGAAACGGGATTTCTTCACATAATGCTAGACAGAAGAATTCTCAGTAACTTCTTTTGGGATGTATGTATTCAACTCAGAGAGTTGAACCTTCCTTTAGACAGAGCGGATTGGAAACACGCTTTTTGCGGAATTTTCAGGTGGAGATTCCAAGAGCCTTGAGGCCAATGGTAGAAAAGGCTATCTTCGTATAAAAACTAGAGGGAATCATTCTCAGAAACTGCTTTGTGATGTGTGCATTAAACTCACAGAGTTGAACATTTCTTTGCATAGAGCAGTTTGGAAAGACTTAGTTTGTACAGTGTGCAAGTGGATATTTGGAACTCTTTGAGGCCTTCGTTGGAAACGGGATTTCTTCTTATAATTCTTGACAAAAGAATTCTCAGTAGCTTCTTTGTGTGTGTGTATTCAACTCACAGAGTTGAACCTTCCTTTAGACAGAGCAGATTGGAAACACTCTTTTTGTGGAATTTGCAAGTGGAGAATTCTAGCGCTTTGACGCCAATGGTAGAAAGGAAATATCTTCGTATAAAAACTAGACAGTATCATTCTCAGAAGCTACTTTGTGATGTGTGCGTTCAACTCACAGAGTTTATCCTTTCTTTTCATAGAGCAGTTTGGAAACCCTCTGTTTGTGAAGTCTGCAAGTGGATATTTAAACGTCGTTGAGGCCTGCGTTGGAAACGGGATTTCTTCATATAAACCAGGACAGAAGAATTCTCAGAAACTTCTTGATTGTTATGTGTGCATTCAACTCACAGAGTTGAACCTTACTTTGGAAAGAGCAGTTTTCTAACACTCTTTTTGTAAAAGTTCCAAGTGAATACTTTGAGTGCTTTGAAGCCTACGGTTGACAACGAAATATCTTCCTGTAAAAACTACAAAGAATCATTCGCAGAAACCACGTTGTGATCTCTGCATTCAACTCACAGAGTTCAACCTTTCTTCCTATAGAGCAGTTATGAAACAGTCTCTTTGTAGAATTTGCAAGGGTGTATTTAGAGGGCATTGAAGCCTACGGTAGAAAAGGAAATATCTTACCATAAAATCTAGTCAGAAGCATTCTCAGCAACTGAGTTGTGATGTTTGCATTCAACTCACAGAGTTCAACATTCCTTTTAATGGAGCGGTTTTGAAACACTCTTTTTGCAGAATCTGCAAGTGGATATTTGGACCTCTTTGAGGCCTTCGTTGGAAACGGGATTTCTTCATGTAATGCCAGACAGAAGAACTCTCAGTGAATTCTTTCTGTGTGTGTGTATTCAACTCACAGAGTTGAACGTTCCTTTAGACAGAGTAGATTGGAAACACTCATTTTGTGGAATTTTCAGGTGGAGGTATCAAGCGCTTTGAGGCCCATGATAGAAAAGGAAATACCTTCGTATAATAATTAGACGGAATCATTCTCAGAAACTGCTTTGCAATGTGTGCGTTCAACTCACAGTGTTTAACCTTTCTTTTCATACAGTTGTTTCGAAACACTCTTTTTGCAGAATCTGCAAGTGGATATTTGGACCTCTTTGAAGTCTTCGTTGGAAATGGGATTTCTTCATATAATGCTAGACAGAAGACTTCTCAGTAACTGCTTTTTCTGGTGTGTATTCAACTCTCAGAGTTGAACTTTCCTTTAGAAACAGCAGAGTTGAAACTCTCTTTTTGTGGAATTTGCAAGTGGAGATTTCAAAGCTTTGAGGCCAATGGTAGAAAAGGAAATATCCTTCGTATGCAAACTAGACAGAATCATTCTCAGAAACTACTTTGGTACGTGTGTGTTCAACTCACAGTGTTTAACCTTTCTTTTCATAGAGCAGTTTGGAAACACTCAGTTTGTAAAGTCAGCAACTGGATATTTGGATGTATTTGAGGCCTTCGTTGGAAACGGGATTTCTTCATATAATGCTAGACAGAAGAATTCTCAGTAACTTCTTTGTGTTGTGGGTATTCAACTCACAGAGTTGAAGCTTCCTTTAGGCGGAGCAGATTGGAAACACTTTTTGTGGAATTTTCAGGGGGAGACTTCAAGCGCTTTGAGGCCAACGGTAGAAAAGGAAATATCTTCGTATAAAAACTAGACGGAGTCATTGTCAGAAACTACTTTGTGATGTTTGCGTTCAACTCACAGAGTTTAACGTTTCTTTTCATAGAGCAGTTTGGAAACACTCTTTTTGCAGAGTCTGCAAGTGGATATTTGGACCTCTTTGTGGCCTTCGTTGGAAACGGGATTTTTCATATAATGCTAGACAGAAGAATTCTCAGTAACTTCTTTTTGTGGTGTGTATTCAACTCACAGAGTTGAACCTTCCTTTAGACAGAGCAGATTTGAAGCTCTCTTTTTGTGGAATTTGCAAGTGGAGATTTCAAGCGCTTTGAGGCCAACGGTAGAAAAGGAAATATCTTCTTAGAAAAAAATAGACGGAATCATTCTCAGAAACTGCTTTGGGATGTGTGCATTGAACTCACAGTGTTTAACACTTCTTTTCATAGAGCACTTTGGAAACTCTCAGTTTTTAATGTCTGCAGCTGGATATTTGGACCTCTCTGAGGCCTTCGTAGTAAACGGGATTTCTTCGTGTAATGATACACAATAGAAATGTCAGTGAATTTTTTTCTGTGTGTGTGTATTCAACTCACAGGGTTGAACCTTCCTTCAGACAGTGCAGATTTGAAACACTTTTCTGTGGAATTTGCAAGGGGAGATTTCAAGGACTTTGAGGCCATTGGTGGATAAGGAAACATCTTCGTATAAAAACCAGACAGAATCATTCTCAGGAACTACTTTGTGATATGTGCATTCAACTCACAGAGTTTAACCTTTCTTTTCATAGATGAGTTTGGAAAGAGTCAGTTTGTAAATTCTGCAACTGGATATTTGGACCTCTTTGAGGCTTTCGTTGGAAACGGGATTTCTTCACATAATGCTAGACAGAAGAATTCTCAGTAACTTCTTTTGGGATGTATGTATTCAAATCAGAGAGTTGAACCTTCCTTTAGACAGAGCGGATTGGAAACACTCTTTTTGTGGAATTTGCAAGTGGAAAATTCTAGCAGTATGAGGCCAATGGTACAAAAGGAAATATCTTCGTATAAAAACTAGACAGTATCATTCTCAGAAACTGCTTTGTGATGTGTGTATTAAACTCACAGAGTTGAACATTTCTTTGCATAGAGCAGTTTGGAAAGACTTAGTTTGTGCAGTGTGCAAGTGGATATTTGGAACTCTTTGAGGCCTTCGTTGGAAACGGGATTTCTTCTTATAATTCTTGACAAAAGAATTCTCAGTAGCTTCTTTGTGTGTGTGTATTCAACTCACAGAGTTGAACCTTCCTTTAGACAGAGCAGATTGGAAACACTCTTTTTGTGGAATATGCAAGTGGAGAATTCTAGCGCTTTGACGCCAATGGTAGAAAGGAAATATCTTCGTATAAAAACTAGACAGTATCATTCTCAGAAACTACTTTGTGATGTGTGCGTTCAACTCACAGAGTTTAACCTTTCTTTTCATAGAGCAGTTTGGAAACACTCTGTTTGTGAAGTCTGCAAGTGGATATTTAAACGTCTTTGAGGCCTTCGTTGGAAACGGGATTTGTTCATATAAACCAGGACAGAAGAATTCTCAGAAACTTCTTGATTGTTATGTGTGCATTCAACTCACAGAGTTGAACCTTACTTTGGAAAGAGCAGTTTTCTAACACTCTTTTTGTAAAAGTTCCAAGTGAATACTTTGAGTGCTTTGAAGCCTACGGTTGACAACGAAATATCTTCATGTAAAAACTACAAAGAATCATTCGCAGAAACCACGTTGTGATCTCTGCATTCAACTCACAGAGTTCAACCTTTCTTCCTATAGAGCAGTTATGAAACAGTCTCTTTGTAGAATTTGCAAGGGTGTATTTAGAGGGCATTGAAGCCTACGGTAGAAAAGGAAATATCTTACCATAAAATCTAGTCAGAAGCATTCTCAGAAACTGAGTTGTGATGTTTGCATTCAACTCACAGAGTTCAACATTCCTTTTCATAGAGCGGTTTTGAAACACTCTTTTTGCAGAATCTGCAAGTGGATATTTGGACCTCTTTCAGGACTTCGTTGGAAACGGGATTTCTTCATGTAATGCCAGACAGAAGAACTCTCAGTGAATTCTTTCTGTGTGTGTGTATTCAACTCACAGAGTTGAACGTTCCTTTAGACAGAGTAGATTGGAAACACTCTTTTTGTGGAATTTTCAGGTGGAGGTATCAAGCGCTTTGAGGCCCATGATAGAAAAGGAAATACCTTCGTATAATAATTAGACGGAATCATTCTCAGAAACTGCTTTGCAATGTGTGCCTTCAACTCACAGCGTTTAACCTTTCTTTTCATACAGTTGTTTCGAAACACTCTTTTTGCAGAATCTGCAAGTGGATATTTGGACCTCTTTGAAGTCTTCGTTGGAAATGGGATTTCTTCATATAATGCTAGACAGAAGACTTCTCAGTAACTGCTTTTTCTGGTGTGTATTCAACTCTCAGAGTTGAACTTTCCTTTAGAAACAGCAGATTTGAAACTCTCTTTTTGTGGAATTTGCAAGTGGAGATTTCAGAGCTTTGAGGCCAATGGTAGAAAAGGAAATATCTTCGTATGCAAACTAGACAGAATCATTCTCAGAAACTACTTTGGTACGTGTGTGTTCAACTCACAGTGTTTAACCTTTCTTTTCATAGAGCAGTTTGGAAACACTCAGTTTGTAAAGTCAGCAACTGGATATTTGGATGTATTTGAGGCCTTCGTTGGAAACGGGATTTCTTCATATAATGCTAGACAGAAGAATTCTCAGTAACTTCTTTGTGTTGTGGGTATTCAACTCACAGAGTTGAAGCTTCCTTTAGGCGGAGCAGATTGGAAACACTTTTTGTGGAATTTTCAGGGGGAGACTTCAAGCGCTTTGAGGCCAACGGTAGAAAAGGAAATATCTTCGTATAAAAACTAGACGGAGTCATTCTCAGAAACTACTTTGTGATGTTTGCGTTCAACTCACAGAGTTTAACGTTTCTTTTCATAGAGCAGTTTGGAAACACTCTTTTTGCAGAATCTGCAAGTGGATATTTGGACCTCTTTGTGGCCTTCGTTGGAAACGGGATTTTTCATATAATGCTAGACAGAAGAATTCTCAGTAACTTCTTTTTGTGGTGTGTATTCAACTCACAGAGTTGAACCTTCCTTTAGACAGAGCAGATTTGAAACTCTCTTTTTGTGGAATTTGCAAGTGGAGATTTCAAGCGCTTTGAGGCCAACGGTAGAAAAGTAAATATCTTCGTAGAAAAAATAGACGGAATCATTCTCAGAAACTGCTTTGGGATGTGTGCATTGAACTCACAGTGTTTAACACTTCTTTTCATAGAGCACTTTGGAAACACTCAGTTTGTAATGTCTGCAGCTGGATATTTGGACCTCTTTGAGGCCTTCGTAGTAAACGGGATTTCTTCGTGTAATGATAGACAATAGAATTCTCAGTGAATTTTTTTCTGTGTGTGTGTATTCAACTCACAGTGTTGAACCTTCCTTTAGACAGTGCAGATTTGAAACACTTGTCTGTGGAATTTGCAAGGGGAGATTTCAAGCACTTTGAGGCCATTGGTGGAAAAGGAAATAACTTCGTATGAAAACTAGACAGAATCATTCTCAGGAACTACTTTGTGATATGTGCATTCAACTCACAGAGTTTAACCTTTCTTTTCATAGATGAGTTTGGAAACAGTCAGTTTGTAAATGCTGCAACTGGATATTTGGGCCTCTTTGAGGCTTTCGTTGGAAACGGGATTTCTTCACATAATGCTAGACAGAAGAATTCTCAGTAACTTCTTTTGGGATGTATGTATTCAAATCAGAGAGTTGAACCTTCCCTTTAGACAGAGCGGATTGGAAACACTCTTTTTGTGGAATTTGCAAGTGGAAAATTCTAGCAGTATGAGGCCAATGGTACAAAAGGAAATATCTTCGTATAAAAACTAGACAGTATCATTCTCAGAAACTGCTTTGTGATGTGTGTATTAAACTCACAGAGTTGAACATTTCTTTGCATAGAGCAGTTTGGAAAGACTTAGTTTGTGCAGTGTGCAAGTGGATATTTGGAACTCTTTGAGGCCTTCGTTGGAAACGGGATTTCTTCTTATAATTCTTGACAAAAGAATTCTCAGTAGCTTCTTTGTGTGTGTGTATTCAACTCACAGAGTTGAACCTTCCTTTAGACAGAGCAGATTGGAAACACTCTTTTTGTGGAATTTGCAAGTGGAGAATTCTAGCGCTTTGACGCCAATGGTAGAAAGGAAATATCTTCGTATAAAAACTAGACTGTATCATTCTCAGAAACTACTTTGTGATGTGTGCGTTCAACTCACAGAGTTTAACCTTTCTTTTCATAGAGCAGTTTGGAAACACTCTGTGAAGTCTGCAAGTGGATATTTAAACGTCTTTGAGGCCTTCGTTGGAAACGGGATTTTTTCATATAAACCAGGACAGAAGAATTCTCAGAAACTTCTTGATTGTTATGTGTGCATTCAACTCACAGAGTTGAACCTTACTTTGGAAAGAGCAGTTTTCTAACACTCTTTTTGTAAAAGTTCCAAGTGAATACTTTGAGTGCTTTGAAGCCTACGGTTGACAACGAAATATCTTCATGTAAAAACTACAAAGAATCATTCGCAGAAACCACGTTGTGATCTCTGCAG
The DNA here is from genome assembly GCF_000001405.40 of Homo sapiens. Lineage (NCBI taxonomy): Eukaryota > Metazoa > Chordata > Mammalia > Primates > Hominidae > Homo > Homo sapiens. Next base: position 93,333,370 of record NC_000003.12, read on the forward strand.
TCAACTCACAGAGTTCAACCTTTCTTCCTATAGAGCAGTTATGAAACAGTCTCTTTGTAGAATTTGCAAGGGTGTATTTAGAGGGCATTGAAGCCTACGGTAGAAAAGGAAATATCTTACCATAAAATCTAGTCAGAAGCATTCTCAGCAACTGAGTTGTGATGTTTGCATTCAACTCACAGAGTTCAACATTCCTTTTAATGGAGCGGTTTTGAAACACTCTTTTTGCAGAATCTGCAAGTGGATATTTGGACCTCTTTGAGGCCTTCGTTGGAAACGGGATTTCTTCATGTAATGCCAGACAGAAGAATTCTCAGTGAATTCTTTCTGTGTGTGTGTATTCAACTCACAGAGTTGAACGTTCCTTTAGACAGAGTAGATTGGAAACACTCTTTTTGTGGAATTTTCAGGTGGAGGTATCAAGCGCTTTGAGGCCAATGATAGAAAAGGAAATACCTTCGTATAATAATTAGACGGAATCATTCTCAGAAACTGCTTTGCAATGTGTGCGTTCAACTCACAGTGTTTAACCTTTCTTTTCATACAGTTGTTTCGAAACACTCTTTTTGCAGAATCTGCAAGTGGATATTTGGACCTCTTTGAAGTCTTCGTTGGAAATGGGATTTCTTCATATAATGCTAGACAGAAGACTTCTCAGTAACTGCTTTTTCTGGTGTGTATTCAACACTCAGAGTTGAACTTTCCTTTAGAAACAGCAGAGTTGAAACTCTCTTTTTGTGGAATTTGCAAGTGGAGATTTCAGAGCTTTGAGGCCAATGGTAGAAAAGGAAATATCTTCGTATGCAAACTAGACAGAATCATTCTCAGAAACTACTTTGGTACGTGTGTGTTCAACTCACAGTGTTTAACCTTTCTTTTCATAGAGCAGTTTGGAAACACTCAGTTTGTAAAGTCAGCAACTGGATATTTGGATGTATTTGAGGCCTTCGTTGGAAACGGGATTTCTTCATATAATGCTAGACAGAAGAATTCTCAGTAACTTCTTTGGGTTGTGGGTATTCAAGTCACAGAGTTGAAGCTTCCTTTAGGCGGAGCAGATTGGAAACACTTTTTGTGGAATTTTCAGGGGGAGACTTCAAGCGCTTTGAAGTGAATGGTAGGAAAGGAAATATCTTCGTATAAAAACTAGACGGAGTCATTCTCAGAAACTACTTTGTGATGTTTGCGTTCAACTCACAGAGTTTAACGTTTCTTTCCATAGAGCAGTTTGGAAACACTCTTTTTGCAGAATCTGCAAGTGGATATTTGGACCTCTTTGTGGCCTTCGTTGGAAACGGGATTTTTCATATAATGCTAGACAGAAGAATTCTCAGTAACTTCTTTTTGTGGTGTGTATTCAACTCACAGAGTTGAACCTTCCTTTAGACAGAGCAGATTTGAAACTCTCTTTTTGTGGAATTTGCAAGTGGAGATTTCAAGCGCTTTGAGGCCAACGGCAGAAAAGGAAATATCTTTGTAGAAAAAATAGACGGCATCATTCTCAGAAACTGCTTTGGGATGTGTGCATTGAACTCACAGTGTTTAACACTTCTTTTCATAGAGCACTTTGGAAACACTCAGTTTGTAATGTCTGCAGCTGGATATTTGGACCTCTTTGAGGCCTTCGTAGTAAACGGGATTTCTTCGTGTAATGATAGACAATAGAATTCTCAGTGAATTTTTTTCTGTGTGTGTGTATTCAACTCACAGGGTTGAACCTTCCTTCAGACAGTGCAGATTTGAAACACTTTTCTGTGGAATTTGCAAGGGGAGATTTCAAGCACTTTGAGGCCATTGGTGGAAAAGGAAATATCTTCGTATAAAAACTAGACAGAATCATTCTCAGGAACTACTTTGTGATATGTGCATTCAACTCCCAGAGTTCAACCTTTCTTTTCATAGATGAGTTTGGAAACAGTCAGTTTGTAAATTCTGCAACTGGATATTTGGACCCCTTTGAGGCTTTCATTGGAAACGGGATTTCTTCACATAATGCTAGACAGAAGAATTCTCAGTAACTTCTTTTGGGATGTGTGTATTCAAATCAGAGAGTTGAACCTTCCTTTAGACAGAGCGGATTGGAAACACTCTTTTTGTGGAATTTGCAAGTGGAATATTCTAGCAGTATGAGGCCAATGGTACAAAAGGAAATATCTTCGTATAAAAACTAGACAGTATCATTCTCAGAAACTGCTTTGTGATGTGTGTATTAAACTCACAGAGTTGAACATTTCTTTGCATAGAGCAGTTTGGAAAGACTTAGTTTGTGCAGTGTGCAAGTGGATATTTGGAACTCTTTGAGGCCTTCGTTGGAAACGGGATTTCTTCTTATAATTCTTGACAAAAGAATTCTCAGTAGCTTCTTTGTGTGTGTGTATTCAACTCACAGAGTTGAACTTTCCTTTAGACAGAGCAGATTGGAAACACTCTTTTTGTGGAATTTGCAAGTGGAGAATTCTAGCGCTTTGACACCAATGGTAGAAAGGAAATATCTTCGTATAAAAACTAGACAGTAATCATTCTCAGAAACTACTTTGTGAGGTGTGCGTTCAACTCACAGTATTTACCCTTTCTTTTCATAGAGCAGTTTGGAAACACTCTGTTTGTGAAGTCTGCAAGTGGATATTTAAACGTCTTTGAGGCCTTCGTTGGAAACGGGATTTCTTCATATAAACCAGGACAGAAGAATTCTCAGACACTTCTTGTTTGTTATGTGTGCATTCAACTCACAGAGTTGAACCTTACTTTGGAAAGAGCAGTTTTCTAACACTCTTTTTGTAAAAGTTCCAAGTGAATACTTTGAGTGCTTTGAAGCCTACGGTAGACAACGAAATATCTTCATGTAAAAACTACAAAGAATCATTCGCCGAAACCACGTTGTGATCTCTGCATGCAACTCACAGAGTTCAACCTTTCTTCCTATAGAGCAGTTATTAAACAGTCCCTTTGTAGAATTTGCAAGGGTGTATTTAGAGGGCATTGAGGCCTACGGTAGAAAAGGAAATATCTGACCATAAAATCTAGTCAGAAGCATTCTCAGAAACTGAGTTGTGATGTTTGCATTCAACTCACAGAGTTCAACATTCCTTTTCATAGAGCGGTTTTGAAACACTCTTTTTGCAGAATCTGCAAGTGGATATTTGGACCTCTTTCAGGACTTCGTTGGAAACGGGATTTCTTCATGTAATGCCAGACAGAAGAACTCTCAGTGAATTCTTTCTGTGTGTGTGTATTCAACTCACAGAGTTGAACGTTCCTTTAGACAGAGTAGATTGGAAACACTCTTTTTGTGGAATTTTCAGGTGGAGGTATCAAGCGCTTTGAGGCCCATGATAGAAAAGGAAATACCTTCGTATAATAATTAGACGGAATCATTCTCAGAAACTGCTTTGCAATGTGTGCCTTCAACTCACAGCGTTTAATCTTTCTTTTCATACAGTTGTTTCGAAACACTCTTTTTGCAGAATCTGCAAGTGGATATTTGGACCTCTTTGAAGTCTTCGTTGGAAATGGGATTTCTTCATATAATGCTAGACAGAAGACTTCTCAGTAACTGGTTTTTCTGGTGTGTATTCAACTCTCAGAGTTGAACTTTCCTTTAGAAACAGCAGATATGAAACTCTCTTTTTGTGGAATTTGCAAGTGGAGATTTCAAAGCATTGAGGCCAATGGTAGAAAAGGAAATATCTTCGTATGCCAACTAGACAGAATCATTCTCAGAAACTACTTTGGTACGTGTGTGTTCAACTCACAGTGTTTAACCTTTCTTTTCATAGAGCAGTTTGGAAACACTCAGTTTGTAAAGTCAGCAACTGGATATTTGGATGTATTTGAGGCCTTCGTTGGAAACGGGATTTCTTCATATAATGCTAGACAGAAGAATTCTCAGTAACTTCTTTGTGTTGTGGGTATTCAACTCACAGAGTTGAAGCTTCCTTTAGGCGGAGCAGATTGGAAACACTTTTTGTGGAATTTTCAGGGGGAGACTTCAAGCGCTTTGAGGCCAACGGTAGAAAAGGAAATATCTTCGTATAAAAACTAGACGGAGTCATTCTCAGAAACTACTTTGTGATGTTTGCGTTCAACTCACAGAGTTTAACGTTTCTTTTCATAGAGCAGTTTGGAAACACTCTTTTTGCAGAATCTGCAAGTGGATATTTGGACCTCTTTGTGGCCTTCGTTGGAAACGGGATTTTTCATATAATGCTAGACAGAAGAATTCTCAGTAACTTCTTTTTGTGGTGTGTATTCAACTCACAGAGTTGAACCTTCCTTTAGACAGAGCAGATTTGAAACTCTCTTTTTGTGGAATTTGCAAGTGGAGATTTCAAGCGCTTTGAGGCCAACGGCAGAAAAGGAAATATCTTCGTAGAAAAAATAGACGGCATCATTCTCAGAAACTGCTTTGGGATGTGTGCATTGAACTCACAGTGTTTAACACTTCTTTTCATAGAGCACTTTGGAAACACTCAGTTTGTAATGTCTGCAGCTGGATATTTGGACCTCTTTGAGGCCTTCGTAGTAAACGGGATTTCTTCGTGTAATGATAGACAATAGAATTCTCAGTGAATTTTTTTCTGTGTGTGTGTATTCAACTCACAGGGTTGAACCTTCCTTTAGACAGTGCAGATTTGAAACACTTGTCTGTGGAATTTGCAAGGGGAGATTTCAAGCACTTTGAGGCCATTGGTGGAAAAGGAAATATCTTCGTATAAAAACTAGACAGAATCATTCTCAGGAACTACTTTGTGATATGTGCATTCAACTCACAGAGTTTAACCTTTCTTTTCATAGATGAGTTTGGAAACAGTCAGTTTGTAAATTCTGCAACTGGATATTTGGACCTCTTTGAGGCTTTCGTTGGAAACGGGATTTCTTCACATAATGCTAGACAGAAGAATTCTCAGTAACTTCTTTTGGGATGTATGTATTCAAATCAGAGAGTTGAACCTTCCTTTAGACAGAGCGGATTGGAAACACTCTTTTTGTGGAATTTGCAAGTGGAAAATTCTAGCAGTATGAGGCCAATGGTACAAAAGGAAATATCTTCGTATAAAAACTAGACAGTATCATTCTCAGAAACTGCTTTGTGATGTGTGTATTAAACTCACAGAGTTGAACATTTCTTTGCATAGAGCAGTTTGGAAAGACTTAGTTTGTGCAGTGTGCAAGTGGATATTTGGAACTCTTTGAGGCCTTCGTTGGAAACGGGATTTCTTCTTATAATTCTTGACAAAAGAATTCTCAGTAGCTTCTTTGTGTGTGTGTACTCAACTCACAGAGTTGAACCTTCCTTTAGACAGAGCAGATTGGAAACACTCTTTTTGTGGAATTTGCAAGTGGAAAATTCTAGCAGTATGAGGCCAATGGTACAAAAGGAAATATCTTCGTATAAAAACTAGACAGTATCATTCTCAGAAACTACTTTGTGATGTGTGCGTTCAACTCACAGTGTTTACCCTTTCTTTTCATAGAGCAGTTTGGAAACACTCTGTTTGTGAAGTCTGCAAGTGGATATTTAAACGTCTTTGAGGCCTTCGTTGGAAACGGGATTTCTTCATATAAACCAGGACAGAAGAATTCTCAGAAACTTCTTGTTTGTTATGTGTGCATTCAACTCACAGAGTTGAACCTTACTTTGGAAAGAGCAGTTTTCTAACACTCTTTTTGTAAAAGTTCCAAGTGAATACTTTGAGTGCTTTGAAGCCTACGGTAGACAACGAAATATCTTCATGTAAAAACTACAAAGAATCATTCGCAGAAACCACGTTGTGATCTCTGCATTCAACTCACAGAGTTCAACCTTCCTTCCTATAGGGCAGTTATTAAACAGTCTCTTTGTAGAATGTGCAAGGGTGTATTTAGAGGTCATTGAAGCCTACGGTAGAAAAGGAAATATCTTCCCATAAAATCTAGTCAGAAGCATTCTCATAAACTGAGTTGTGATGTTTGCATTCAACTCACAGAGTTCAACATTCCTTTTAATAGAGCGGTTTTGAAGCACTCTTTTTGCAGAATCTGCAAGTGGATATTTGGACCTCTTTGAGGCTTTCTTTGGAAACGGGATTTCTTCACATAATGCTAGACAGAAGAATTCTCAGTAACTTCTTTTGGGATGTATGTATTCAACTCAGAGAGTTGAACCTTCCTTTAGACAGAGCGGATTGGAAACACGCTTTTTGCGGAATTTTCAGGTAGAGATTCCAAGAGCCTTGAGGCCAATGGTAGAAAAGGCTATCTTCGTATAAAAACTAGAGGGAATCATTCTCAGAAACCTCTTTGTGATGTGTGCATTAAACTCACAGAGTTGAACATTTCTTTGCATAGAGCAGTTTGGAAAGACTTAGTTTTTACAGTGTGCAAGTGGATATTTCGGACTCTTTGAGGACTTCATTGGAAACGGGATTTCTTCTTATAATTCTTGGCAACAGAATTCTCAGTAGCTTCCTTGTGTGTGTGTATTCAACTCACAGAGTTGAACCTGCCTTTAGGCAGAGCAGATTGGAAACCCTCTTTTTGTGGAATTTGCAAGTGGAGAATTCTAGCGCTTTGACGCCAATGGTAGGAAAGGAAATATCTTCGTATAAAAACTGGACAGTATCATTCTCAGAAGCTACTTTGTGATGTGTGCGTTCAACTCACAGAGTTTAACCTTTCTTTTCATAGAGCAGTTTGGAAACACTCTGTTTGTGAAGTCTGCAAGTGGATATTTAAACGTCTTTGAGGCCTTCGTTGGAAACGGGATTTTTTCATATAAACCAGGACAGAAGAATTCTCAGAAACTTCTTGATTGTTATGTGTGCATTCAACTCACAGAGTTGAACCTTACTTTGGAAAGAGCAGTTTTCTAACACTCTTTTTGTAAAAGTTCCAAGTGAATACTTTGAGTGCTTTGAAGCCTACGGTTGACAACGAAATATCTTCCTGTAAAAACTACAAAGAATCATTCGCAGAAACCACGTTGTGATCTCTGCATTCAACTCACAGAGTTGAACCTTTCTTCCTATAGAGCAGTTATGAAACAGTCTCTTTGTAGAATTTGCAAGGGTGTATTTAGAGGGCATTGAAGCCTACGGTATAAAAGGAAATATCTTACCATAAAATCTAGTCAGAAGCATTCTCAGCAACTGAGTTGTGATGTTTGCATTCAACTCACAGAGTTCAACATTCCTTTTAATGGAGCGTTTTTGAAACACTCTTTTTGCAGAATCTGCAAGTGGATATTTGGACCTCTTTGAGGCCTTCGTTGGAAACGGGATTTCTTCATGTAATGCCAGACAGAAGAATTCTCAGTGAATTCTTTCTGTGTGTGTGTATTCAACTCACAGAGTTGAACCTTCCTTTAGACAGAGCAGATTTGAAACTCTCTTTTTGTGGAATTTGCAATTGGAGATTTCAAGCGCTTTGAGGCCAACGGCAGAAAAGGAAATATCTTCGTAGAAAAAATAGACGGAATCATTCTCAGAAACTGCTTTGGGATGTGTGCATTGAACTCACAGTGTTTAACACTTCTTTTCATAGAGCACTTTGGAAACACTCAGTTTGTAATGTCTGCAGCTGGATATTTGGACCTCTTTGAGGCCTTCGTAGTAAACGGGATTTCTTCGTGTAATGATAGACAATAGAATTCTCAGTGAATTTTTTTCTGTGTGTGTGTATTCAACTCACAGGGTTGAACCTTCCTTTAGACAGTGCAGATTTGAAACACTTGTCTGTGGAATTTGCAAGGGGAGATTTCAAGCACTTTGAGGCCATTGGTGGAAAAGGAAATATCTTCGTATAAAAACTAGACAGAATCATTCTCAGGAACTACTTTGTGATATGTGCATTCAACTCACAGAGTTTAACCTTTCTTTTCATAGATGAGTTTGGAAACAGTCAGTTTGGAAATTCTGCAACTGGATATTTGGACCTCTTTGAGGCTTTCGTTGGAAACGGGATTTCTTCACATAATGCTAGACAGAAGAATTCGCAGTAACTTCTTTTGGGATGTATGTATTCAACTCAGAGAGTTGAACCTTCCTTTAGACAGAGCGGATTGGAAACACGCTTTTTGCGGAATTTTCAGGTGGAGATTCCAAGAGCCTTGAGGCCAATGGTAGAAAAGGCTATCTTCGTATAAAAACTAGAGGGAATCATTCTCAGAAACTGCTTTGTGATGTGTGCATTAAACTCACAGAGTTGAACATTTCTTTGCATAGAGCAGTTTGGAAAGACTTAGTTTGTACAGTGTGCAAGTGGATATTTGGAACTCTTTGAGGCCTTCGTTGAAAACGGGATTTCTTCTTATAATTCTTGACAAAAGAATTCTCAGTAGCTTCTTTGTGTGTGTGTATTCAACTCACAGAGTTGAACCTTCCTTTAGGCAGAGCAGATTGGAAACCCACTTTTTGTGGAATTTGCAAGTGGAGAATTCTAGCGCTTTGACGCCAATGGTAGGAAAGGAAATATCTCCGTATAAAAACTAGACAGTATCATTCTCAGAAACTACTTTGTGATGTGTGCGTTCAACTCACAGAGTTTAACCTTTCTTTTCATAGAGCAGTTTGGAAACACTCTGTTTGTGAAGTCTGCCAGTGGATATTTAAACGTCTTTGAGGCCTTCGTTGGAAACGGGATTTTTTCATATAAACCAGGACAGAAGAATTCTCAGAAACTTCTTCTTTGTTATGTGTGCATTCAACTCACAGAGTTGAACCTTACTTTGGAAAGAGCAGTTTTCTAACACTCTTTTTGTAAAACTTCCAAGTGCATACTTTGAGTGCTTTGAAGCCTACGGTAGACAACGAAATATCTTCATGTAAAAACTACAAAGAATCATTCGCAGAAACCACGTTGTGATCTGTGCATTCAACTCACAGAGTTCAACCATTCTTTCTATAGAGCAGTTATGAAACACTCTCTTTGTAGAATTTGCAAGGGTGTATTTAGAGGGCATTGAAGCCTACGGTAGAAAAGGAAATATCTGACCATAAAAACTAGACAGAAGCATTCTCAGAAACTGAGTTGTGATGTTTGCGTTCAACTCACAGAGTTCAACATTCCTTTTAATAGAGCGGTTTTGAAACACTCTATTTGCAGAATCTGCAAGTGGACATTTGGACCTCTTTGAGGCCTTCGTTGGAAACGGGATTTCTTCATGTAAATGCCAGACAGAAGAATTCTCAGTGAATTCTTTCTGTGTGTGTGTATTCAACTCACCGAGTTGAACGTTCCTTTAGACAGAGTAGATTGGAAACACTCTTTTTGTGGAATTTTCAGGTGGAGATATCAAGCGCTTTGAGGCCAATGATAGAAAAGGAAATACCTTCGTATAATAATTAGACGGAATCATTCTCAGAAACTGCTTTGCAATGTGTGCGTTGAACTCACAGAGTTTAACTTTGTTTTCATACAGTTGTTTCGAAACACTCTTTTTGCAGAATCTTCAAGTGGATATTTTTTTGGACTTCTTTGAAGTCTTCGTTGGAAACGGGATTTCTTCATATAATGCTGGACAGAAGACTTCTCAGTAACTGCTTTTTCTGGTGTGTATTCAACTCTCAGAGTTGAACTTTCCTTTAGAAACAGCAGAGTTGAAACTCTCTTTTTGTGGAATTTGCAAGTGGAGATTTCAGAGCTTTGAGGCCAATGGTAGAAAAGGAAATATCCTTCGTATGCAAACTAGACAGAATCATTCTCAGAAACTACTTTGGTACGTGTGTGTTCAACTCACAGTGTTTAACCTTTCTTTTCATAGAGCAGTTTGGAAACACTCAGTTTGTAAAGTCAGCAACTGGATATTTGGATGTATTTGAGGCCTTCGTTGGAAACGGGATTTCTTCATATAATGCTAGACAGAAGAATTCTCAGTAACTTCTTTGGGTTGTGGGTATTCAAGTCACAGAGTTGAAGCTTCCTTTAGGCGGAGCAGATTGGAAACACTTTTTGTGGAATTTTCAGGGGGAGACTTCAAGCGCTTTGAAGTGAATGGTAGGAAAGGAAATATCTTCGTATAAAAACTAGACGGAGTCATTCTCAGAAACTACTTTGTGATGTTTGCGTTCAACTCACAGAGTTTAACGTTTCTTTTCATAGAGCAGTTTGGAAACACTCTTTTTGCAGAATCTGCAAGTGGATATTTGGACCTCTTTGTGGCCTTCGTTGGAAACGGGATTTTTCATATAATGCTAGACAGAAGAATTCTCAGTAACTTCTTTTTGTGGTGTGTATTCAACTCACAGAGTTGAACCTTCCTTTAGACAGAGCAGATTTGAAACTCTCTTTTTGTGGAATTTGCAAGTGGAGATTTCAAGCGCTTTGAGGCCAACGGCAGAAAAGGAAATATCTTCGTAGAAAAAATAGACGGAATCATTCTCAGAAACTGCTTTGGGATGTGTGCATTGAACTCACAGTGTTTAACACTTCTTTTCATAGAGCACTTTGGAAACACTCAGTTTGTAATGTCTGCAGCTGGATATTTGGACCTCTATGAGGCCTTCGTAGTAAACGGGATTTCTTCGTGTAATGATAGACAATAGAATTCTCAGTGAATTTTTTTCTGTGTGTGTGTATTCAACTCACAGGGTTGAACCTTCCTTTAGACAGTGCAGATTTGAGACACTTGTCTGTGGAATTTGCAAGGGGAGATTTAAAGCACTTTGAGGCCATTGGTGGAAAAGGAAATATCTTCGTATAAAAACTAGACAGAATCATTCTCAGGAACTACTTTGTGATATGTGCATTCAACTCACAGAGTTTAACCTTACTTTTCATAGATGAGTTTGGAAACAGTCAGTTTGTAAATTCTGCAACTGGATATTTGGACCTCTTTGAGGCTTTCGTTGGAAACGGGATTTCTTCACATAATGCTAGACAGAAGAATTCTCAGTAACTTCTTTTGGGATGTATGTATTCAAATCAGAGAGTTGAACCTTCCTTTAGACAGAGCGGATTGGAAACCCTCTTTTTGTGGAATTTGCAAGTGGAAAATTCTAGCAGTATGAGGCCAATGGTACAAAAGGAAATATCTTCGTATAAAAACTAGACAGTATCATTCTCAGAAACTGCTTTGTGATGTGTGTATTAAACTCACAGAGTTGAACATTTCTTTGCATAGAGCAGTTTGGAAAGACTTAGTTTGTGCAGTGTGCAAGTGGATATTTGGAACTCTTTGAGGCCTTCGTTGGAAACGGGATTTCTTCTTATAATTTCTTGAAAAAAGAATTCTCAGTAGCTTCTTTGTGTGTGTGTATTCAACTCACAGAGTTGAACCTTCCTTTAGACAGAGCAGATTGGAAACACTCTTTTTGTGGAATTTGCAAGTGGAGAATTCTAGCGCTTTGACGCCAATGGTAGAAAGGAAATATCTTCGTATAAAAACTAGACAGTATCATTCTCAGAAGCTACTTTGTGATGTGTGCGTTCAACTCACAGAGTTTAACCTTTCTTTTCATAGAGCAGTTTGGAAACCCTCTGTTTGTGAAGTCTGCAAGTGGATATTTAAACGTCTTTGAGGCCTTCGTTGGAAACGGGATTTTTTCATATAAACCAGGACAGAAGAATTCTCAGAAACTTCTTGATTGTTATGTGTGCATTCAACTCACAGAGTTGAACCTTACTTTGGAAAGAGCAGTTTTCTAACACTCTTTTTGTAAAAGTTCCAAGTGAATACTTTGAGTGCTTTGAAGCCTACGGTTGACAACGAAATATCTTCATGTAAAAACTACAAAGAATCATTCGCAGAAACCACGTTGTGATCTCTGCAGTCAACTCACAGAGTTCAACCTTTCTTCCTATAGAGCAGTTATGAAACAGTCTCTTTGTAGAATTTGCAAGGGTGTATTTAGAGGGCATTGAAGCCTACGGTAGAAAAGGAAATATCTTACCATAAAATCTAGTCAGAAGCATTCTCAGAAACTGAGTTGTGATGTTTGCATTCAACTCACAGAGTTCAACATTCCTTTTAATGGAGCGGTTTTGAAACACTCTTTTTGCAGAATCTGCAAGTGGATATTTGGACCTCTTTGAGGCCTTCGTTGGAAACGGGATTTCTTCATGTAATGCCAGACAGAAGAATTCTCAGTGAATTCTTTCTGTGTGTGTGTATTCAACTCACAGAGTTGAACGTTCCTTTAGACAGAGTAGATTGGAAACACTCTTTTTGTGGAATTTTCAGGTGGAGGTATCAAGCGCTTTGAGGCCAATGATAGAAAAGGAAATACCTTCGTATAATAATTAGACGGAATCATTCTCAGAAACTGCTTTGCAATGTGTGCGTTCAACTCACAGTGTTTAACCTTTCTTTTCATACAGTTGTTTCGAAACACTCTTTTTGCAGAATCTGCAAGTGGATATTTGGACCTCTTTGAAGTCTTCGTTGGAAATGGGATTTCTTCATATAATGCTAGACAGAAGACTTCTCAGTAACTGCTTTTTCTGGTGTGTATTCAACTCTCAGAGTTGAACTTTCCTTTAGAAACAGCAGATTTGAAACTCTCTTTTTGTGGAATTTGCAAGTGGAGATTTCAGAGCTTTGAGGCCAATGGTAGAAAAGGAAATATCTTCGTATGCAAACTAAACAGAATCATTCTCAGAAACTACTTTGGTACATGTGTGTTCAACTCACAGTGTTTAACCTTTCTTTTCATGGAACAGTTTGGAAACACTCAGTTTGTAAAGTCAGCAACTGGATATTTGGATGTATTTGAGGCCTTCGTTGGAAACGGGATTTCTTCATATAATGCTAGACAGAAGAATTCTCAGTAACTTCTTTGGGTTGTGGGTATTCAAGTCACAGAGTTGAAGCTTCCTTTAGGCGGAGCAGATTGGAAACACTTTTGTGGAATTTTCAGGGGGAGACTTCAAGCGCTTTGAAGTGAATGGTAGGAAAGGAAATATCTTCGTATAAAAACTAGACGGAGTCATTCTCAGAAACTACTTTGTGATGTTTGCGTTCAACTCACAGAGTTTAACGTTTCTTTTCATAGAGCAGTTTGGAAACACTCTTTTTGCAGAATCTGCAAGTGGATATTTGGACCTCTTTGTGGCCTTCGTTGGAAACGGGATTTTTCATATAATGCTAGACAGAAGAATTCTCAGTAACTTCTTTTTGTGGTGTGTATTCAACTCACAGAGTTGAACCTTCCTTTAGACAGAGCAGATTTGAAACTCTCTTTTTGTGGAATTTGCAAGTGGAGATTTCAAGCGCTTTGAGGCCAACGGCAGAAAAGGAAATATCTTCGTAGAAAAAATAGACGGAATCATTCTCAGAAACTGCTTTGGGATGTGTGCATTGAACTCACAGTGTTTAACACTTCTTTTCATAGAGCACTTTGGAAACACTCAGTTTGTGATGTCTGCAGCTGGATATTTGGACTTCTTTGAGGCCTTCGTAGTAAACGGGATTTTTTCATGTAATGATAGACAATAGAATTCTCAGTGAATTTTTTTCTGTGTGTGTGTATTCAACTCACAGGGTTGAACCTTCCTTCAGACAGTGCAGATTTGAAACACTTTTCTGTGGAATTTGCAAGGGGAGATTTCAAGCACTTTGAGGCCATTGGTGGAAAAGGAAATATCTTCGTATAAAAACTAGACAGAATCATTCTCAGGAACTACTTTGTGATATGTGCATTCAACTCCCAGAGTTTAACCTTTCTTTTCATAGATGAGTTTGGAAACAGTCAGTTTGTAAATTCTGCAACTGGATATTTGGACCTCTTTGAGGCTTTCGTTGGAAACGGGATTTCTTCACATAATGCTAGACAGAAGAATTCTCAGTAAATTCTTTTGGGATGTATGTATTCAAATCAGAGAGTTGAACCTTCCTTTAGACAGAGCGGATTGGAAACACTCTTTTTGTGGAATTTGCAAGTGGAAAATTCTAGCAGTATGAGGCCAATGGTACAAAAGGAAATATCTTCGTACAAAAACTAGACAGTATCATTCTCAGAAACTGCTTTGTGATGTGTGCATTAAACTCACAGAGGTGAACATTTCTTTGCATAGAGCAGTTTGGAAAGACTTAGTTTGTACAGTGTGCAAGTGGATATTTGGAACTCTTTGAGGCCTTCGTTGGAAACGGGATTTCTTCTTATAATTCTTGACAAAAGAATTCTCAGTAGCTTCTTTGTGTGTGTGTACTCAACTCACAGAGTTGAACCTTCCTTTAGACAGAGCAGATTGGAAACACTCTTTTTGTGGAATTTGCAAGTGGAAAATTCTAGCAGTATGAGGCCAGTGGTACAAAAGGAAATATCTTCGTATAAAAACTAGACAGTATTTTTCTCAGAAACTACTTTGTGATGTGTACGTTCAACTCACAGAGTTTAACCTTTCTTTTCATAGAGCAGTTTGGAAACACTCTGTTTGTGAAGTCTGCAAGTGGATATTTAAACGTCTTTGAGGCCTTCGTTGGAAACGGGATTTTTTCATATAAACCAGTACAGAAGAATTCTCAGAAACTTCTTGTTTGTTATGTGTGCATTCAACTCACAGAGTTGAACCTTACTTTGGAAAGAGCAGTTTTCTGACACTCTTATTGTAAAAGTTCCAAGTGAATACTTTGAGTGCTTTGAAGCCTACGGTAGACAACGAAATATCTTCATGTAAAAACTACGAAGAATCATTCGCAGAAACCACGTTGTGATCTCTGCATTCAACTCACAGAGTTCAACCTTTCTTCCTATAGAGCAGTTATGAAACAGTCTCTTTGTAGAATTTGCAAGGGTGTATTTAGAGGGCATTGAAGCCTACGGTAGAAAAGGAAATATCTTACCATAAAATCTAGTCAGAAGCATTCTCAGCAACTGAGTTGTGATGTTTCCATTCCACTCACAGAGTTCAACATTCCTTTTAATGGAGCGGTTTTGAAACACTCTTTTTGCAGAATCTGCAAGTGGATATTTGGACCTCTTTGAGGCCTTCGTTGGAAACGGGATTTCTTCATGTAATGCCAGACAGAAGAATTCTCAGTGAATTCTTTCTGTGTGTGTGTATTCAACTCACAGAGTTGAACGTTCCTTTAGACAGAGTAGATTGGAAACACTCTTTTTGTGGAATTTTCAGGTGGAGGTATCAAGCGCTTTGAGGCCAATGATAGAAAAGGAAATACCTTCGTATAATAATTAGACGGAATCATTCTCAGAAACCGCTTTGCAATGTGTGCGTTCAACTCACAGTGTTTAACCTTTCTTTTCATACAGTTGTTTCGAAACACTCTTTTTGCAGAATCTGCAAGTGGATATTTGGACCTCTTTGAAGTCTTCGTTGGAAATGGGATTTCTTCATATAATGCTAGACAGAAGACTTCTCAGTAACTGCTTTTTCTGGTGTGTATTCAACTCTCAGAGTTGAACTTTCCTTTAGAAACAGCAGATTTGAAACTCTCTTTTTGTGGAATTTGCAAGTGGAGATTTCAGAGCTTTGAGGCCAATGGTAGAAAAGGAAGTATCTTCGTATGCAAACTAGACAGAATCATTCTCAGAAACTACTTTGGTACGTGTGTGTTCAACTCACAGTGTTTAACCTTTCTTTTCATAGAGCAGTTTGGAAACACTCAGTTTGTAAAGTCAGCAACTGGATATTTGGATGTATTTGAGGCCTTCGTTGGAAACGGGATTTCTTCATATAATGCTAGACAGAAGAATTCTCAGTAACTTCTTTGGGTTGTGGGTATTCAACTCACAGAGTTGAAGCTTCCTTTAGGCGGAGCAGATTGGAAACACTTTTTGTGGAATTTTCAGGGGGAGACTTCAAGCGCTTTGAAGTGAATGGTAGGAAAGGAAATATCTTCGTATAAAAACTAGACGGAGTCATTCTCAGAAACTACTTTGTGATGTTTGCGTTCAACTCACAGAGTTTAACGTTTCTTTTCATAGAGCAGTTTGGAAACACTCTTTTTGCAGAATCTGCAAGTGGATATTTGGACCTCTTTGTGGCCTTCGTTGGAAACGGGATTTTTCATATAATGCTAGACAGAAGAATTCTCAGTAACTTCTTTTTGTGGTGTGTATTCAACTCACAGAGTTGAACCTTCCTTTAGACAGAGCAGATTTGAAACTCTCTTTTTGTGGAATTTGCAAGTGGAGATTTCAAGCGCTTTGAGGCCAACGGCAGAAAAGGAAATATCTTCGTAGAAAAAATAGACGGAATCATTCTCAGAAACTGCTTTGGGATGTGTGCATTGAACTCACAGTGTTTAACACTTCTTTTCATAGAGCACTTTGGAAACACTCAGTTTGTAATGTCTGCAGCTGGATATTTGGACCTCTTTGAGGCCTTCGTAGTAAACGGGATTTCTTCGTGTAATGATAGACAATAGAATTCTCAGTGAATTTTTTTCTGTGTGTGTGTATTCAACTCACAGGGTTGAACCTTCCTTTAGACAGTGCAGATTTGAAACACTTGTCTGTGGAATTTGCAAGGGGAGATTTCAAGCACTTTGAGGCCATTGGTGGAAAAGGAAATAACTTCGTATAAAAACTAGACAGAATCATTCTCAGGAACTACTTTGTGATATGTGCATTCAACTCACAGAGTTTAACCTTTCTTTTCATAGATGAGTTTGGAAACAGTCAGTTTGTAAATTCTGCAACTGGATATTTGGACCTCTTTGAGGCTTTCGTTGGAAACGGGATTTCTTCACATAATGCTAGACAAGAATTCTCAGGAACTTCTTTTGGGATGTATGTATTCAAATCAGAGAGTTGAACCTTCCTTTAGACAGAGCGGATTGGAAACACTCTTTTTGTGGAATTTGCAAGTGGAAAATTCTAGCAGTATGAGGCCAATGGTACAAAAGGAAATATCTTTCGTATAAAAACTAGACAGTAATCATTCTCAGAAACTGCTTTGTGATGTGTGTATTAAACTCACAGAGTTGAACATTTCTTTGCATAGAGCAGTTTGGAAAGACTTAGTTTGTGCAGTGTGCAAGTGGATATTTGGAACTCTTTGAGGCCTTCGTTGGAAACGGGATTTCTTCTTATAATTCTTGACAAAAGAATTCTCAGTAGCTTCTTTGTGTGTGTGTATTCAACTCACAGAGTTGAACCTTCCTTTAGACAGAGCAGATTGGAAACACTCTTTTTGTGGAATTTGCAAGTGGAGAATTCTAGCGCTTTGACGCCAATGGTAGAAAGGAAATATCTTCGTATAAAAACTAGACAGTATCATTCTCAGAAACTACTTTGTGATGTGTGCGTTCAACTCACAGAGTTTAACCTTTCTTTTCATAGAGCAGTTTGGAAACCCTCTGTTTGTGAAGTCTGCAAGTGGATATTTAAACGTCTTTGAGGCCTTCGTTGGAAACGGTATTTCTTCATATAAACCAGGACAGAAGAATTCTCAGAAAGTTCTTGATTGTTATGTGTGCATTCAACTCACAGAGTTGAACCTTACTTTGGAAAGAGCAGTTTTCTAACACTCTTTTTGTAAAAGTTCCAAGTGAATACTTTGAGTGCTTTGAAGCCTACGGTTGACAACGAAATATCTTCATGTAAAAACTACAAAGAATCATTCGCAGAAACCACGTTGTGATCTCTGCATTCAACTCACAGAGTTGAACCTTTCTTCCTATAGAGCAGTTATGAAACAGTCTCTTTGTAGAATTTGCAAGGGTGTATTTAGAGGGCATTGAAGCCTACGGTAGAAAAGGAAATATCTTACCATAAAATCTAGTCAGAAGCATTCTCAGCAACTGAGTTGTGATGTTTGCATTCAACTCACAGAGTTCAACATTCCTTTTAATGGAGCGGTTTTGAAACACTCTTTTTGCAGAATCTGCAAGTGGATATTTGGACCTCTTTGAGGCCTTCGTTGGAAACGGGATTTCTTCATGTAATGCCAGACAGAAGAATTCTCAGTGAATTCTTTCTGTGTGTGTGTATTCAACTCACAGAGTTGAACGTTCCTTTAGACAGAGTAGATTGGAAACACTCTTTTTGTGGAATTTTCAGGTGGAGGTATCAAGCGCTTTGAGGCCAATGATAGAAAAGGAAATACCTTCGTATAATAATTAGACGGAATCATTCTCAGAAACTGCTTTGCAATGTGTGCGTTCAACTCACAGTGTTTAACCTTTCTTTTCATACAGTTGTTTCGAAACACTCTTTTTGCAGAATCTGCAAGTGGATATTTGGACCTCTTTGAAGTCTTCGTTGGAAATGGGATTTCTTCATATAATGCTAGACAGAAGACTTCTCAGTAACTGCTTTTTCTGGTGTGTATTCAACTCTCAGAGTTGAACTTTCCTTTAGAAACAGCAGATTTGAAACTCTCTTTTTGTGGAATTTGCAAGTGGAGATTTCAGAGCTTTGAGGCCAATGGTAGAAAAGGAAATATCTTCGTATGCAAACTAGACAGAATCATTCTCAGAAACTACTTTGGTACGTGTGTGTTCAACTCACAGTGTTTAACCTTTCTTTTCATAGAGCAGTTTGGAAACACTCAGTTTGTAAAGTCAGCAACTGGATATTTGGATGTATTTGAGGCCTTCGTTGGAAACGGGATTTCTTCATATAATGCTAGACAGAAGAATTCTCAGTAACTTCTTTGGGTTGTGGGTATTCAAGTCACAGAGTTGAAGCTTCCTTTAGGCGGAGCAGATTGGAAACACTTTTTGTGGAATTTTCAGGGGGAGACTTCAAGCGCTTTGAAGTGAATGGTAGGAAAGGAAATATCTTCGTATAAAAACTAGACGGAGTCATTCTCAGAAACTACTTTGTGATGTTTGCGTTCAACTCACAGAGTTTAACGTTTCTTTTCATAGAGCAGTTTGGAAACACTCTTTTTGCAGAATCTGCAAGTGGATATTTGGACCTCTTTGTGGCCTTCGTTGGAAACGGGATTTTTCATATAATGCTAGACAGAAAAATTCTCAGTAACTTCTTTTTGTGGTGTGTATTCAACTCACAGAGTTGAACCTTCCTTTAGACAGAGCAGATTTGAAACTCTCTTTTCGTGGAATTTGCAAGTGGAGATTTCAAGCGCTTTGAGGCCAACGGTAGAAAAGGAAATATCTTCGTAGAAAAAATAGACGGAATCATTCTCAGAAACTGCTTTGGGATGTGTGCATTGAACTCACAGTGTTTAACACTTCTTTTCATAGAGCACTTTGGAAACACTCAGTTTGTAATGTCTGCAGCTGGATATTTGGACCTCTTTGAGGCCTTCGTAGTAAACGGGATTTCTTCGTGTAATGATAGACAATAGAATTCTCAGTGAATTTTTTTCTGTGTGTGTGTATTCAACTCACAGGGTTGAACCATCCTTTAGACAGTGCAGATTTGAAACACTTGTCTGTGGAATTTGCAAGGGGAGATTTCAAGCACTTTGAGGCCATTGGTGGAAAAGGAAATATCTTCGTATGAAAACTAGACAGAATCATTCTCAGGAACTACTTTGTGATATGTGCATTCAACTCCCAGAGTTTAACCTTTCTTTTCATAGATGAGTTTGGAAACAGTCAGTTTGTAAATTCTGCAACTGGATATTTGGACCTCTTTGAGGCTTTCGTTGGAAACGGGATTTCTTCACATAATGCTAGACAGAAGAATTCTCAGTAACTTCTTTTGGGATGTATGTATTCAAATCAGAGAGTTGAACCTTCCTTTAGACAGAGCGGATTGGAAACACTCTTTTTGTGGAATTTGCAAGTGGAAAATTCTAGCAGTATGAGGCCAATGGTACAAAAGGAAATATCTTCGTATAAAAACTAGACAGTATCATTCTCAGAAACTGCTTTGTGATGTGTGTATTAAACTCACAGAGTTGAACATTTCTTTGCATAGAGCAGTTTGGAAAGACTTAGTTTGTGCAGTGTGCAAGTGGATATTTGGAACTCTTTGAGGCCTTCGTTGGAAACGGGATTTCTTCTTATAATTCTTGACAAAAGAATTCTCAGTAGCTTCTTTGTGTGTGTGTATTCAACTCACAGAGTTGAACCTTCCTTTAGACAGAGCAGATTGGAAACACTCTTTTTGTGGAATTTGCAAGTGGAGAATTCTAGCGCTTTGACGCCAATGGAAGGAAAGGAAATATCTCCGTATAAAAACTAGACAGTATCATTCTCAGAAACTACTTTGTGATGTGTGCGTTCAACTCACAGAGTTTAACCTTTCTTTTCATAGAGCAGTTTGGAAACACTCTGTTTGTGAAGTCTGCAAGTGGATATTTAAACGTCTTTGAGGCCTTCGTTGGAAACGGGATTTCTTCATATAAACCAGGACAGAAGAATTCTCAGAAACTTCTTGTTTGTTATGTGTGCATTCAACTCACAGAGTTGAACCTTACTTTGGAAAGAGCAGTTTTCTAACACTCTTTTTGTAAAAGTTCCAAGTGAATACTTTGAGTGCTTTGAAGCCTACGGTAGACAACGAAATATCTTCATGTAAAAACTACAAAGAATCATTCGCAGAAACCACGTTGTGATCTCTGCATTCAACTCACAGAGTTGAACCTTTCCTCCAATAGAGCAGTTATGAAACAGTCTCTTTGTAGAATTTGCAAGGGTGTATTTACAGGGCATTGAAGCCTACGGTAGAAAAGGAAATATCTTACCATAAAATCTAGTCAGAAGCATTCTCAGAAACTGAGTTGTGATGTTTGCATTCAACTCACAGAGTTCAACATTCCTTTTAATGGAGCGGTTTTGAAACACTCTTTTTGCAGAATCTGCAAGTGGATATTTGGACCTCTTTGAGGCCTTCGTTGGAAACGGGATTTCTTCATGTAATGCCAGACAGAAGAATTCTCAGTGAATTCTTTCTGTGTGTGTGTATTCAACTCACAGAGTTGAACGTTCCTTTAGACAGAGTAGATTGGAAACACTCTTTTTGTGGAATTTTCAGGTGGAGGTATCAAGCGCTTTGAGGCCAATGATAGAAAAGGAAATACCTTCGTATAATAATTAGACGGAATCATTCTCAGAAACTGCTTTGCAATGTGTGCGTTCAACTCACAGTGTTTAACCTTTCTTTTCATACAGTTGTTTCGAAACACTCTTTTTGCAGAATCTGCAAGTGGATATTTGGACCTCTTTGAAGTCTTCGTTGGAAATGGGATTTCTTCATATAATGCTAGACAGAAGACTTCTCAGTAACTGCTTTTTCTGGTGTGTATTCAACTCTCAGAGTTGAACTTTCCTTTAGAAACAGCAGATTTGAAACTCTCTTTTTGTGGAATTTGCAAGTGGAGATTTCAGAGCTTTGAGGCCAATGGTAGAAAAGGAAACATCTTCGTATGCAAACTAGACAGAATCATTCTCAGAAACTACTTTGGTACGTGTGTGTTCAACTCACAGTGTTTAACCTTTCTTTTCATAGAGCAGTTTGGAAACACTCAGTTTGTAAAGTCAGCAACTGGATATTTGGATGTATTTGAGGCCTTCGTTGGAAACGGGATTTCTTCATATAATGCTAGACAGAAGAATTCTCAGTAACTTCTTAGGGTTGTGGGTATTCAACTCACAGAGTTGAAGCTTCCTTTAGGCGGAGCAGATTGGAAACACTTTTTGTGGAATTTTCAGGGGGAGACTTCAAGCGCTTTGAAGTGAATGGTAGGAAAGGTAATATCCTCGTACAAAAACTAGACGGAGTCATTCTCAGAAACTACTTTGTGATGTTTGCGTTCAACTCACAGAGTTTAACGTTTCTTTTCATAGAGCAGTTTGGAAACACTCTTTTTGCAGAATCTGCAAGTGGATATTTGGACCTCTTTGTGGCCTTCGTTGGAAACGGGATTTTTCATATAATGCTAGACAGAAGAATTCTCAGTAACTTCTTTTTGTGGTGTGTATTCAACTCACAGAGTTGAACCTTCCTTTAGACAGAGCAGATTTGAAACTCTCTCTTTGTGGAATTTGCAAGTGGAGATTTCAAGCGCTTTGAGGCCAACGGCAGAAAAGGAAATATCTTCGTAGAAAAAATAGACGGAATCATTCTCAGAAACTGCTTTGGGATGTGTGCATTGAACTCACAGTGTTTAACACTTCTTTTCATAGAGCACTTTGGAAACAGTCAGTTTGGAATGTCTGCAGCTGGATATTTGGACCTCTTTGAGGCCTTCGTAGTAAACGGGATTTCTTCGGGTAATGATAGACAATAGAATTCTCAGTGAATTTTTTTCTGTGTGTGTGTATTCAACTCACAGGGTTGAACCTTCCTTTAGACAGTGCAGATTTGAAACACTTGTCTGTGGAATTTGCAAGGGGAGATTTCAAGCACTTTGAGGCCATTGGTGGAAAAGGAAATATCTTCGTATAAAAACTAGACAGAATCATTCTCAGGAACTACTTTGTGATATGTGCATTCAACTCACAGAGTTTAACTTTTCTTTTCATAGATGAGTTTGGAAACAGTCAGTTTGTAAATTCTGCAACTGGATATTTGGACCTCTTTGAGGCTTTCATTGGAAACGGGATTTCTTCACATAATGCTAGACAGAAGAATTCTCAGTAACTTCTTTTGGGATGTATGTATTCAAATCAGAGAGTTGAACCTTCCTTTAGACAGAGCGGATTGGAAACACTCTTTTTGTGGAATTTGCAAGTGGAAAATTCTAGCAGTATGAGGCCAATGGTACAAAAGGAAATATCTTCGTATAAAAACTAGACAGTATCATTCTCAGAAACTGCTTTGTGATGTGTGCATTAAACTCACAGAGTTGAACATTTCTTTTTCATAGAGCAGTTTGGAAAGACTTAGTTTGTACAGTCTGCAAGTGGATATTTGGAACTCTTTGAGGCCTTCGTTGGAAACGGGATTTCTTATAATTCTTGACAAAAGAATTCTCAGTAGCTTCTTTGTGTGTGTGTATTCAACTCACAGAGTTGAACCTTCCTTTAGACAGAGCAGATTGGAAACACTCTTTTTGTGGAATTTGCAAGTGGAGAATTCTAGCGCTTTGACGCCAATGGTAGAAAGGAAATATCTTCGTATAAAAACTAGACAGTATCATTCTCAGAAGCTACTTTGTGATGTGTGCGTTCAACTCACAGAGTTTAACTTTTCTTTTCATAGAGCAGTTTGGAAACCCTCTGTTTGTGAAGTCTGCAAGTGGATATTTAAACGTCTTTGAGGCCTTCGTTGGAAACGGGATTTTTTCATATAAACCAGGACAGAAGAATTCTCAGAAACTTCTTGATTGTTATGTGTGCATTCAACTCACAGAGTTGAACCTTACTTTGGAAAGAGCAGTTTTCTAACACTCTTTTTGTAAAAGTTCCAAGTGAATACTTTGAGTGCTTTGAAGCCTACGGTTGACAACGAAATATCTTCATGTAAAAACTACAAAGAATCATTCGCAGAAACCACGTTGTGATCTCTGCATTCAACTCACAGAGTTGAACCTTTCTTCCTATAGAGCAGTTATGAAACAGTCTCTTTGTAGAATTTGCAAGGGTGTATTTAGAGGGCATTGAAGCCTACGGTAGAAAAGGAAATATCTTACCATAAAATCTAGTCAGAAGCATTCTCAGCAACTGAGTTGTGATGTTTGCATTCAACTCACAGAGTTCAACATTCCTTTTAATGGAGCGGTTTTGAAACACTCTTTTTGCAGAATCTGCAAGTGGATATTTGGACCTCTTTGAGGCCTTCGTTGGAAACGGGATTTCTGCATGTAATGCCAGACAGAAGAATTCTCAGTGAATTCTTTCTGTGTGTGTGTATTCAACTCACAGAGTTGAACGTTCCTTTAGACAGAGTATATTGGAAACACTCTTTTTGTGGAATTTTCAGGTGGAGGTATCAAGCGCTTTGAGGCCAATGATAGAAAAGGAAATACCTTCGTATAATAATTAGACGGAATCATTCTCAGAAACTGCTTTGCAATGTGTGCGTTCAACTCACAGTGTTTAACCTTTCTTTTCATACAGTTGTTTCGAAACACTCTTTTTGCAGAATCTGCAAGTGGATATTTGGACCTCTTTGAAGTCTTCGTTGGAAATGGGATTTCTTCATATAATGCTAGACAGAAGACTTCTCAGTAACTGCTTTTTCTGGTGTGTATTCAACTCTCAGAGTTGAACTTTCCTTTAGAAACAGCAGATTTGAAACTCTCTTTTTGTGGAATTTGCAAGTGGAGATTTCAAAGCTTTGAGGCCAGTGGTAGAAAAGGAAATATCTTCGTATACAAACTAGACAGAATCATTCTCAGAAACTACTTTGGTACGTGTGTGTTCAACTCACAGTGTTTAACCTTTCTTTTCATAGAGCAGTTTGGAAACACTCAGTTTGTAAAGTCAGCAACTGGATATTTGGATGTATTTGAGGCCTTCGTTGGAAACGGGATTTCTTCATATAATGCGAGACAGAAGAATTCTCAGTAACTTCTTTGGGTTGTGGGTATTCAAGTCACAGAGTTGAAGCTTCCTTTAGGCGGAGCAGATTGGAAACACTTTTTGTGGAATTTTCAGGGGGAGACTTCAAGCGCTTTGAAGTGAATGGTAGGAAAGGAAATATCTTCGTATAAAAACTAGACGGAGTCATTCTCAGAAACTACTTTGTGATGTTTGCGTTCAACTCACAGAGTTTAACGTTTCTTTTCATAGAGCAGTTTGGAAACACTCTTTTTGCAGAATCTGCAAGTGGATATTTGGACCTCTTTGTGGCCTTCGTTGGAAACGGGATTTTTCATATAATGCTAGACAGAAGAATTCTCAGTAACTTCTTTTTGTGGTGTGTATTCAACTCACAGAGTTGAACCTTCCTTTAGACAGAGCAGATTTGAAACTCTCTTTTTGTGGAATTTGCAAGTGGAGATTTCAAGCGCTTTGAGGCCAACGGTAGAAAAGGAAATATCTTCGTAGAAAAAATAGACGGAATCATTCTCAGAAACTGCTTTGGGATGTGTGCATTGAACTCACAGTGTTTAACACTTCTTTTCATAGAGCACTTTGGAAACACTCAGTTTGTAATGTCTGCAGCTGGATATTTGGACCTCTTTGAGGCCTTCGTAGTAAACGGGATTTCTTCGTGTAATGATAGACAATAGAATTCTCAGTGAATTTTTTTCTGTGTGTGTGTATTCAACTCACAGGGTTGAACCTTCCTTTAGACAGTGCAGATTTGAAACACTTGTCTGTGGAATTTGCAAGGGGAGATTTCAAGCACTTTGAGGCCATTGGTGGAAAAGGAAATATCTTCGTATGAAAACTAGACAGAATCATTCTCAGGAACTACTTTGTGATATGTGCATTCAACTCACAGAGTTTAACCTTTCTTTTCATAGATGAGTTTGGAAACAGTCAGTTTGTAAATTCTGCAACTGGATATTTGGACCTCTTTGAGGCTTTCGTTGGAAACGGGATTTCTTCACATAATGCTAGACAGAAGAATTCTCAGTAACTTCTTTTGGGATGTATGTATTCAAATCAGAGAGTTGAACCTTCCTTTAGACAGAGCGGATTGGAAACACTCTTTTTGTGGAATTTGCAAGTGGAAAATTCTAGCAGTATGAGGCCAATGGTACAAAAGGAAATATCTTCGTATAAAAACTAGACAGTATCATTCTCAGAAACTGCTTTGTGATGTGTGTATTAAACTCACAGAGTTGAACATTTCTTTGCATAGAGCAGTTTGGAAAGACTTAGTTTGTGCAGTGTGCAAGTGGATATTTGGAACTCTTTGAGGCCTTCGTTGGAAACGGGATTTCTTCTTATAATTCTTGACAAAAGAATTCTCAGTAGCTTCTTTGTGTGTGTGTATTCAACTCACAGAGTTGAACCTTCCTTTAGGCAGAGCAGATTGGAAACCCACTTTTTGTGGAATTTGCAAGTGGAGAATTCTAGCGCTTTGACGCCAATGGTAGGAAAGGAAATATCTCCGTATAAAAACTAGACAGTATCATTCTCAGAAACTACTTTGTGATGTGTGCGTTCAACTCACAGAGTTTAACCTTTCTTTTCATAGAGCAGTTTGGAAACACTCTGTTTGTGAAGTCTGCAAGAGGATATTTAAACGTCTTTGAGGCCTTCGTTGGAAACGGGATTTTTTCATATAAACCAGGACAGAAGAATTCTCAGAAACTTCTTGATTGTTATGTGTGCATTCAACTCACAGAGTTGAACCTTACTTTGGAAAGAGCAGTTTCCTAACACTCGTTTTGTAAAAGTTCCAAGTGAATACTTTGAGTGCTTTGAAGCCTACGGTTGACAACGAAATATCTTCATGTAAAAACTACAAAGAATCATTCGCAGAAACCACGTTGTGATCTCTGCATTCAACTCACAGAGTTGAACCTTTCTTCCTATAGAGCAGTTATGAAACAGTCTCTTTGTAGAATTTGCAAGGGTGTATTTAGAGGGCATTGAAGCCTACGGTAGAAAAGGAAATATCTTACCATAAAATCTAGTCAGAAGCATTCTCAGAAACTGAGTTGTGATGTTTGCATTCAACTCACAGAGTTCAACATTCCTTTTAATGGAGCGGTTTTGAAACACTCTTTTTGCAGAATCTGCAAGTGGATATTTGGACCTCTTTGAGGCCTTCGTTGGAAACGGGATTTCTTCATGTAATGCCAGACAGAAGAATTCTCAGTGAATTCTTTCTGTGTGTGTGTATTCAACTCACAGAGTTGAACGTTCCTTTAGACAGAGTAGATTGGAAACACTCTTTTTGTGGAATTTTCAGGTGGAGGTATCAAGCGCTTTGAGGCCAATGATAGAAAAGGAAATACCTTCGTATAATAATTAGACGGAATCATTCTCAGAAACTGCTTTGCAATGTGTGCGTTCAACTCACAGTGTTTAACCTTTCTTTTCATACAGTTGTTTCGAAACACTCTTTTTGCAGAATCTGCAAGTGGATATTTGGACCTCTTTGAAGTCTTCGTTGGAAATGGGATTTCTTCATATAATGCTAGACAGAAGACTTCTCAGTAACTGCTTTTTCTGGTGTGTATTCAACTCTCAGAGTTGAACTTTCCTTTAGAAACAGCAGATTTGAAACTCTCTTTTTGTGGAATTTGCAAGTGGAGATTTCAGAGCTTTGAGGCCAATGGTAGAAAAGGAAATATCTTCGTATGCAAACTAGACAGAATCATTCTCAGAAACTACTTTGGTACGTGTGTGTTCAACTCACAGTGTTTAACCTTTCTTTTCATAGAGCAGTTTGGAAACACTCAGTTTGTAAAGTCAGCAACTGGATATTTGGATGTATTTGAGGCCTTCGTTGGAAACGGGATTTCTTCATATAATGCTAGACAGAAGAATTCTCAGTAACTTCTTTGGGTTGTGGGTATTCAAGTCACAGAGTTGAAGCTTCCTTTAGGCGGAGCAGATTGGAAACACTTTTTGTGGAATTTTCAGGGGGAGACTTCAAGCGCTTTGAAGTGAATGGTAGGAAAGGAAATATCTTCGTATAAAAACTAGACGGAGTCATTCTCAGAAACTACTTTGTGATGTTTGCGTTCAACTCACAGAGTTTAACGTTTCTTTTCATAGAGCAGTTTGGAAACACTCTTTTTGCAGAATCTGCAAGTGGATATTTGGACCTCTTTGTGGCCTTCGTTGGAAACGGGATTTTTCATATAATGCTAGACAGAAGAATTCTCAGTAACTTCTTTTTGTGGTGTGTATTCAACTCACAGAGTTGAACCTTCCTTTAGACAGAGCAGATTTGAAACTCTCTTTTTGTGGAATTTGCAAGTGGAGATTTCAAGCGCTTTGAGGCCAACGGCAGAAAAGGAAATATCTTCGTAGAAAAAATAGACGGCATCATTCTCAGAAACTGCTTTGGGATGTGTGCATTGAACTCACAGTGTTTAACCCTTCTTTTCATAGAGCGCTTTGGAAACACTCAGTTTGTAATGTCTGCAGCTGGATATTTGGACCTCTTTGAGGCCTTCGTAGTAAACGGGATTTCTTTGTTTAATGATAGACAATTAGAATTCTCAGTGAATTTTTTTCTGTGTGTGTGTATTCAACTCACAGGGTTGAACCTTCCATCAGACAGTGCAGATTTGAAACACTTTTCTGTGGAATTTGCAAGGGGAGATTTCCAGCACTTTGAGGCCATTGGTGGAAAAGGAAATATCTTCGTATAAAAACTAGACAGATCATTCTCAGGAACTACTTTGTGATATGTGCATTCAACTCACAGAGTTTAACCTTTCTTTTCATAGATGAGTTTGGAAACAGTCAGTTTGTAAATTCTGCAACTGGATATTTGGACCTCTTTGAGGCTTTCGTTGGAAACGGGATTTCTTCACATAATGCTAGACAGAAGAATTCTCAGTAACTTCTTTTGGGATGTATGTGTTCAACTCAGAGAGTTGAACCTTCCTTTAGACAGAGCGGATTGGAAACACTCTTTTTGTGGAATTTGCAAGTGGAAAATTCTAGCAGTATGAGGCCAATGGTACAAAAGGAAATATCTTCGTATAAAAACTAGACAGTATCATTCTCAGAAACTGCTTTGTGATGTGTGTATTAAACTCACAGAGTTGAACATTTCTTTGCATAGAGCAGTTTGGAAAGACTTAGTTTGTGCATTGTGCAAGTGGATATTTGGAACTCTTTGAGGCCTTCGTTGGAAACGGGATTTCTTCTTATAATTCTTGACAAAAGAATTCTCAGTAGCTTCTTTGTGTGTGTGTATTCAACTCACAGAGTTGAACCTTCCTTTAGACAGAGCAGATTGGAAACACTCTTTTTGTGGAATTTGCAAGTGGAGAATTCTAGCGCTTTGACGCCAATGGTAGAAAGGAAATATCTTCGTATAAAAACTAGACAGTATCATTCTCAGAAGCTACTTTGTGATGTGTGCGTTCAACTCACAGAGTTTAACTTTTCTTTTCATAGAGCAGTTTGGAAACCCTCTGTTTGTGAAGTCTGCAAGTGGATATTTAAACGTCTTTGAGGCCTTCGTTGGAAACGGGATTTCTTCATATAAACCAGGACAGAAGAATTCTCAGAAACTTCTTGATTGTTATGTGTGCATTCAACTCACAGAGTTGAACCTTACTTTGGAAAGAGCAGTTTTCTAACACTCTTTTTGTAAAAGTTCCAAGTGAATACTTTGAGTGCTTTGAAGCCTACGGTTGACAACGAAATATCTTCATGTAAAAACTACAAAGAATCATTCGCAGAAACCACGTTGTGATCTCTGCATTCAACTCACAGAGTTGAACCTTTCTTCCTATAGAGCAGTTATGAAACAGTCTCTTTGTAGAATTTGCAAGGGTGTATTTAGAGGGCATTGAAGCCTACGGTAGAAAAGGAAATATCTTACCATAAAATCTAGTCAAAAGCATTCTCAGAAACTGAGTTGTGATGTTGGCATTCAACTCACAGAGTTCAACATTCCTTTTAATGGAGCGGTTTTGAAACACTCTTTTTGCAGAATCTGCAAGTGGATATTTGGACCTCTTTGAGGCCTTCGTTGGAAACGGGATTTCTTCATGTAATGCCAGACAGAAGAATTCTCAGTGAATTCTTTCTGTGTGTGTGTATTCAACTCACAGAGTTGAACGTTCCTTTAGACAGAGTAGATTGGAAACACTCTTTTTGTGGAATTTTCAGGTGGAGGTATCAAGCGCTTTGAGGCCAATGATAGAAAAGGAAATACCTTCGTATAATAATTAGACGGAATCATTCTCAGAAACTGCTTTGCAATGTGTGCGTTCAACTCACAGTGTTTAACCTTTCTTTTCATACAGTTGTTTCGAAACACTCTTTTTGCAGAATCTGCAAGTGGATATTTGGACCTCTTTGAAGTCTTCGTTGGAAATGGGATTTCTTCATATAATGCTAGACAGAAGACTTCTCAGTAACTGCTTTTTCTGGTGTGTATTCAACTCTCAGAGTTGAACTTTCCTTTAGAAACAGCAGATTTGAAACTCTCTTTTTGTGGAATTTGCAAGTGGAGATTTCAGAGCTTTGAGGCCAATGGTAGAAAAGGAAATATCTTCGTATGCAAACTAGATAGAATCATTCTCAGAAACTACTTTGGTACGTGTGTGTTCAACTCACATTGTTTAACCTTTCTTTTCATAGAGCAGTTTGGAAACACTCAGTTTGTAAAGTCAGCAACTGGATATTTGGATGTATTTGAGGCCTTCGTTGGAAACGGGATTTCTTCATATAATGCTAGACAGAAGAATTCTCAGTAACTTCTTTGGGTTGTGGGTATTCAAGTCACAGAGTTGAAGCTTCCTTTAGGCGGAGCAGATTGGAAACACTTTTTGTGGAATTTTCAGGGGGAGACTTCAAGCGCTTTGAAGTGAATGGTAGGAAAGGAAATATCTTCGTATAAAAACTAGACGGAGTCATTCTCAGAAACTACTTTGTGATGTTTGCGTTCAACTCACAGAGTTTAACGTTTCTTTTCATAGAGCAGTTTGGAAACACTCTTTTTGCAGAATCTGCAAGTGGATATTTGGACCTCTTTGTGGCCTTCGTTGGAAACGGGATTTTTCATATAATGCTAGACAGAAGAATTCTCAGTAACTTCTTTTTGTGGTGTGTATTCAACTCACAAAGTTGAACCTTCCTTTAGACAGAGCAGATTTGAAACTCTCTTTTTGTGGAATTTGCAAGTGGAGATTTCAAGCGCTTTGAGGCCAACGGCAGAAAAGGAAATATCTTCGTAGAAAAAATAGACGGAATCATTCTCAGAAACTGCTTTGGGATGTGTGCATTGAACTCACAGTGTTTAACACTTCTTTTCATAGAGCACTTTGGAAACACTCAGTTTATAATGTCTGCAGCTGGATATTTGGACCTCTTTGAGGCCTTCGTAGTAAACGGGATTTCTTCGTGTAATGATAGACAATAGAATTCTCAGTGAATTTTTTTCTGTGTGTGTGTATTCAACTCACAGGGTTGAACCATCCTTTAGACAGTGCAGATTTGAAACACTTGTCTGTGGAATTTGCAAGGGGAGATTTCAAGCACTTTGAGGCCATTGGTGGAAAAGGAAATATCTTCGTATGAAAACTAGACAGAATCATTCTCAGGAACTACTTTGTGATATGGGCATTCAACTCCCAGAGTTTAACCTTTCTTTTCATAGATGAGTTTGGAAACAGTCAGTTTGTAAATTCTGCAACTGGATATTTGGACCTCTTTGAGGCTTTCGTTGGAAACGGGATTTCTTCACATAATGCTAGATAGAAGAATTCTCAGTAACTTCTTTTGGGATGTATGTATTCAAATCAGAGAGTTGAACCTTCCTTTAGACAGAGCGGATTGGAAACACTCTTTTTGTGGAATTTGCAAGTGGAAAATTCTAGCAGTATGAGGCCAATGGTACAAAAGGAAATATCTTCGTATAAAAACTAGACAGTATCATTCTCAGAAACTGCTTTGTGATGTGTGTATTAAACTCACAGAGTTGAACATTTCTTTGCATAGAGCAGTTTGGAAAGACTTAGCTTGTGCAGTGTGCAAGTGGATATTTGGAACTCTTTGAGGCCTTCGTTGGAAACGGGATTTCTTCTTATAATTCTTGACAAAAGAATTCTCAGTAGCTTCCTTGTGTGTGTGTATTCAACTCGCAGAGTTGAACCTGCCTTTAGGCAGAGCAGATTGAAAACCCTCTTTTTGTGGAATTTGCAAGTGGAGAATTCTAGCGCTTTGACGCCAATGGTAGGAAAGGAAATATCTTCGTATAAAAACTGGACAGTATCATTCTCAGAAGCTACTTTGTGATGTGTGCGTTCAACTCACAGAGTTTAACCTTTCTTTTCATAGAGCGGTTTGGAAACCCTCTGTTTGTGAAGTCTGCAAGTGGATATTTAAACGTCTTTGAGGCCTTCGTTGGAAACGGGATTTTTTCATATAAACCAGGACAGAAGAATTCTCAGAAACTTCTTGATTGTTATGTGTGCATTCAACTCACAGAGTTGAACCTTACTTTGGAAAGAGCAGTTTTCTAACACTCTTTTTGTAAAAGTTCCAAGTGAATACTTTGAGTGCTTTGAAGCCTACGGTTGACAACGAAATATCTTCATGTAAAAACTACAAAGAATCATTCGCAGAAACCACGTTGTGATCTCTGCATTCAACTCACAGAGTTCAACCTTTCTTCCTATAGAGCAGTTATGAAACAGTCTCTTTGTAGAATTTGCAAGGGTGTATTTAGAGGGCATTGAAGCCTACGGTAGAAAAGGAAATATCTTACCATAAAATCTAGTCAGAAGCATTCTCAGAAACTGAGTTGTGATGTTTGCATTCAACTCACAGAGTTCAACATTCCTTTTCATGGAGCGGTTTTGAAACACTCTTTTTGCAGAATCTGCAAGTGGATATTTGGACCTCTTTGAGGCCTTCGTTGAAAACGGGATTTCTTCATGTAATGCCAGACAGAAGAATTCTC
Organism: Homo sapiens; assembly: GCF_000001405.40. NCBI lineage: Eukaryota > Metazoa > Chordata > Mammalia > Primates > Hominidae > Homo > Homo sapiens. The sequence goes on from NC_000003.12 coordinate 93,365,670, forward strand.
AGTGAATTCTTTCTGTGTGTGTGTATTCAACTCACAGAGTTGAACGTTCCTTTAGACAGAGTAGATTGGAAACACTCTTTTTGTGGAATTTTCAGGTGGAGGTATCAAGCGCTTTGAGGCCAATGATAGAAAAGGAAATACCTTCGTATAATAATTAGACGGAATCATTCTCAGAAACCGCTTTGCAATGTGTGCGTTCAACTCACAGTGTTTAACCTTTCTTTTCATACAGTTGTTTCGAAACACTCTTTTTGCAGAATCTGCAAGTGGATATTTGGACCTCTTTGAAGTCTTCGTTGGAAATGGGATTTCTTCATATAATGCTAGACAGAAGACTTCTCAGTAACTGCTTTTTCTGGTGTGTATTCAACTCTCAGAGTTGAACTTTCCTTTAGAAACAGCAGATTTGAAACTCTCTTTTTGTGGAATTTGCAAGTGGAGATTTCGGAGCTTTGAGGCCAATGGTAGAAAAGGAAATATCTTCGTATGCAAACTAGACAGAATCATTCTCAGAAACTACTTTGGTACGTGTGTGTTCAACTCACAGTGTTTAACCTTTCTTTTCATAGAGCAGTTTGGAAACACTCAGTTTGTAAAGTCAGCAACTGGATATTTGGATGTATTTGAGGCCTTCGTTGGAAACGGGATTTCTTCATATAATGCTAGACAGAAGAATTCTCAGTAACTTCTTTGGGTTGTGGGTATTCAAGTCACAGAGTTGAAGCTTCCTTTAGGCGGAGCAGATTGGAAACACTTTTTGTGGAATTTTCAGGGGGAGACTTCAAGCGCTTTGAAGTGAATGGTAGGAAAGGAAATATCTTCGTATAAAAACTAGACGGAGTCATTCTCAGAAACTACTTTGTGATGTTTGCGTTCAACTCACAGAGTTTAACGTTTCTTTTCATAGAGCAGTTTGGAAACACTCTTTTTGCAGAATCTGCAAGTGGATATTTGGACCTCTTTGTGGCCTTCGTTGGAAACGGGATTTTTCATATAATGCTAGACAGAAGAATTCTCAGTAACTTCTTTTTGTGGTGTGTATTCAAGACACAGAGTTGAACCTTCCTTTAGACAGAGCAGATTTGAAACTCTCTTTTCGTGGAATTTGCAAGTGGAGATTTCAAGCGCTTTGAGGCCAACGGCAGAAAGGGAAATATCCTTCGTAGAAAAAATAGACGGAATCATTCTCAGCAAACTGCTTTGGGATGTGTGCATTGAACTCACAGTGTTTAACACTTCTTTTCATAGAGCACTTTGGAAACACTCAGTTTGTAATGTCTGCAGCTGGATATTTGGACCTCTTTGAGGCCTTCGTAGTAAACGGGATTTCTTCGTGTAATGATAGACAATAGAATTCTCAGTGAATTTTTTTCTGTGTGTGTGTATTCAACTCACAGGGTTGAACCTTCCTTTAGACAGTGCAGATTTGAAACACTTGTCTGTGGAATTTGCAAGGGGAGATTTCAAGCACTTTGAGGCCATTGGTGGAAAAGGAAATATCTTCGTATGAAAACTAGACAGAATCATTCTCAGGAACTACTTTGTGATATGTGCATTCAACTCCCAGAGTTTAACCTTTCTTTTCATAGATGAGTTTGGAAACAGTCAGTTTGTAAATTCTGCAACTGGATATTTGGACCTCTTTGAGGCTTTCGTTGGAAACGGGATTTCTTCTTATAATTCTTGACAAAAGAATTCTCAGTAGCTTCTTTGTGTGTGTGTATTCAACTCACAGAGTTGAACCTTCCTTTAGACAGAGCGGATTGGAAACACTCTTTTTGTGGAATTTGCAAGTGGAAAATTCTAGCATTATGAGGCCAATGGTACAAAAGGAAATATCTTCGTATAAAAACTAGACAGTATCATTCTCAGAAACTGCTTTGTGATGTGTGTATTAAACTCACAGAGTTGAACATTTCTTTGCATAGAGCAGTTTGGAAAGACTTAGTTTGTGCAGTGTGCAAGTGGATATTTGGAACTCTTTGAGGCCTTCGTTGGAAACGGGATTTCTTCTTATAATTCTTGACAAAAGAATTCTCAGTAGCTTCTTTGTGTGTGTGTATTCAACTCACAGAGTTGAACCTTCCTTTAGACAGAGCAGATTGGAAACACTCTTTTTGTGGAATTTGCAAGTGGAGAATTCTAGCGCTTTGACGCCAATGGTAGAAAGGAAATATCTTCGTATAAAAACTAGACAGTATCATTCTCAGAAACTACTTTGAGATGTGTGCGTTCAACTCACAGAGTTTAACCTTTCTTTTCATAGAGCAGTTTGGAAACACTCTGTGAAGTCTGCAAGTGGATATTTAAACGTCTTTGAGGCCTTCGTTGGAAACGGGATTTCTTCATATAAACCAGGACAGAAGAATTCTCAGAAACTTCTTGATTGTTATGTGTGCATTCAACTCACAGAGTTGAACCTTACTTTGGAAAGAGCAGTTTTCTAACACTCTTTTTGTAAAAGTTCCAAGTGAATACTTTGAGTGCTTTGAAGCCTACGGTTGACAACGAAATATCTTCATGTAAAAACTACAAAGAATCATTCGCAGAAACCACGTTGTGATCTCTGCATTCAACTCACAGAGTTCAACCTTTCTTCCTATAGAGCAGTTATGAAACAGTCTCTTTGTAGAATTTGCAAGGGTGTATTTAGAGGGCATTGAAGCCTACGGTAGAAAAGGAAATATCTTACCATAAAATCGAGTCAGAAGCATTCTCAGAAACTGAGTTGTGATGTTTGCATTCAACTCACAGAGTTCAACATTCCTTTTAATGGAGCGGTTTTGAAACACTCTTTTTGCAGAATCTGCAAGTGGATATTTGGACCTCTTTGAGGCCTTCGTTGGAAACGGGATTTCTTCATGTAATGCCAGACAGAAGAATTCTCAGTGAATTCTTTCTGTGTGTGTGTATTCAACTCACAGAGTTGAACGTTCCTTTAGACAGAGTAGATTGGAAACACTCTTTTTGTGGAATTTTCAGGTGGAGGTATCAAGCGCTTTGAGGCCAATGATAGAAAAGGAAATACCTTCGTATAATAATTAGACGGAATCATTCTCAGAAACTGCTTTGCAATGTGTGCGTTCAACTCACAGTGTTTAACCTTTCTTTTCATACAGTTGTTTCGAAACACTCTTTTTGCAGAATCTGCAAGTGGATATTTGGACCTCTTTGAAGTCTTCGTTGGAAATGGGATTTCTTCATATAATGCTAGACAGAAGACTTCTCAGTAACTGCTTTTTCTGGTGTGTATTCAACTCTCAGAGTTGAACTTTCCTTTAGAAACAGCAGAGTTGAAACTCTCTTTTTGTGGAATTTGCAAGCGGAGATTTCAAAGCTTTGAGGCCAATGGTAGAAAAGGAAATATCTTCGTATGCAAACTAGACAGAATCATTCTCAGAAACTACTTTGGTACGTGTGTGTTCAACTCACAGTGTTTAACCTTTCTTTTCATAGAGCAGTTTGGAAACACTCAGTTTGTAAAGTCAGCAACTGGATATTTGGATGTATTTGAGGCCTTCGTTGGAAACGGGATTTCTTCATATAATGCTAGACAGAAGAATTCTCAGTAACTTCTTTGGGTTGTGGGTATTCAACTCACAGAGTTGAAGCTTCCTTTAGGCGGAGCAGATTGGAAACACTTTTTGTGGAATTTTCAGGGGGAGACTTCAAGCGCTTTGAAGTGAATGGTAGGAAAGGAAATATCTTCGTATAAAAACTAGACGGAGTCATTCTCAGAAACTACTTTGTGATGTTTGCGTTCAACTCACAGAGTTTAACGTTTCTTTTCATAGAGCAGTTTGGAAACACTCTTTTTGCAGAATCTGCAAGTGGATATTTGGACCTCTTTGTGGCCTTCGTTGGAAACGGGATTTTTCATATAATGCTAGACAGAAGAATTCTCAGTAACTTCTTTTTGTGGTGTGTATTCAACTCACAGAGTTGAACCTTCCTTTAGACAGAGCAGATTTGAAACTCTCTTTTTGTGGAATTTGCAAGTGGAGATTTCAAGCGCTTTGAGGCCAACGGCAGAAAAGGAAATATCTTCGTAGAAAAAATAGACGGAATCATTCTCAGAAACTGCTTTGGGATGTGTGCATTGAACTCACAGTGTTTAACACTTCTTTTCATAGAGCACTTTGGAAACAGTCAGTTTGGAATGTCTGCAGCTGGATATTTGGACCTCTTTGAGGCCTTCGTAGTAAACGGGATTTCTTCGTGTAATGATAGACAATAGAATTCTCAGTGAATTTTTTTCTGTGTGTGTGTATTCAACTCACAGGGTTGAACCTTCCTTTAGACAGTGCAGATTTGAGACACTTGTCTGTGGAATTTGCAAGGGGAGATTTCAAGCACTTTGAGGCCATTGGTGGAAAAGGAAATATCTTCGTATAAAAACTAGACAGAATCATTCTCAGGAACTACTTTGTGATATGTGCATTCAACTCACAGAGTTTAACCTTTCTTTTCATAGATGAGTTTGGAAACAGTCAGTTTGTAAATTCTGCAACTGGATATTTGGACCTCTTTGAGGCTTTCGTTGGAAACGGGATTTCTTCACATAATGCTAGACAGAAGAATTCTCAGTAACTTCTTTTGGGATGTATGTATTCAAATCAGAGAGTTGAACCTTCCTTTAGACAGAGCGGATTGGAAACACTCTTTTTGTGGAATTTGCAAGTGGAAAATTCTAGCAGTATGAGGCCAATGGTACAAAAGGAAATATCTTCGTATAAAAACTAGACAGTATCATTCTCAGAAACTGCTTTGTGATGTGTGTATTAAACTCACAGAGTTGAACATTTCTTTGCATAGAGCAGTTTGGAAAGACTTAGTTTGTGCAGTGTGCAAGTGGATATTTGGAACTCTTTGAGGCCTTCGTTGGAAACGGGATTTCTTCTTATAATTTCTTGAAAAAAGAATTCTCAGTAGCTTCTTTGTGTGTGTGTATTCAACTCACAGAGTTGAGCCTTCCTTTAGACAGAGCAGATTGGAAACACTCTTTTTGTGGAATTTGCAAGTGGAGAATTCTAGCGCTTTGACGCCAATGGTAGAAAGGAAATATCTTCGTATAAAAACTAGACAGTATCATTCTCAGAAGCTACTTTGTGATGTGTGCGTTCAACTCACAGAGTTTAACCTTTCTTTTCATAGAGCAGTTTGGAAACCCTCTGTTTGTGAAGTCTGCAAGTGGATATTTAAACGTCTTTGAGGCCTTCGTTGGAAACGGGATTTTTTCATATAAACCAGGACAGAAGAATTCTCAGAAACTTCTTGATTGTTATGTGTGCATTCAACTCACAGAGTTGAACCTTACTTTGGAAAGAGCGGTTTTCTAACACTCTTTTTGTAAAAGTTCCAAGTGAATACTTTGAGTGCTTTGAAGCCTACGGTTGACAACGAAATATCTTCATGTAAAAACTACAAAGAATCATTCGCAGAAACCACGTTGTGATCTCTGCATTCAACTCACAGAGTTGAACCTTTCTTCCTATAGAGCAGTTGTGAAACAGTCTCTTTGTAGAATTTGCAAGGGTGTATTTAGAGGGCATTGAAGCCTACGGTAGAAAAGGAAATATCTTACCATAAAATCTAGTCAGAAGCATTCTCAGCAACTGAGTTGTGATGTTTGCATTCAACTCACAGAGTTCAACATTCCTTTTAATGGAGCGGTTTTGAAACACTCTTTTTGCAGAATCTGCAAGTGGATATTTGGACCTCTTTGAGGCCTTCGTTGGAAACGGGATTTCTTCATGTAATGCCAGACAGAAGAATTCTCAGTGAATTCTTTCTGTGTGTGTGTATTCAACTCACAGAGTTGAACGTTCCTTTAGACAGAGTAGATTGGAAACACTCTTTTTGTGGAATTTTCAGGTGGAGGTATCAAGCGCTTTGAGGCCAATGATAGAAAAGGAAATACCTTCGTATAATAATTAGACGGAATCATTTTCAGAAACTGCTTTGCAATGTGTGCGTTCAACTCACAGTGTTTAACCTTTCTTTTCATACAGTTGTTTCGAAACACTCTTTTTGCAGAATCTGCAAGTGGATATTTGGGCCTCTTTGAAGTCTTCGTTGGAAATGGGATATCTTCATATAATGCTAGACAGAAGACTTCTCAGTAACTGCTTTTTCTGGTGTGTATTCAACTCTCAGAGTTGAACTTTCCTTTAGAAACAGCAGATTTGAAACTCTCTTTTTGTGGAATTTGCAAGTGGAGATTTCAGAGCTTTGAGGCCAATGGTAGAAAAGGAAATATCTTCGTATGCAAACTAGACAGAATCATTCTCAGAAACTACTTTGGTACGTGTGTGTTCAACTCACAGTGTTTAACCTTTCTTTTCATAGAGCAGTTTGGAAACACTCAGTTTGTAAAGTCAGCAACTGGATATTTGGATGTATTTGAGGCCTTCGTTGGAAACGGGATTTCTTCATATAATGCTAGACAGAAGAATTCTCAGTAACTTCTTAGGGTTGTGGGTATTCAACTCACAGAGTTGAAGCTTCCTTTAGGCGGAGCAGATTGGAAACACTTTTTGTGGAATTTTCAGGGGGAGACTTCAAGCGCTTTGAAGTGAATGGTAGAAAAGGAAATATCTTCGTATAAAAACTAGACGGAGTCATTCTCAGAAACTACTTTGTGATGTTTGCGTTCAACTCACAGAGTTTAACGTTTCTTTTCATAGAGCAGTTTGGAAACACTCTTTTTGCAGAATCTGCAAGTGGATATTTGGACCTCTTTGTGGCCTTCGTTGGAAACGGGATTTTTCATATAATGCTAGACAGAAGAATTCTCAGTAACTTCTTTTTGTGGTGTGTATTCAACTCACAGAGTTGAACCTTCCTTTAGACAGAGCAGATTTGAAACTCTCTTTTTGTGGAATTTGCAAGTGGAGATTTCAAGCGCTTTGAGGCCAACGGCAGAAAAGGAAATATCTTCGTAGAAAAAATAGACGGAATCATTCTCAGAAACTGCTTTGGGATGTGTGCATTGAACTCACAGTGTTTAACACTTCTTTTCATAGAGCACTTTGGAAACACTCAGTTTGTAATGTCTGCAGCTGGATATTTGGACCTCTTTGAGGCCTTCGTGGTAAACGGGATTTCTTCGTGTAATGATAGACAATAGAATTCTCAGTGAATTTTTTTCTGTGTGTGTGTATTCAACTCACAGGGTTGAACCATCCTTTAGACAGTGCAGATTTGAAACACTTGTCTGTGGAATTTGCAAGGGGAGATTTCAAGCACTTTGAGGCCATTGGTGGAAAAGGAAATATCTTCGTATGAAAACTAGACAGAATCATTCTCAGGAACTACTTTGTGATATGTGCATTCAACTCCCAGAGTTTAACCTTTCTTTTCATAGATGAGTTTGGAAACAGTCAGTTTGTAAATTCTGCAACTGGATATTTGGACCTCTTTGAGGCTTTCGTTGGAAACGGGATTTCTTCACATAATGCTAGACAGAAGAATTCTCAGTAACTTCTTTTGGGATGTATGTATTCAAATCAGAGAGTTGAACCTTCCTTTAGACAGAGCGGATTGGAAACACTCTTTTTGTGGAATTTGCAAGTGGAAAATTCTAGCAGTATGAGGCCAATGGTACAAAAGGAAATATCTTCGTATAAAAACTAGACAGTATCATTCTCAGAAACTGCTTTGTGATGTGTGTATTAAACTCACAGAGTTGAACATTTCTTTGCATAGAGCAGTTTGGAAAGACTTAGTTTGTGCAGTGTGCAAGTGGATATTTGGAACTCTTTGAGGCCTTCGTTGGAAACGGGATTTCTTCTTATAATTCTTGACAAAAGAATTCTCAGTAGCTTCTTTGTGTGTGTGTATTCAACTCACAGAGTTGAACCTTCCTTTAGACAGAGCAGATTGGAAACACTCTTTTTGTGGAATTTGCAAGTGGAGAATTCTAGCGCTTTGACGCCAATGGTAGAAAGGAAATATCTTCGTATAAAAACTAGACAGTATCATTCTCAGAAGCTACTTTGTGATGTGTGCGTTCAACTCACAGAGTTTAACCTTTGTTTTCATAGAGCAGTTTGGAAACCCTCTGTTTGTGAAGTCTGCAAGTGGATATTTAAACGTCTTTGAGGCCTTCGTTGGAAACGGGATTTTTTCATATAAACCAGGACAGAAGAATTCTCAGAAACTTCTTGATTGTTATGTGTGCATTCAACTCACAGAGTTGAACCTTACTTTGGAAAGAGCAGTTTTCTAACACTCTTTTTGTAAAAGTTCCAAGTGAATACTTTGAGTGCTTTGAAGCCTACGGTTGACAACGAAATATCTTCATGTAAAAACTACAAAGAATCATTCGCAGAAACCACGTTGTGATCTCTGCATTCAACTCACAGAGTTGAACCTTTCCTCCTATAGAGCAGTTATGAAGCAGTCTCTTTGTAGAATTTGCAAGGGTGTGTTTACAGGGCATTGAAGCCTACGGTAGAAAAGGAAATATCTTACCATAAAATCTAGTCAGAAGCATTCTCAGAAACTGAGTTGTGATGTTTGCATTCAACTCACAGAGTTCAACATTCCTTTTAATGGAGCGGTTTTGAAACACTCTTTTTGCAGAATCTGCAAGTGGATATTTGGACCTCTTTGAGGCCTTCGTTGGAAACGGGATTTCTTCATGTAATGCCAGACAGAAGAATTCTCAGTGAATTCTTTCTGTGTGTGTGTATTCAACTCACAGAGTTGAACGTTCCTTTAGACAGAGTAGATTGGAAACACTCTTTTTGTGGAATTTTCAGGTGGAGGTATCAAGCGCTTTGAGGCCAATGATAGAAAAGGAAATACCTTCGTATAATAATTAGACGGAATCATTCTCAGAAACTGCTTTGCAATGTGTGCGTTCAACTCACAGTGTTTAACCTTTCTTTTCATACAGTTGTTTCGAAACACTCTTTTTGCAGAATCTGCAAGTGGATATTTGGACCTCTTTGAAGTCTTCGTTGGAAATGGGATTTCTTCATATAATGCTAGACAGAAGACTTCTCAGTAACTGCTTTTTCTGGTGTGTATTCAACTCTCAGAGTTGAACTTTCCTTTAGAAACAGCAGATTTGAAACTCTCTTTTTGTGGAATTTGCAAGTGGAGATTTCAGAGCTTTGAGGCCAATGGTAGAAAAGGAAATAACTTCGTATGCAAACTAGACAGAATCATTCTCAGAAACTACTTTGGTACGTGTGTGTTCAACTCACAGTGTTCAACCTTTCCTTTCATAGAGCAATTTGGAAACACTCAGTTTGTAAAGTCAGCAACTGGATATCTGGATGTATTTGAGGCCTTCGTTGGAAACGGGATTTCTTCATATAATGCTAGACAGAAGAATTCTCAGTAACTTCTTTGGGTTGTGGGTATTCAACTCACAGAGTTGAAGCTTCCTTTAGGCGGAGCAGATTGGAAACACTTTTTGTGGAATTTTCAGGGGGAGACTTCAAGCGCTTTGAAGTGAATGGTAGAAAAGGAAATATCTTCGTATAAAAACTAGACGGAGTCATTCTCAGAAACTACTTTGTGATGTTTGCGTTCAACTCACAGAGTTTAACGTTTCTTTTCATAGAGCAGTTTGGAAACACTCTTTTTGCAGAATCTGCAAGTGGATATTTGGACCTCTTTGTGGCCTTCGTTGGAAACGGGATTTTTCATATAATGCTAGACAGAAGAATTCTCAGTAACTTCTTTTTGTGGTGTGTATTCAACTCACAGAGTTGAACCTTCCTTTAGACAGAGCAGATTTGAAACTCTCTTTTTGTGGAATTTGCAAGTGGAGATTTCAAGCGCTTTGAGGCCAACGGCAGAAAAGGAAATATCTTCGTAGAAAAAATAGACGGAATCATTCTCAGAAACTGCTTTGGGATGTGTGCATTGAACTCACAGTGTTTAACACTTCTTTTCATAGAGCACTTTGGAAACACTCAGTTTGTAATGTCTGCAGCTGGATATTTGGACCTCTTTGAGGCCTTCGTAGTAAACGGGATTTCTTCGGGTAATGATAGACAATAGAATTCTCAGTGAATTTTTTTCTGTGTGTGTGTATTCAACTCACAGGGTTGAACCTTCCTTTAGACAGTGCAGATTTGAGACACTTGTCTGTGGAATTTGCAAGGGGAGATTTCAAGCACTTTGAGGCCATTGGTGGAAAAGGAAATATCTGCGTATAAAAACTAGACAGAATCATTCTCAGGAACTACTTTGTGATATGTGCATTCAACTCACAGAGTTTAACCTTTCTTTTCATAGATGAGTTTGGAAACAGTCAGTTTGTAAATGCTGCAACTGGATATTTGGGCCTCTTTGAGGCTTTCGTTGGAAACGGGATTTCTTCACATAATGCTAGACAGAAGAATTCTCAGTAACTTCTTTTGGGATGTATGTATTCAAATCAGAGAGTTGAACCTTCCTTTAGACAGAGCGGATTGGAAACACTCTTTTTGTGGAATTTGCAAGTGGAAAATTCTAGCAGTATGAGGCCAATGGTACAAAAGGAAATATCTTCGTATAAAAACTAGACAGTATCATTCTCAGAAACTGCTTTGTGATGTGTGTATTAAACTCACAGAGTTGAACATTTCTTTGCATAGAGCAGTTTGGAAAGACTTAGTTTGTGCAGTGTGCAAGTGGATATTTGGAACTCTTTGAGGCCTTCGTTGGAAACGGGATTTCTTCTTATAATTCTTGACAAAAGAATTCTCAGTAGCTTCTTTGTGTGTGTGTACTCAACTCACAGAGTTGAACCTTCCTTTAGACAGAGCAGATTGGAAACACTCTTTTTGTGGAATTTGCAAGTGGAAAATTCTAGCAGTATGAGGCCAATGGTACAAAAGGAAATATCTTCGTATAAAAACTAGACAGTATCATTCTCAGAAACTACTTTGTGAGGTGTGCGTTCAACTCACAGTATTTACCCTTTCTTTTCATAGAGCAGTTTGGAAACACTCTGTTTGTGAAGTCTGCAAGTGGATATTTAAACGTCTTTGAGGCCTTCGTTGGAAACGGGATTTCTTCATATAAACCAGGACAGAAGAATTCTCAGAAACTTCTTGATTGTTATGTGTGCATTCAACTCACAGAGTTGAACCTTACTTTGGAAAGAGCAGTTTTCTAACACTCTTTTTGTAAAAGTTCCAAGTGAATACTTTGAGTGCTTTGAAGCCTACGGTTGACAACGAAATATCTTCATGTAAAAACTACAAAGAATCATTCGCAGAAACCACGTTGTGATCTCTGCATTCAACTCACAGAGTTGAACCTTTCTTCCTGTAGAGCAGTTATGAAACAGTCTCTTTGTAGAATTTGCAAGGGTGTATTTAGAGGGCATTGAAGCCTACGGTAGAAAAGGAAATATCTTACCATAAAATCTAGTCAGAAGCATTCTCAGAAACTGAGTTGTGATGTTTGCATTCAACTCACAGAGTTCAACATTCCTTTTAATGGAGCGGTTTTGAAACACTCTTTTTGCAGAATCTGCAAGTGGATATTTGGACCTCTTTGAGGCCTTCGTTGGAAACGGGATTTCTTCATGTAATGCCAGACAGAAGAATTCTCAGTGAATTCTTTCTGTGTGTGTGTATTCAACTCACAGAGTTGAACGTTCCTTTAGACAGAGTAGATTGGAAACACTCTTTTTGTGGAATTTTCAGGTGGAGGTATCAAGCGCTTTGAGGCCAATGATAGAAAAGGAAATACCTTCGTATAATAATTAGACGGAATCATTCTCAGAAACTGCTTTGCAATGTGTGCCTTCAACTCACAGCGTTTAACCTTTCTTTTCATACAGTTGTTTCGATACACTCTTTTTGCAGAACCTGCAAGTGGATATTTGGACCTCTTTGAAGTCTTCGTTGGAAATGGGATTTCTTCATATAATGCTAGACAGAAGACTTCTCAGTAACTGCTTTTTCTGGTGTGTATTCAACTCTCAGAGTTGAACTTTCCTTTAGAAACAGCAGATTTGAAACTCTCTTTTTGTGGAATTTGCAAGTGGAGATTTCAAAGCTTTGAGGCCAATGGTAGAAAAGGAAATATCTTCGTATGCAAACTAGACAGAATCATTCTCAGAAACTACTTTGGTACGTGTGTGTTCAACTCACAGTGTTTAACCTTTCTTTTCATAGAGCAGTTTGGAAACACTCAGTTTGTAAAGTCAGCAACTGGATATTTGGATGTATTTGAGGCCTTCGTTGGAAACGGGATTTCTTCATATAATGCTAGACAGAAGAATTCTCAGTAACTTCTTTGTGTTGTGGGTATTCAACTCACAGAGTTGAAGCTTCCTTTAGGCGGAGCAGATTGGAAACACTTTTTGTGGAATTTTCAGGGGGAGACTTCAAGCGCTTTGAGGCCAACGGTAGAAAAGGAAATATCTTCGTATAAAAACTAGACGGAGTCATTCTCAGAAACTACTTTGTGATGTTTGCGTTCAACTCACAGAGTTTAACGTTTCTTTTCATAGAGCAGTTTGGAAACACTCTTTTTGCAGAATCTGCAAGTGGATATTTGGACCTCTTTGTGGCCTTCGTTGGAAACGGGATTTTTCATATAATGCTAGACAGAAGAATTCTCAGTAACTTCTTTTTGTGGTGTGTATTCAACTCACAGAGTTGAACCTTCCTTTAGACAGAGCAGATTTGAAACTCTCTTTTTGTGGAATTTGCAAGTGGAGATTTCAAGCGCTTTGAGGCCAACGGCAGAAAAGGAAATATCTTCGTAGAAAAAATAGACGGAATCATTCTCAGAAACTGCTTTGGGATGTGTGCATTGAACTCACAGTGTTTAACACTTCTTTTCATAGAGCACTTTGGAAACACTCAGGTTGTAATGTCTGCAGCTGGATATTTGGACCTCTTTGAGGCCTTCGTAGTAAACGGGATTTCTTCGTGTAATGATAGACAATAGAATTCTCAGTGAATTTTTTTCTGTGTGTGTGTATTCAACTCACAGGGTTGAACCTTCCTTTAGACAGTGCAGATTTGAAACACTTGTCTGTGGAATTTGCAAGGGGAGATTTCAAGCACTTTGAGGCCATTGGTGGAAAAGGAAATAACTTCGTATAAAAACTAGACAGAATCATTCTCAGGAACTACTTTGTGATATGTGCATTCAACTCACAGAGTTTAACCTTTCTTTTCATAGATGAGTTTGGAAACAGTCAGTTTGTAAATTCTGCAACTGGATATTTGGACCTCTTTGAGGCTTTCGTTGGAAACGGGATTTCTTCACATAATGCTAGACAAGAATTCTCAGTAACTTCTTTTGGGATGTATGTATTCAAATCAGAGAGTTGAACCTTCCTTTAGACAGAGCGGATTGGAAACACTCTTTTTGTGGAATTTGCAAGTGGAAAATTCTAGCAGTATGAGGCCAATGGTACAAAAGGAAATATCTTCGTATAAAAACTAGACAGTATCATTCTCAGAAACTGCTTTGTGATGTGTGTATTAAACTCACAGAGTTGAACATTTCTTTGCATAGAGCAGTTTGGAAAGACTTAGTTTGTGCAGTGTGCAAGTGGATATTTGGAACTCTTTGAGGCCTTCGTTGGAAACGGGATTTCTTCTTATAATTCTTGACAAAAGAATTCTCAGTAGCTTCTTTGTGTGTGTGTATTCAACTCACAGAGTTGAACCTTCCTTTAGACAGAGCAGATTGGAAACACTCTTTTTGTGGAATTTGCAAGTGGAGAATTCTAGCGCTTTGACGCCAATGGTAGAAAGGAAATATCTTCGTATAAAAACTAGACAGTATCATTCTCAGAAGCTACTTTGTGATGTGTGCGTTCAACTCACAGAGTTTATCCTTTCTTTTCATAGAGCAGTTTGGAAACCCTCTGTTTGTGAAGTCTGCAAGTGGATATTTAAACGTCGTTGAGGCCTGCGTTGGAAACGGGATTTCTTCATATAAACCAGGACAGAAGAATTCTCAGAAACTTCTTGATTGTTATGTGTGCATTCAACTCACAGAGTTGAACCTTACTTTGGAAAGAGCAGTTTTCTAACACTCTTTTTGTAAAAGTTCCAAGTGAATACTTTGAGTGCTTTGAAGCCTACGGTTGACAACGAAATATCTTCATGTAAAAACTACAAAGAATCATTCGCAGAAACCACGTTGTGATCTCTGCATTCAACTCACAGAGTTGAACCTTTCTTCCTATAGAGCAGTTATGAAACAGTCTCTTTGTAGAATTTGCAAGGGTGTATTTAGAGGGCATTGAAGCCTACGGTAGAAAAGGAAATATCTTACCATAAAATCTAGTCAGAAGCATTCTCAGAAACTGAGTTGTGATGTTTGCATTCAACTCACAGAGTTCAACATTCCTTTTCATGGAGCGGTTTTGAAACACTCTTTTTGCAGAATCTGCAAGTGGATATTTGGACCTCTTTGAGACCTTCGTTGGAAACGGGATTTCTTCAGGTAATGCCAGACAGAAGAATTCTCAGTGAATTCTTTCTGTGTGTGTGTATTCAACTCACGGAGTTGAACGTTCCTTTAGACAGAGTAGATTGGAAACACTCTTTTTGTGGAATTTTCAGGTGGAGGTATCAAGCGCTTTGAGGCCAATGATAGAAAAGGAAATACCCTTCGTATAATAATTAGACGGAATCATTCTCAGAAACTGCTTTGCAATGTGTGCGTTCAACTCACAGTGTTTAACCTTTCTTTTCATACAGTTGTTTCGAAACACTCTTTTTGCAGAATCTGCAAGTGGATATTTGGACCTCTTTGAAGTCTTCGTTGGAAATGGGATTTCTTCATATAATGCTAGACAGAAGACTTCTCAGTAACTGCTTTTTCTGGTGTGTATTCAACTCTCAGAGTTGAACTTTCCTTTAGAAACAGCAGATTTGAAACTCTCTTTTTGTGGAATTTGCAAGTGGAGATTTCAGAGCTTTGAGGCCAATGGTAGAAAAGGAAATATCTTCGTATGCAAACTAGGCAGAATCATTCTCAGAAACTACTTTGGTACGTGTGTGTTCAACTCACAGTGTTTAACCTTTCTTTTCATAGAGCAGTTTGGAAACACTCAGTTTGTAAAGTCAGCAACTGGATATTTGGATGTATTTGAGGCCTTCGTTGGAAACGGGATTTCTTCATATAATGCTAGACAGAAGAATTCTCAGTAACTTCTTTGGGTTGTGGGTATTCAACTCACAGTGTTGAAGCTTCCTTTAGGCGGAGCAGATTGGAAACACTTTTTGTGGAATTTTCAGGGGGAGACTTCAAGCGCTTTGAAGTGAATGGTAGGAAAGGAAATATCTTCGTATAAAAACTAGACGGAGTCATTCTCAGAAACTACTTTGTGATGTTTGCGTTCAACTCACAGAGTTTAACGTTTCTTTTCATAGAGCAGTTTGGAAACACTCTTTTTGCAGAATCTGCAAGTGGATATTTGGACCTCTTTGTGGCCTTCGTTGGAAACGGGATTTTTCATATAATGCTAGACAGAAAAATTCTCAGTAACTTCTTTTTGTGGTGTGTATTCAACTCACAGATTTGAACCTTCCTTTAGACAGAGCAGATTTGAAACTCTCTTTTCGTGGAATTTGCAAGTGGAGATTTCAAGCGCTTTGAGGCCAACGGTAGAAAAGGAAATATCTTCGTAGAAAAAATAGACGGAATCATTCTCAGAAACTGCTTTGGGATGTGTGCATTGAACTCACAGTGTTTAACACTTCTTTTCATAGAGCACTTTGGAAACACTCAGTTTGAAATGTCTGCAGCTGGATATTTGGACCTCTTTGAGGCCTTCGTAGTAAACGGGATTTCTTCGTGTAATGATAGACAATAGAATTCTCAGTGAATTTTTTTCTGTGTGTGTGTATTCAACTCACAGGGTTGAACCTTCCTTTAGACAGTGCAGATTTGAAACACTTGTCTGTGGAATTTGCAAGGGGAGATTTCAAGCACTTTGAGGCCATTGGTGGAAAAGGAAATATCTTCGTATGAAAACTAGACAGAATCATTCTCAGGAACTACTTTGTGATATGTGCATTCAACTCACAGAGTTTAACCTTTCTTTTCATAGATGAGTTTGGAAACAGTCAGTTTGTAAATTCTGCAACTGGATATTTGGACCTCTTTGAGGCTTTCGTTGGAAACGGGATTTCTTCACATAATGCTAGACAGAAGAATTCTCAGTAACTTCTTTTGGGATGTATGTATTCAACTCAGAGAGTTGAACCTTCCTTTAGACAGAGCGGATTGGAAACACTCTTTTTGTGGAATTTGCAAGTGGAAAATTCTAGCAGTATGAGGCCAATGGTACAAAAGGAAATATCTTCGTATAAAAACTAGACAGTATCATTCTCAGAAACTGCTTTGTGATGTGTGTATTAAACTCACAGAGTTGAACATTTCTTTGCATAGAGCAGTTTGGAAAGACTTAGTTTGTGCAGTGTGCAAGTGGATATTTGGAACTCTTTGAGGCCTTCGTTGGAAACGGGATTTCTTCTTATAATTCTTGACAAAAGAATTCTCAGTAGCTTCTTTGTGTGTGTGTATTCAACTCACAGAGTTGAAACCTGCCTTGAGACAGAGCAGATTGGAAACACTCTTTTTGTGGAATTTGCAAGTGGAGAATTCTAGCGCTTTGACGCCAATGGTAGAAAGGAAATATCTTCGTATAAAAACTAGACAGTATCATTCTCAGAAGCTACTTTGTGATGTGTGCGTTCAACTCACAGAGTTTAACCTTTCTTTTCATAGAGCGGTTTGGAAACCCTCTGTTTGTGAAGTCTGCAAGTGGATATTTAAACGTCTTTGAGGCCTTCGTTGGAAACGGGATTTTTTCATATAAACCAGGACAGAAGAATTCTCAGAAACTTCTTGATTGTTATGTGTGCATTCAACTCACAGAGTTGAACCTTACTTTGGAAAGAGCAGTTTTCTAACACTCTTTTTGTAAAAGTTCCAAGTGAATACTTTGAGTGCTTTGAAGCCTACGGTTGACAACGAAATATCTTCATGTAAAAACTACAAAGAATCATTCGCAGAAACCACGTTGTGATCTCTGCATTCAACTCACAGAGTTCAACCTTTCTTCCTATAGAGCAGTTATTAAACAGTCTCTTTGTAGAATTTGCAAGGGTGTATTTAGAGGGCATTGAAGCCTACGGTAGAAAAGGAAATATCTTACCATAAAATCTAGTCAGAAGCATTCTCAGCAACTGAGTTGTGATGTTTCCATTCAACTCACAGAGTTCAACATTCCTTTTAATGGAGCGGTTTTGAAACACTCTTTTTGCAGAATCTGCAAGTGGATATTTGGACCTCTTTGAGGCCTTCGTTGGAAACGGGATTTCTTCATGTAATGCCAGACAGAAGAATTCTCAGTGAATTCTTTCTGTGTGTGTGTATTCAACTCACAGAGTTGAACGTTCCTTTAGACAGAGTAGATTGGAAACACTCTTTTTGTGGAATTTTCAGGTGGAGGTATCAAGCGCTTTGAGGCCAATGATAGAAAAGGAAATACCTTCGTATAATAATTAGACGGAATCATTCTCAGAAACCGCTTTGCAATGTGTGCGTTCAACTCACAGTGTTTAACCTTTCTTTTCATACAGTTGTTTCGAAACACTCTTTTTGCAGAATCTGCAAGTGGATATTTGGACCTCTTTGAAGTCTTCGTTGGAAATGGGATTTCTTCATATAATGCTAGACAGAAGACTTCTCAGTAACTGCTTTTTCTGGTGTGTATTCAACTCTCAGAGTTGAACTTTCCTTTAGAAACAGCAGATTTGAAACTCTCTTTTTGTGGAATTTGCAAGTGGAGATTTCAGAGCTTTGAGGCCAATGGTAGAAAAGGAAATATCTTCGTATGCAAACTAGACAGAATCATTCTCAGAAACTACTTTGGTACGTGTGTGTTCAACTCACAGTGTTTAACCTTTCTTTTCATAGAGCAGTTTGGAAACACTCAGTTTGTAAAGTCAGCAACTGGATATTTGGATGTATTTGAGGCCTTCGTTGGAAACGGGATTTCTTCATATAATGCTAGACAGAAGAATTCTCAGTAACTTCTTTGTGTTGTGGGTATTCAAATCACAGAGTTGAAGCTTCCTTTAGGCGGAGCAGATTGGAAACACTTTTTGTGGAATTTTCAGGGGGAGACTTCAAGCGCTTTGAGGCCAACGGTAGAAAAGGAAATATCTTCGTATAAAAACTAGACGGAGTCATTCTCAGAAACTACTTTGTGATGTTTGCGTTCAACTCACAGAGTTTAACGTTTCTTTTCATAGAGCAGTTTGGAGACACTCTTTTTGCAGAATCTGCAAGTGGATATTTGGACCTCTTTGTGGCCTTCGTTGGAAACGGGATTTTTCATATAATGCTAGACAGAAGAATTCTCAGTAACTTCTTTTTGTCGTGTGTATTCAACTCACAGAGTTGAACCTTCCTTTAGACAGAGCAGATTTGAAACTCTCTTTTTGTGGAATTTGCAAGTGGAGATTTCAAGCGCTTTGAGGCCAACGGCAGAAAAGGAAATATCTTCGTAGAAAAAATAGACGGAATCATTCTCAGAAACTGCTTTGGGATGTGTGCATTGAACTCACAGTGTTTAACACTTCTTTTCATAGAGCACTTTGGAAACACTCAGTTTGTAATGTCTGCAGCTGGATATTTGGACCTCTTTGAGGCCTTCGTAGTAAACGGGATTTCTTCGTGTAATGATAGACAATAGAATTCTCAGTGAATTTTTTTCTGTGTGTGTGTATTCAACTCACAGGGTTGAACCTTCCTTTAGACAGTGCAGATTTGAAACACTTGTCTGTGGAATTTGCAAGGGGAGATTTCAAGCACTTTGAGGCCATTGGTGGAAAAGGAAATATCTTCGTATAAAAACTAGACAGAATCATTCTCAGGAACTACTTTGTGATATGTGCATTCAACTCACAGAGTTTAACCTTTCTTTTCATAGATGAGTTTGGAAACAGTCAGTTTGTAAATTCTGCAACTGGATATTTGGACCTCTTTGAGGCTTTCGTTGGAAACGGGATTTCTTCACATAATGCTAGACAGAAGAATTCTCAGTAACTTCTTTTGGGATGTATGTATTCAAATCAGAGAGTTGAACCTTCCTTTAGACAGAGCGGATTGGAAACACTCTTTTTGTGGAATTTGCAAGTGGAAAATTCTAGCAGTATGAGGCCAATGGTACAAAAGGAAATATCTTCGTATAAAAACTAGACAGTATCATTCTCAGAAACTGCTTTGTGATGTGTGTATTAAACTCACAGAGTTGAACATTTCTTTGCATAGAGCAGTTTGGAAAGACTTAGTTTGTGCAGTGTGCAAGTGGATATTTGGAACTCTTTGAGGCCTTCGTTGGAAACGGGATTTCTTCTTATAATTCTTGACAAAAGAATTCTCAGTAGCTTCTTTGTGTGTGTGTATTCAACTCACAGAGTTGAACCTTCCTTTAGACAGAGCAGATTGGAAACACTCTTTTTGTGGAATTTGCAAGTGGAGAATTCTAGCGCTTTGACGCCAATGGTAGAAAGGAAATATCTTCGTATAAAAACTAGACAGTATCATTCTCAGAAACTACTTTGTGATGTGTGCGTTCAACTCACAGAGTTTAACCTTTCTTTTCATAGAGCAGTTTGGAAACACTCTGTTTGTGAAGTCTGCAAGTGGATATTTAAACGTCTTTGAGGCCTTCGTTGGAAACGGGATTTGTTCATATAAACCAGGACAGAAGAATTCTCAGAAACTTCTTGATTGTTATGTGTGCATTCAACTCACAGAGTTGAACCTTACTTTGGAAAGAGCAGTTTTCTAACACTCTTTTTGTAAAAGTTCCAAGTGAATACTTTGAGTGCTTTGAAGCCTACGGTTGACAACGAAATATCTTCATGTAAAAACTACAAAGAATCATTCGCAGAAACCACGTTGTGATCTCTGCATTCAACTCACAGAGTTGAACCTTTCTTCCTATAGAGCAGTTATGAAACAGTCTCTTTGTAGAATTTGCAAGGGTGTATTTAGAGGGCATTGAAGCCTACGGTAGAAAAGGAAATATCTTACCATAAAATCTAGTCAGAAGCATTCTCAGAAACTGAGTTGTGATGTTTGCATTCAACTCACAGAGTTCAACATTCCTTTTCATGGAGCGGTTTTGAAACACTCTTTTTGCAGAATCTGCAAGTGGATATTTGGACCTCTTTGAGGCCTTCGTTGAAAACGGGATTTCTTCATGTAATGCCAGACAGAAGAATTCTCAGTGAATTCTTTCTGTGTGTGTGTATTCAACTCACAGAGTTGAACGTTCCTTTAGACAGAGTAGATTGGAAACACTCTTTTTGTGGAATTTTCAGGTGGAGGTATCAAGCGCTTTGAGGCCCATGATAGAAAAGGAAATACCTTCGTATAATAATTAGACGGAATCATTCTCAGAAAATGCTTTGCAATGGGTGCGTTCAACTCACAGTGTTTAACCTTTCTTTTCATACAGTTGTTTCGAAACACTCTTTTTGCAGAATCTGCAAGTGGATATTTGGACCTGTTTGAAGTCTTCTTTGGAAATGGGATTTCTTCATATAATGCTAGACAGAAGACTTCTCAGTAACTGCTTTTTCTGGTGTGTATTCAACTCTCAGAGTTGAACTTTCCTTTAGAAACAGCAGATTTGAAACTCTCTTTTTGTGGAATTTGCAAGTGGAGATTTCAGAGCTTTGAGGCCAATGGTAGAAAAGGAAATATCTTCGTATGCAAACTAGACAGAATCATTCTCAGAAACTACTTTGGTACGTGTGTGTTCAACTCACAGTGTTTAACCTTTCTTTTCATAGAGCAGTTTGGAAACACTCAGTTTGTAAAGTCAGCAACTGGATATTTGGATGTATTTGAGGCCTTCGTTGGAAACGGGATTTCTTCATATAATGCTAGACAGAAGAATTCTCAGTAACTTCTTTGTGTTGTGGGTATTCAACTCACAGAGTTGAAGCTTCCTTTAGGCGGAGCAGATTGGAAACACTTTTTGTGGAATTTTCAGGGGGAGACTTCAAGCGCTTTGAGGCCAACGGTAGAAAAGGAAATATCTTCGTATAAAAACTAGACGGAGTCATTCTCAGAAACTACTTTGTGATGTTTGCGTTCAACTCACAGAGTTTAACGTTTCTTTTCATAGAGCAGTTTGGAAACACTCTTTTTGCAGAATCGGCAAGTGGATATTTGGACCTCTTTGTGGCCTTCGTTGGAAACGGGATTTTTCATATAATGCTAGACAGAAGAATTCTCAGTAACTTCTTTTTGTGGTGTGTATTCAACTCACAGAGTTGAACCTTCCTTTAGACAGAGCAGATTTGAAACTCTCTTTTCGTGGAATTTGCAAGTGGAGATTTCAAACGCTTTGAGGCCAACGGTAGAAAAGGAAATATCTTCGTAGAAAAAATAGACGGAATCATTCTGAGAAACTGCTTTGGGATGTGTGCATTGAACTCACAGTGTTTAACACTTCTTTTCATAGAGCACTTTGGAAACACTCAGTTTCTAATGTCTGCAGCTGGATATTTGGACCTCTTTGAGGCCTTCGTAGTAAACGGGATTTCTTCGTGTAATGATAGACAATAGAATTCTCAGTGAATTTTTTTCTGTGTGTGTGTATTCAACTCACAGGGTTGAACCTTCCTTCAGACAGTGCAGATTTGAAACACTTTTCTGTGGAATTTGCAAGGGGAGATTTCAAGCACTTTGAGGCCATTGGTGGAAAAGGAAATATCTTCGTATAAAAACTAGACAGAATCATTCTCAGGAACTACTTTGTGATATGTGCATTCAACTCACAGAGTTTAACCTTTCTTTTCATAGATGAGTTTGGAAACAGTTTGTAAATTCTGCAACTGGATATTTGGACCTCTTTGAGGCTTTCGTTGGAAACGGGATTTCTTCACATAATGCTAGACAGAAGAATTCTCAGTAACTTCTTTTGGGATGTATGTATTCAAATCAGAGAGTTGAACCTTCCTTTAGACAGAGCGGATTGGAAACACTCTTTTTGTGGAATTTGCAAGTGGAAAATTCTAGCAGTATGAGGCCAATGGTACAAAAGGAAATATCTTCGTATAAAAACTAGACAGTATCATTCTCAGAAACTGCTTTGTGATGTGTGTATTAAACTCACAGAGTTGAACATTTCTTTGCATAGAGCAGTTTGGAAAGACTTAGTTTGTGCAGTGTGCAAGTGGATATTTGGAACTCTTTGAGGCCTTCGTTGGAAACGGGATTTCTTCTTATAATTCTTGACAAAAGAATTCTCAGTAGCTTCTTTGTGTGTGTGTATTCAACTCACAGAGTTGAACCTTCCTTGAGACAGAGCAGATTGGAAACACTCTTTTTGTGGAATTTGCAAGTGGAGAATTCTAGCGCTTTGACGCCAATGGTAGAAAGGAAATATCTTCGTATAAAAACTAGACAGTATCATTCTCAGAAACTACTTTGTGATGTGTGCGTTCAACTCACAGAGTTTAACCTTTCTTTTCATAGAGCAGTTTGGAAACACTCTGTTTGTGAAGTCTGCAAGTGGATATTTAAACGTCTTTGAGGCCTTCGTTGGAAACGGGATATTTTCATATAAACCAGGACAGAAGAATTCTCAGAAACTTCTTGATTGTTATGTGTGCATTCAACTCACAGAGTTGAACCTTACTTTGGAAAGAGCAGTTTTCTAACACTCTTTTTGTAAAAGTTCCAAGTGAATACTTTGAGTGCTTTGAAGCCTACGGTTGACAACGAAATATCTTCATGTAAAAACTACAAAGAATCAATCGCAGAAACCACGTTGTGATCTCTGCATTCAACTCACAGAGTTGAACCTTTCTTCCTATAGAGCAGTTATGAAACAGTCTCTTTGTAGAATTTGCAAGGGTGTATTTAGAGGGCATTGAAGCCTACGGTAGAAAAGGAAATATCTTACCATAAAATCTAGTCAGAAGCATTCTCAGAAACTGAGTTGTGATGTTTGCATTCAACTCACAGAGTTCAACATTCCTTTTCATGGAGCGGTTTTGAAACACTCTTTTTGCAGAATCTGCAAGTGGATATTTGGACCTCTTTGAGGCCTTCGTTGGAAACGGGATTTCTTCATGTAATGCCAGACAGAAGAATTCTCAGTGAATTCTTTCTGTGTGTGTGTATTCAACTCACAGAGTTGAACGTTCCTTTAGACAGAGTAGATTGGAAACACTCTTTTTGTGGAATTTTCAGGTGGAGGTATCAAGCGCTTTGAGGCCAATGATAGAAAAGGAAATACCTTCGTATAATAATTAGACGGAATCATTCTCAGAAACTGCTTTGCAATGTGTGCGTTCAACTCACAGTGTTTAACCTTTCTTTTCATACAGTTGTTTCGAAACACTCTTTTTGCAGAATCTGCAAGTGGATATTTGGACCTCTTTGAAGTCTTCGTTGGAAATGGGATTTCTTCATATAATGCTAGACAGAAGACTTCTCAGTAACTGCTTTTTCTGGTGTGTATTCAACTCTCAGAGTTGAACTTTCCTTTAGAAACAGCAGATTTGAAACTCTCTTTTTGTGGAATTTGCAAGTGGAGATTTCGGAGCTTTGAGGCCAATGGTAGAAAAGGAAATATCTTCGTATGCAAACTAGACAGAATCATTCTCAGAAACTACTTTGGTACGTGTGTGTTCAACTCACAGTGTTTAACCTTTCTTTTCATAGAGCAGTTTGGAAACACTCAGTTTGTAAAGTCAGCAACTGGATATTTGGATGTATTTGAGGCCTTCGTTGGAAACGGGATTTCTTCATATAATGCTAGACAGAAGAATTCTCAGTAACTTCTTTGGGTTGTGGGTATTCAACTCACAGAGTTGAAGCTTCCTTTAGGCGGAGCAGATTGGAAACACTTTTTGTGGAATTTTCAGGGGGAGACTTCAAGCGCTTTGAAGTGAATGGTAGGAAAGGAAATATCTTCGTATAAAAACTAGACGGAGTCATTCTCAGAAACTACTTTGTGATGTTTGCGTTCAACTCACAGAGTTTAACGTTTCTTTTCATAGAGCAGTTTGGAAACACTCTTTTTGCAGAATCTGCAAGTGGATATTTGGACCTCTTTGTGGCCTTCGTTGGAAACGGGATTTTTCATATAATGCTAGACAGAAGAATTCTCAGTAACTTCTTTTTGTGGTGTGTATTCAACTCACAGAGTTGAACCTTCCTTTAGACAGAGCAGATTTGAAACTCTCTTTTTGTGGAATTTGCAAGTGGAGATTTCAAGCGCTTTGAGGCCAACGGCAGAAAAGGAAATATCTTCGTAGAAAAAATAGACGGAATCATTCTCAGAAACTGCTTTGGGATGTGTGCATTGAACTCACAGTGTTTAACACTTCTTTTCATAGAGCACTTTGGAAACACTCAGTTTGTAATGTCTGCAGCTGGATATTTGGACCTCTTTGAGGCCTTCGTAGTAAACGGGATTTCTTCGTGTAATGATAGACAATAGAATTCTCAGTGAATTTTTTTCTGTGTGTGTGTATTCAACTCACAGGGTTGAACCTTCCTTTAGACAGTGCAGATTTGAAACACTTGTCTGTGGAATTTGCAAGGGGAGATTTCAAGCACTTTGAGGCCATTGGTGGAAAAGGAAATATCTTCGTATGAAAACTAGACAGAATCATTCTCAGGAACTACTTTGTGATATGTGCATTCAACTCCCAGAGTTTAACCTTTCTTTTCATAGATGAGTTTGGAAACAGTCAGTTTGTAAATTCTGCAACTGGATATTTGGACCTCTTTGAGGCTTTCGTTGGAAACGGGATTTCTTCACATAATGCTAGACAGAAGAATTCTCAGTAACTTCTTTTGGGATGTATGTATTCAAATCAGAGAGTTGAACCTTCCTTTAGACAGAGCGGATTGGAAACCCTCTTTTTGTGGAATTTGCAAGTGGAAAATTCTAGCAGTATGAGGCCAATGGTACAAAAGGAAATATCTTCGTATAAAAACTAGACAGTATCATTCTCAGAAACTGCTTTGTGATGTGTGCATTAAACTCACAGAGTTGAACATTTCTTTGCATAGAGCAGTTTGGAAAGACTTAGTTTGTACAGTGTGCAAGTGGATATTTGGAACTCTTTGAGGCCTTCGTTGAAAACGGGATTTCTTCTTATAATTCTTGACAAAAGAATTCTCAGTAGCTTCCTTGTGTGTGTGTATTCAACTCACAGAGTTGAACCTGCCTTTAGGCAGAGCAGATTGGAAACTCTCTTTTTGTGGAATTTGCAAGTGGAGAATTCTAGCGCTTTGACGCCAATGGTAGGAAAGGAAATCTCTTCGTATAAAAACTGGACAGTATCATTCTCAGAAACTACTTTGTGATGTGTGCGTTCAACTCACAGAGTTTAACCTTTCTTTTCATAGACCAGTTTGGAAACACTCTGTTTGTGAAGTCTGCAAGTGGATATTTAAACGTCTTTGAGGCCTTCGTTGGAAACGGGATTTTTTCATATAAACCAGGACAGAAGAATTCTCAGAAACTTCTTGTTTGTTATGTGTGCATTCAACTCACAGAGTTGAACCTTACTTTGGAAAGAGCAGTTTTCTAACACTCTTTTTGTAAAAGTTCCAAGTGAATACTTTGAGTGCTTTGAAGCCTACGGTAGACAACGATATATCTTCATGTAAAAACTACAAAGAAATCATTCGCAGAAACCACGTTGTGATCTCTGCATTCAACTCACAGAGTTCAACCTTTCTTCCTATAGAGCAGTTATGAAACAGTCTCTTTGTAGAATTTGCAAGGGTGTATTTAGAGGGCATTGAAGCCTACGGTAGAAAAGGAAATATCTTACCATAAAATCTAGTCAGAAGCATTCTCAGCAACTGAGTTGTGATGTTTCCATTCAACTCACAGAGTTCAACATTCCTTTTAATGGAGCGGTTTTGAAACACTCTTTTTGCAGAATCTGCAAGTGGATATTTGGACCTCTTTGAGGCCTTCGTTGGAAACGGGATTTCTTCATGTAATGCCAGACAGAAGAATTCTCAGTGAATTCTTTCTGTGTGTGTGTATTCAACTCACAGAGTTGAACGTTCCTTTAGACAGAGTAGATTGGAAACACTCTTTTTGTGGAATTTTCAGGTGGAGGTATCAAGCGCTTTGAGGCCAATGATAGAAAAGGAAATACCTTCGTATAATAATTAGACGGAATCATTCTCAGAAACTGCTTTGCAATGTGTGCGTTCAACTCACAGTGTTTAACCTTTCTTTTCATACAGTTGTTTCGAAACACTCTTTTTGCAGAATCTGCAAGTGGATATTTGGACCTCTTTGAAGTCTTCGTTGGAAATGGGATTTCTTCATATAATGCTAGACAGAAGACTTCTCAGTAACTGCTTTTTCTGGTGTGTATTCAACTCTCAGAGTTGAACTTTCCTTTAGAAACAGCAGAGTTGAAACTCTCTTTTTGTGGAATTTGCAAGTGGAGATTTCAAAGCTTTGAGGCCAATGGTAGAAAAGGAAATATCTTCGTATGCAAACTAGACAGAATCATTCTCAGAAACTACTTTGGTACGTGTGTGTTCAACTCACAGTGTTTAACCTTTCTTTTCATAGAGCAGTTTGGAAACACTCAGTTTGTAAAGTCAGCAACTGGATATCTGGATGTATTTGAGGCCTTCGTTGGAAACGGGATTTCTTCATGTAATGCTAGACAGAAGAATTCTCAGTAACTTCTTTGTGTTGTGGGTATTCAACTAACAGAGCTGAAGCTTCCTTTAGGCGGAGCAGATTGGAAACACTTTTTGTGGAATTTTCAGGGGGAGACTTCAAGCGCTTTGAGGCCAACGGTAGAAAAGGAAATATCTTCGTATAAAAACTAGACGGAGTCATTCTCAGAAACTACTTTGTGATGTTTGCGTTCAACTCACAGAGTTTAACGTTTCTTTTCATAGAGCAGTTTGGAAACACTCTTTTTGCAGAATCTGCAAGTGGATATTTGGACCTCTTTGTGGCCTTCGTTGGAAACGGGATTTTTCATATAATGCTAGACAGAAGAATTCTCAGTAACTTCTTTTTGTGGTGTGTATTCAACTCACAGAGTTGAACCTTCCTTTAGACAGAGCAGATTTGAAACTCTCTTTTCGTGGAATTAGCAAGTGGAGATTTCAAGCGCTTTGAGGCCAACGGTAGAAAAGGAAATATCTTCGTAGAAAAAATAGACGGAATCATTCTCAGAAACTGCTTTGGGATGTGTGCATTGAACTCACAGTGTTTAACACTTCTTTTCATAGAGCACTTTGGAAACACTCAGTTTGTAATGTCTGCAGCTGGATATTTGGACCTCTTTGAGGCCTTCGTGGTAAACGGGATTTCTTCGTGTAATGATAGACAATAGAATTCTCAGTGAATTTTTTTCTGTGTGTGTGTATTCAACTCACAGGGTTGAACCTTCCTTTAGACAGTGCAGATTTGAAACACTTGTCTGTGGAATTTGCAAGGGGAGATTTCAAGCACTTTGAGGCCATTGGTGGAAAAGGAAATAACTTCGTATAAAAACTAGACAGAATCATTCTCAGGAACTACTTTGTGATATGTGCATTCAACTCACAGAGTTTAACCTTTCTTTTCATAGATGAGTTTGGAAACAGTCAGTTTGTAAATTCTGCAACTGGATATTTGGACCTCTTTGAGGCTTTCGTTGGAAACGGGATTTCTTCACATAATGCTAGACAAGAATTCTCAGTAACTTCTTTTGGGATGTATGTATTCAAATCAGAGAGTTGAACCTTCCTTTAGACAGAGCGGATTGGAAACACTCTTTTTGTGGAATTTGCAAGTGGAAAATTCTAGCAGTATGAGGCCAATGGTACAAAAGGAAATATCTTCGTATAAAAACTAGACAGTATCATTCTCAGAAACTGCTTTGTGATGTGTGTATTAAACTCACAGAGTTGAACATTTCTTTGCATAGAGCAGTTTGGAAAGACTTAGTTTGTGCAGTGTGCAAGTGGATATTTGGAACTCTTTGAGGCCTTCGTTGGAAACGGGATTTCTTCTTATAATTCTTGACAAAAGAATTCTCAGTAGCTTCTTTGTGTGTGTGTATTCAACTCACAGAGTTGAACCTTCCTTTAGGCAGAGCAGATTGGAAACACTCTTTTTGTGGAATTTGCAAGTGGAGAATTCTAGCGCTTTGACGCCAATGGTAGGAAAGGAAATATCTTCGTATAAAAACTGGACAGTATCATTCTCAGAAACTACTTTGTGATGTGTGCGTTCAACTCACAGAGTTTAACCTTTCTTTTCATAGACCAGTTTGGAAACACTCTGTTTGTGAAGTCTGCAAGTGGATATTTAAACGTCTTTGAGGCCTTCGTTGGAAACGGGATTTTTTCATATAAACCAGGACAGAAGAATTCTCAGAAACTTCTTGTTTGTTAAGTGTGCATTCAACTCACAGAGTTGAACGTTACTTTGGAAAGAGCAGTTTTCTAACACTCTTTTTGTAAAAGTTCCAAGTGAATACTTTGAGTGCTTTGAAGCCTACGGTAGACAACGAAATATCTTCATGTAAAAACTACGAAGAATCATTCGCAGAAACCACGTTGTGATCTCTGCATTCAACTCACAGAGTTGAACCTTTCCTCCTATAGAGCAGTTATGAAACCGTCTCTTTGTTGAATTTGCAAGGGTGTATTTACAGGGCATTGAAGCCTACGGTAGAAAAGGAAATATCTTACCATAAAATCTAGTCAGAAGCATTCTCAGAAACTGAGTTGTGATGTTTGCATTCAACTCACAGAGTTCAACATTCCTTTTAATGGAGCGGTTTTGAAACACTCTTTTTGCAGAATCTGCAAGTGGATATTTGGACCTCTTTGAGGCCTTCGTTGGAAACGGGATTTCTTCATGTAATGCCAGACAGAAGAATTCTCAGTGAATTCTTTCTGTGTGTGTGTATTCAACTCACAGAGTTGAACGTTCCTTTAGACAGAGTAGATTGGAAACACTCTTTTTGTGGAATTTTCAGGTGGAGGTATCAAGCGCTTTGAGGCCAATGATAGAAAAGGAAATACCTTCGTATAATAATTAGACGGAATCATTCTCAGAAACTGCTTTGCAATGTGTGCGTTCAACTCACAGTGTTTAACCTTTCTTTTCATACAGTTGTTTCGAAACACTCTTTTTGCAGAATCTGCAAGTGGATATTTGGACCTCTTTGAAGTCTTCGTTGGAAATGGGATTTCTTCATATAATGCTAGACAGAAGACTTCTCAGTAACTGCTTTTTCTGGTGTGTATTCAACTCTCAGAGTTGAACTTTCCTTTAGAAACAGCAGATTTGAAACTCTCTTTTTGTGGAATTTGCAAGTGGAGATTTCAGAGCTTTGAGGCCAATGGTAGAAAAGGAAATATCTTCATATGCAAACTAGACAGAATCATTCTCAGAAACTACTTTGGTACGTGTGTGTTCAACTCACAGTGTTTAACCTTTCTTTTCATAGAGCAGTTTGGAAACACTCAGTTTGTAAAGTCAGCAACTGGATATTTGGATGTATTTGAGGCCTTCGTTGGAAACGGGATTTCTTCATATAGTGCTAGACAGAAGAATTCTCAGTAACTTCTTTGGGTTGTGGGTATTCAACTCACAGAGTTGAAGCTTCCTTTAGGCGGAGCAGATTGGAAACACTTTTTGTGGAATTTTCAGGGGGAGACTTCAAGCGCTTTGAAGTGAATGGTAGAAAAGGAAATATCTTCGTATAAAAACTAGACGGAGTCATTCTCAGAAACTACTTTGTGATGTTTGCGTTCAACTCACAGAGTTTAACGTTTCTTTTCATAGAGCAGTTTGGAAACACTCTTTTTGCAGAATCTGCAAGTGGATATTTGGACCTCTTTGTGGCCTTCGTTGGAAACGGGATTTTTCATATAATGCTAGACAGAAGAATTCTCAGTAACTTCTTTTTGTGGTGTGTATTCAACTCACAGAGTTGAACCTTCCTTTAGACAGAGCAGATTTGAAACTCTCTTTTTGTGGAATTTGCAAGTGGAGATTTCAAGCGCTTTGAGGCCAACGGCAGAAAAGGAAATATCTTCGTAGAAAAAATAGACGGAATCATTCTCAGAAACTGCTTTGGGATGTGTGCATTGAACTCACAGTGTTTAACACTTCTTTTCATAGAGCACTTTGGAAACACTCAGTTTGTAATGTCTGCAGCTGGATATTTGGACCTCTTTGAGGCCTTCGTAGTAAACGGGATTTCTTCGTGTAATGATAGACAATAGAATTCTCAGTGAATTTTTTTCTGTGTGTGTGTATTCAACTCACAGGGTTGAACCTTCCTTTAGACAGTGCAGATTTGAGACACTTGTCTGTGGAATTTGCAAGGGGAGATTTCAAGCACTTTGAGGCCATTGGTGGAAAAGGAAATATCTTCGTATAAAAACTAGACAGAATCATTCTCAGGAACTACTTTGTGATATGTGCATTCAACTCACAGAGTTTAACCTTTCTTTTCATAGATGAGTTTGGAAACAGTCAGTTTGTAAATTCTGCAACTGGATATTTGGACCTCTTTGAGGCTTTCGTTGGAAACGGGATTTCTTCACATAATGCTAGACAGAAGAATTCTCAGTAACTTCTTTTGGGATGTATGTATTCAAATCAGAGAGTTGAACCTTCCTTTAGACAGAGCGGATTGGAAACACTCTTTTTGTGGAATTTGCAAGTGGAAAATTCTAGCAGTATGAGGCCAATGGTACAAAAGGAAATATCTTCGTATAAAAACTAGACAGTATCATTCTCAGAAACTGCTTTGTGATGTGTGTATTAAACTCACAGAGTTTAACCTTTCTTTTCATAGAGCAGTTTGGAAACCCTCTGTTTGTGAAGTCTGCAAGTGGATATTTAAACGTCTTTGAGGCCTTCGTTGGAAACGGGATTTTTTCATATAAACCAGGACAGAAGAATTCTCAGAAACTTCTTGATTGTTATGTGTGCATTCAACTCACAGAGTTGAACCTTACTTTGGAAAGAGCAGTTTCCTAACACTCGTTTTGTAAAAGTTCCAAGTGAATACTTTGAGTGCTTTGAAGCCTACGGTTGACAACGAAATATCTTCATGTAAAAACTACAAAGAATCATTCGCAGAAACCACGTTGTGATCTCTGCAGTCAACTCACAGAGTTCAACCTTTCTTCCTATAGAGCAGTTATGAAACAGTCTCTTTGTAGAATTTGCAAGGGTGTATTTAGAGGGCATTGAAGCCTACGGTAGAAAAGGAAATATCTTACCATAAAATCTAGTCAGAAGCATTCTCAGAAACTGAGTTGTGATGTTTGCATTCAACTCACAGAGTTCAACATTCCTTTTAATGGAGCGGTTTTGAAACACTCTTTTTGCAGAATCTGCAAGTGGATATTTGGACCTCTTTGAGGCCTTCGTTGGAAACGGGATTTCTTCATGTAATGCCAGACAGAAGAATTCTCAGTGAATTCTTTCTGTGTGTGTGTATTCAACTCACAGAGTTGAACGTTCCTTTAGACAGAGTAGATTGGAAACACTCTTTTTGTGGAATTTTCAGGTGGAGGTATCAAGCGCTTTGAGGCCAATGATAGAAAAGGAAATACCTTCGTATAATAATTAGACGGAATCATTCTCAGAAACTGCTTTGCAATGTGTGCGTTCAACTCACAGTGTTTAACCTTTCTTTTCATACAGTTGTTTCGAAACACTCTTTTTGCAGAATCTGCAAGTGGATATTTGGACCTCTTTGAAGTCTTCGTTGGAAATGGGATTTCTTCATATAATGCTAGACAGAAGACTTCTCAGTAACTGCTTTTTCTGGTGTGTATTCAACTCTCAGAGTTGAACTTTCCTTTAGAAACAGCAGATTTGAAACTCTCTTTTTGTGGAATTTGCAAGTGGAGATTTCAGAGCTTTGAGGCCAATGGTAGAAAAGGAAATATCTTCGTATGCAAACTAGACAGAATCATTCTCAGAAACTACTTTGGTACGTGTGTGTTCAACTCACAGTGTTTAACCTTTCTTTTCATAGAGCAGTTTGGAAACACTCAGTTTGTAAAGTCAGCAACTGGATATTTGGATGTATTTGAGGCCTTCGTTGGAAACGGGATTTCTTCATATAGTGCTAGACAGAAGAATTCTCAGTAACTTCTTTGGGTTGTGGGTATTCAACTCACAGAGTTGAAGCTTCCTTTAGGCGGAGCAGATTGGAAACACTTTTTGTGGAATTTTCAGGGGGAGACTTCAAGCGCTTTGAAGTGAATGGTAGAGAAGGAAATATCTTCGTATAAAAACTAGACGGAGTCATTCTCAGAAACTACTTTGTGATGTTTGCGTTCAACTCACAGAGTTTAACGTTTCTTTTCATAGAGCAGTTTGGAAACACTCTTTTTGCAGAATCTGCAAGTGGATATTTGGACCTCTTTGTGGCCTTCGTTGGAAACGGGATTTTTCATATAATGCTAGACAGAAGAATTCTCAGTAACTTCTTTTTGTGGTGTGTATTCAACTCACAGAGTTGAACCTTCCTTTAGACAGAGCAGATTTGAAACTCTCTTTTTGTGGAATTTGCAAGTGGAGATTTCAAGCGCTTTGAGGCCAACGGTAGAAAAGGAAATATCTTCGTAGAAAAAATAGACGGAATCATTCTCAGAAACTGCTTTGGGATGTGTGCATTGAACTCACAGTGTTTAACACTTCTTTTCATAGAGCACTTTGGAAACACTCAGTTTGTAATGTCTGCAGCTGGATATTTGGACCTCTTTGAGGCCTTCGTAGTAAACGGGATTTCTTCGTGTAATGATAGACAATAGAATTCTCAGTGAATTTTTTTCTGTGTGTGTGTATTCAACTCACAGGGTTGAACCTTCCTTTAGACAGTGCAGATTTGAAACACTTGTCTGTGGAATTTGCAAGGGGAGATTTCAAGCACTTTGAGGCCATTGGTGGAAAAGGAAATATCTTCGTATAAAAACTAGACAGAATCATTCTCAGGAACTACTTTGTGATATGTGCATTCAACTCCCAGAGTTTAACCTTTCTTTTCATAGATGAGTTTGGAAACAGTCAGTTTGTAAATTCTGCAACTGGATATTTGGACCTCTTTGAGGCTTTCGTTGGAAACGGGATTTCTTCACATAATGCTAGACAGAAGAATTCTCAGTAACTTCTTTTGGGATGTATGTATTCAAATCAGAGAGTTGAACCTTCCTTTAGACAGAGCGGATTGGAAACACTCTTTTTGTGGAATTTGCAAGTGGAAAATTCTAGCAGTATGAGGCCAATGGTACAAAAGGAAATATCTTCGTATAAAAACTAGACAGTATCATTCTCAGAAACTGCTTTGTGATGTGTGTATTAAACTCACAGAGTTGAACATTTCTTTGCATAGAGCAGTTTGGAAAGACTTAGTTTGTGCAGTGTGCAAGTGGATATTTGGAACTCTTTGAGGCCTTCGTTGGAAACGGGATTTCTTCTTATAATTCTTGACAAAAGAATTCTCAGTAGCTTCTTTGTGTGTGTGTATTCAACTCACAGAGTTGAACCTTCCTTTAGACAGAGCAGATTGGAAACACTCTTTTTGTGGAATTTGCAAGTGGAGAATTCTAGCGCTTTGACGCCAATGGTAGAAAGGAAATATCTTCGTATGCAAACTAGACAGTATCATTCTCAGAAGCTACTTTGTGATGTGTGCGTTCAACTCACAGAGTTTAACCTTTCTTTTCATAGAGCAGTTTGGAAACACTCTGTTTGTGAAGTCTGCAAGTGGATATTTAAACGTCTTTGAGGCCTTCGTTGGAAACGGGAT
Source organism: Homo sapiens (assembly GCF_000001405.40). Classification (NCBI taxonomy): domain Eukaryota; kingdom Metazoa; phylum Chordata; class Mammalia; order Primates; family Hominidae; genus Homo; species Homo sapiens. The sequence goes on from NC_000003.12 coordinate 93,399,473, forward strand.
TTTTTCATATAAACCAGGACAGAAGAATTCTCAGAAACTTCTTGATTGTTATGTGTGCATTCAACTCAGAGTTGAACCTTACTTTGGAAAGAGCAGTTTTCTAACACTCTTTTTGTAAAAGTTCCAAGTGAATACTTTGAGTGCTTTGAAGCCTACGGTTGACAACGAAATATCTTCCTGTAAAAACTACAAAGAATCATTCGCAGAAACCACGTTGTGATCTCTGCATTCAACTCACAGAGTTCAACCTTTCTTCCTATAGAGCAGTTATGAAACAGTCTCTTTGTAGAATTTGCAAGGGTGTATTTAGAGGGCATTGAAGCCTACGGTAGAAAAGGAAATATCTTACCATAAAATCTAGTCAGAAGCATTCTCAGAAACTGAGTTGTGATGTTTGCATTCAACTCACAGAGTTCAACATTCCTTTTAATGGAGCGGTTTTGAAACACTCTTTTTGCAGAATCTGCAAGTGGATATTTGGACCTCTTTGAGGCCTTCGTTGGAAACGGGATTTCTTCATGTAATGCCAGACAGAAGAATTCTCAGTGAATTCTTTCTGTGTGTGTGTATTCAACTCACAGAGTTGAACGTTCCTTTAGACAGAGTAGATTGGAAACACTCTTTTTGTGGAATTTTCAGGTGGAGGTATCAAGCGCTTTGAGGCCAATGATAGAAAAGGAAATACCTTCGTATAATAATTAGACGGAATCATTCTCAGAAACCGCTTTGCAATGTGTGCGTTCAACTCACAGTGTTTAACCTTTCTTTTCATACAGTTGTTTCGAAACACTCTTTTTGCAGAATCTGCAAGTGGATATTTGGACCTCTTTGAAGTCTTCGTTGGAAATGGGATTTCTTCATATAATGCTAGACAGAAGACTTCTCAGTAACTGCTTTTTCTGGTGTGTATTCAACTCTCAGAGTTGAACTTTCCTTTAGAAACAGCAGATTTGAAACTCTCTTTTTGTGGAATTTGCAAGTGGAGATTTCAGAGCTTTGAGGCCAATGGTAGAAAAGGAAATATCTTCGTATGCAAACTAGACAGAATCATTCTCAGAAACTACTTTGGTACGTGTGTGTTCAACTCACAGTGTTTAACCTTTCTTTTCATAGAGCAGTTTGGAAACACTCAGTTTGTAAAGTCAGCAACTGGATATTTGGATGTATTTGAGGCCTTCGTTGGAAACGGGATTTCTTCATATAATGCTAGACAGAAGAATTCTCAGTAACTTCTTTGGGTTGTGGGTATTCAACTCACAGAGTTGAAGCTTCCTTTAGGCGGAGCAGATTGGAAACACTTTTTGTGGAATTTTCAGGGGGAGACTTCAAGCGCTTTGAAGTGAATGGTAGGAAAGGAAATATCTTCGTATAAAAACTAGACGGAGTCATTCTCAGAAACTACTTTGTGATGTTTGCGTTCAACTCACAGAGTTTAACGTTTCTTTTCATAGAGCAGTTTGGAAACACTCTTTTTGCAGAATCTGCAAGTGGATATTTGGACCTCTTTGTGGCCTTCGTTGGAAACGGGATTTTTCATATAATGCTAGACAGAAGAATTCTCAGTAACTTCTTTTTGTGGTGTGTATTCAACTCACAGAGTTGAACCTTCCTTTAGACAGAGCAGATTAGAAACTCTCTTTTTGTGGAATTTGCAAGTGGAGATTTCAAGCGCTTTGAGGCCAACGGTAGAAAAGGAAATATCTTCGTAGAAAAAATAGACGGAATCATTCTCAGAAACTGCTTTGGGATGTGTGCATTGAACTCACAGTGTTTAACACTTCTTTTCATAGACCACTTTGGAAACACTCAGTTTGTAATGTCTGCAGCTGGATATTTGGACCTCTTTGAGGCCTTCGTAGTAAACGGGATTTCTTCGTGTAATGATAGACAATAGCAATTCTCAGTGAATTTTTTTCTGTGTGTGTGTATTCAACTCACAGTGTTGAACCTTCCTTTAGACAGTGCAGATTTGAAACACTTGTCTGTGGAATTTGCAAGGGGAGATTTCAAGCACTTTGAGGCCATTGGTGGAAAAGGAAATATCTTCGTATGAAAACTAGACAGAATCATTCTCAGGAACTACTTTGTGATATGTGCATTCAACTCCCAGAGTTTAACCTTTCTTTTCATAGATGAGTTTGGAAACAGTCAGTTTGTAAATTCTGCAACTGGATATTTGGACCTCTTTGAGGCTTTCATTGGAAACGGGATTTCTTCACATAATGCTAGACAGAAGAATTCTCAGTAACTTCTTTTGGGATGTATGTATTCAAATCAGAGAGTTGAACCTTCCTTTAGACAGAGCGGATTGGAAACACTCTTTTTGTGGAATTTGCAAGTGGAAAATTCTAGCAGTATGAGGCCAATGGTACAAAAGGAAATATCTTCGTATAAAAACTAGACAGTATCATTCTCAGAAGCTACTTTGTGATGTGTGCGTTCAACTCACAGAGTTTAACCTTTCTTTTCATAGAGCAGTTTGGAAACACTCTGTTTGTGAAGTCTGCAAGTGGATATTTAAACGTCTTTGAGGCCTTCGTTGGAAACGGGATTTTTTCATATAAACCAGGACAGAAGAATTCTCAGAAACTTCTTCATTGTTATGTGTGCATTCAACTCACAGAGTTGAACCTTACTTTGGAAAGAGCAGTTTTCTAACACTCTTTTTGTAAAAGTTCCAAGTGAATACTTTGAGTGCTTTGAAGCCTGCGGTTGACAACGAAATATCTTCATGTAAAAACTACAAAGAATCATTCGCAGAAACCACGTTGTGATCTCTGCATTCAACTCACAGAGTTGAACCTTTCTTCCTATAGAGCAGTTGTGAAACAGTCTCTTTGTAGAATTTGCAAGGGTGTATTTAGAGGGCATTGAAGCCTACGGTAGAAAAGGAAATATCTTACCATAAAATCTAGTCAGAAGCATTCTCAGAAACTGAGTTGTGATGTTTGCATTCAACTCACAGAGTTCAACATTCCTTTTAATGGAGCGGTTTTGAAACACTCTTTTTGCAGAATCTGCAAGTGGATATTTGGACCTCTTTGAGGCCTTCGTTGGAAACGGGATTTCTTCATGTAATGCCAGACAGAAGAATTCTCAGTGAATTCTTTCTGTGTGTGTGTATTCAACTCACAGAGTTGAACGTTCCTTTAGACAGAGTAGATTGGAAACACTCTTTTTGTGGAATTTTCAGGTGGAGGTATCAAGCGCTTTGAGGCCAATGATAGAAAAGGAAATACCTTCGTATAATAATTAGACGGAATCATTCTCAGAAACCGCTTTGCAATGTGTGCGTTCAACTCACAGTGTTTAACCTTTCTTTTCATACAGTTGTTTCGAAACACTCTTTTTGCAGAATCTGCAAGTGGATATTTGGACCTCTTTGAAGTCTTCGTTGGAAATGGGATTTCTTCATATAATGCTAGACAGAAGACTTCTCAGTAACTGCTTTTTCTGGTGTGTATTCAACTCTCAGAGTTGAACTTTCCTTTAGGAACAGCAGATTTGAAACTCTCTTTTTGTGGAATTTGCAAGTGGAGATTTCAAAGCTTTGAGGCCAGTGGTAGAAAAGGAAATATCTTTGTATGCAAACTAGACAGAATCATTCTCAGAAACTACTTTGGTACGTGTGTGTTCAACTCACAGTGTTTAACCTTTCTTTTCATAGAGCAGTTTGGAAACACTCAGTTTGTAAAGTCAGCAACTGGATATTTGGATGTATTTGAGGCCTTCGTTGGAAACGGGATTTCTTCATATAATGCTAGACAGAAGAATTCTCAGTAACTTCTTTGGGTTGTGGGTATTCAAGTCACAGAGTTGAAGCTTCCTTTAGGCGGAGCAGATTGGAAACACTTTTTGTGGAATTTTCAGGGGGAGACTTCAAGCGCTTTGAAGTGAATGGTAGGAAAGGAAATATCTTCGTATAAAAACTAGACGGAGTCATTCTCAGAAACTACTTTGTGATGTTTGCGTTCAACTCACAGAGTTTAACGTTTCTTTTCATAGAGCAGTTTGGAAACACTCTTTTTGCAGAATCTGCAAGTGGATATTTGGACCTCTTTGTGGCCTTCGTTGGAAACGGGATTTTTCATATAATGCTAGACAGAAGAATTCTCAGTAACTTCTTTTTGTGGTGTGTATTCAACTCACAGAGTTGAACCTTCCTTTAGACAGAGCAGATTTGAAACTCTCTTTTTGTGGAATTTGCAAGTGGAGATTTCAAGCGCTTTGAGGCCAACGGCAGAAAAGGAAATATCTTCGTAGAAAAAATAGACGGAATCATTCTCAGAAACTGCTTTGGGATGTGTGCATTGAACTCACAGTGTTTAACACTTCTTTTCATAGAGCACTTTGGAAACACTCAGTTTGTAATGTCTGCAGCTGGATATTTGGACCTCTTTGAGGCCTTCGTAGTAAACGGGATTTCTTCGTGTAATGATAGACAATAGAATTCTCAGTGAATTTTTTTCTGTGTGTGTGTATTCAACTCACAGGGTTGAACCATCCTTTAGACAGTGCAGATTTGAAACACTTGTCTGTGGAATTTGCAAGGGGAGATTTCAAGCACTTTGAGGCCATTGGTGGAAAAGGAAATATCTTCGTATGAAAACTAGACAGAATCATTCTCAGGAACTACTTTGTGATATGTGCATTCAACTCACAGAGTTTAACCTTTCTTTTCATAGATGAGTTTGGAAACAGTCAGTTTGTAAATTCTGCAACTGGATATTTGGACCTCTTTGAGGCTTTCGTTGGAAACGGGATTTCTTCACATAATGCTAGACAGAAGAATTCTCAGTAACTTCTTTTGGGATGTATGTATTCAAATCAGAGAGTTGAACCTTCCTTTAGACAGAGCAGATTGGAAACACTCTTTTTGTGGAATTTGCAAGTGGAAAATTCTAGCAGTATGAGGCCAATGGTACAAAAGGAAATATCTTCGTATAAAAACTAGACAGTATCATTCTCAGAAACTGCTTTGTGATGTGTGTATTAAACTCACAGAGTTGAACATTTCTTTGCATAGAGCAGTTTGGAAAGACTTAGTTTGTGCAGTGTGCAAGTGGATATTTGGAACTCTTTGAGGCCTTCGTTGGAAACGGGATTTCTTCTTATAATTCTTGACAAAAGAATTCTCAGTAGCTTCTTTGTGTGTGTGTATTCAACTCACAGAGTTGAACCTTCCTTTAGACAGAGCAGATTGGAAACACTCTTTTTGTGGAATTTGCAAGTGGAGAATTCTAGCGCTTTGACGCCAATGGTAGAAAGGAAATATCTTCGTATAAAAACTAGACAGTATCATTCTCAGAAGCTACTTTGTGATGTGTGCGTTCAACTCACAGAGTTTAACCTTTCTTTTCATAGAGCAGTTTGGAAACCCTCTGTTTGTGAAGTCTGCAAGTGGATATTTAAACGTCTTTGAGGCCTTTGTTGGAAACGGGATTTCTTCATATAAACCAGGACAGAAGAATTCTCAGAAACTTCTTGATTGTTATGGGTGCATTCAACTCACAGAGTTGAACCTTACTTTGGAAAGAGCAGTTTTCTAACACTCTTTTTGTAAAAGTTCCAAGTGAATACTTTGAGTGCTTTGAAGCCTACGGTTGACAACGAAATATCTTCATGTAAAAACTACAAAGAATCATTCGCAGAAACCACGTTGTGATCTCTGCATTCAACTCACAGAGTTCAACCTTTCTTCCTATAGAGCAGTTATGAAACAGTCTCTTTGTAGAATTTGCAAGGGTGTATTTAGAGGGCATTGAAGCCTACGGTAGAAAAGGAAATATCTTACCATAAAATCTAGTCAGAAGCATTCTCAGGAAACTGAGTTGTGATGTTTGCATTCAACTCACAGCGTTCAACATTCCTTTTAATGGAGCGGTTTTGAAACACTCTTTTTGCAGAATCTGCAAGTGGATATTTGGACCTCTTTGAGGTCTTCGTTGGAAACGGGATTTCTTCATGTAATGCCAGACAGAAGAATTCTCAGTGAATTCTTTCTGTGTGTGTGTATTCAACTCACAGAGTTGAACGTTCCTTTAGACAGAGTAGATTGGAAACACTCTTTTTGTGGAATTTTCAGGTGGAGGTATCAAGCGCTTTGAGGCCAATGATAGAAAAGGAAATACCTTCGTATAATAATTAGACGGAATCATTCTCAGAAACTGCTTTGCAATGTGTGCGTTCAACTCACAGTGTTTAACCTTTCTTTTCATACAGTTGTTTCGAAACACTCTTTTTGCAGAATCTGCAAGTGGATATTTGGACCTCTTTGAAGTCTTCGTTGGAAATGGGATTTCTTCATATAATGCTAGACAGAAGACTTCTCAGTAACTGCTTTTTCTGGTGTGTATTCAACTCTCAGAGTTGAACTTTCCTTTAGAAACAGCAGATTTGAAACTCTCTTTTTGTGGAATTTGCAAGTGGAGATTTCAGAGCTTTGAGGCCAATGGTAGAAAAGGAAATATCTTCGTATGCAAACTAGACAGAATCATTCTCAGAAACTACTTTGGTACGTGTGTGTTCAACTCACAGTGTGTAACCTTTCTTTTCATAGAGCAGTTTGGAAACACTCAGTTTGTAAAGTCAGCAACTGGATATTTGGATGTATTTGAGGCCTTCGTTGGAAACGGGATTTCTTCATATAATGCTAGACAGAAGAATTCTCAGTAACTTCTTTGGGTTGTGGGTATTCAACTCACAGAGTTGAAGCTTCCTTTAGGCGGAGCAGATTGGAAACACTTTTTGTGGAATTTTCAGGGGGAGACTTCAAGCGCTTTGAAGTGAATGGTAGGAAAGGAAATATCTTCGTATAAAAACTAGACGGAGTCATTCTCAGAAACTACTTTGTGATGTTTGCGTTCAACTCACAGAGTTTAACGTTTCTTTTCATAGAGCAGTTTGGAAACACTCTTTTTGCAGAATCTGCAAGTGGATATTTGGACCTCTTTGTGGCCTTCGTTGGAAACGGGATTTTTCATATAATGCTAGACAGAAGAATTCTCAGTAACTTCTTTTTGTGGTGTGTATTCAACTCACAGAGTTGAACCTTCCTTTAGACAGAGCAGATTTGAAACTCTCTTTTTGTGGAATTTGCAAGTGGAGATTTCAAGCGCTTTGAGGCCAACGGCAGAAAAGGAAATATCTTCGTAGAAAAAATAGACGGAATCATTCTCAGAAACTGCTTTGGGATGTGTGCATTGAACTCACAGTGTTTAACACTTCTTTTCATAGAGCACTTTGGAAACACTCAGTTTGTAATGTCTGCAGCTGGATATTTGGACCTCTTTGAGGCCTTCGTAGTAAACGGGATTTCTTCGTGTAATGATAGACAATAGCAATTCTCAGTGAATTTTTTTCTGTGTGTGTGTATTCAACTCACAGGGTTGAACCTTCCTTTAGACAGTGCAGATTTGAAACACTTGTCTGTGGAATTTGCAAGGGGAGATTTCAAGCACTTTGAGGCCATTGGTGGAAAAGGAAATATCTTCGTATGAAAACTAGACAGAATCATTCTCAGGAACTACTTTGTGATATGTGCATTCAACTCCCAGAGTTTAACCTTTCTTTTCATAGATGAGTTTGGAAACAGTCAGTTTGTAAATTCTGCAACTGGATATTTGGACCTCTTTGAGGCTTTCGTTGGAAACGGGATTTCTTCACATAATGCTAGACAGAAGAATTCTCAGTAACTTCTTTTGGGATGTATGTATTCAAATCAGAGAGTTGAACCTTCCTTTAGACAGAGCGGATTGGAAACTCTCTTTTTGTGGAATTTGCAAGTGGAAAATTCTAGCAGTATGAGGCCAATGGTACAAAAGGAAATATCTTCGTATAAAAACTAGACAGTATCATTCTCAGAAACTGCTTTGTGATGTGTGTATTAAACTCACAGAGTTGAACATTTCTTTGCATAGAGCAGTTTGGAAAGACTTAGTTTGTGCAGTGTGCAAGTGGATATTTGGAACTCTTTGAGGCCTTCGTTGGAAACGGGATTTCTTCTTATAATTTCTTGAAAAAAGAATTCTCAGTAGCTTCTTTGTGTGTGTGTATTCAACTCACAGAGTTGAACCTTCCTTTAGACAGAGCAGATTGGAAACCCTCTTTTTGTGGAATTTGCAAGTGGAGAATTCTAGCGCTTTGACGCCAATGGTAGGAAAGGAAATCTCTTCGTATAAAAACTGGACAGTATCATTCTCAGAAACTACTTTGTGATGTGTGCGATCAACTCACAGAGTTTAACCTTTCTTTTCATAGAGCAGTTTGGAAACACTCTGTTTGTGAAGTCTGCAAGTGGATATTTAAACGTCTTTGAGGCCTTCGTTGGAAACGGGATTTTTTCATATAAACCAGGACAGAAGAATTCTCAGAAACTTCTTGTTTGTTATGTGTGCATTCAACTCACAGAGTTGAACCTTACTTTGGAAAGAGCAGTTTTCTAACACTCTTTTTGTAAAAGTTCCAAGTGAATACTTTGAGTGCTTTGAAGCCTACGGTAGACAACGAAATATCTTCATGTAAAAACTACAAAGAATCATTCGCAGAAACCACGTTGTGATCTCTGCATTCAACTCACAGAGTTGAACCTTTCCTCCTATAGAGCAGTTATGAAACAGTCTCTTTGTTGAATTTGCAAGGGTGTATTTACAGGGCATTGAAGCCTACGGTAGAAAAGGAAATATCTTACCATAAAATCTAGTCAGAAGCATTCTCAGAAACTGAGTTGTGATGTTTGCATTCAACTCACAGAGTTCAACATTCCTTTTCATGGAGCGGTTTTGAAACACTCTTTTTGCAGAATCTGCAAGTGGATATTTGGACCTCTTTGAGGCCTTCGTTGAAAACGGGATTTCTTCATGTAATGCCAGACAGAAGAATTCTCAGTGAATTCTTTCTGTGTGTGTGTATTCAACTCACAGAGTTGAACGTTCCTTTAGACAGAGTAGATTGGAAACACTCTTTTTGTGGAATTTTCAGGTGGAGGTATCAAGCGCTTTGAGGCCAATGATAGAAAAGGAAATACCTTCGTATAATAATTAGACGGAATCATTCTCAGAAACCGCTTTGCAATGTGTGCGTTCAACTCACAGTGTTTAACCTTTCTTTTCATACAGTTGTTTCGAAACACTCTTTTTGCAGAATCTGCAAGTGGATATTTGGACCTCTTTGAAGTCTTCGTTGGAAATGGGATTTCTTCATATAATGCTAGACAGAAGACTTCTCAGTAACTGCTTTTTCTGGTGTGTATTCAACTCTCAGAGTTGAACTTTCCTTTAGAAACAGCAGATTTGAACTATCTTTTTGTGGAATTTGCAAGTGGAGATTTCAGAGCTTTGAGGCCAATGGTAGAAAAGGAAATATCTTCGTATGCAAACTAGACAGAATCATTCTCAGAAACTACTTTGGTACGTGTGTGTTCAACTCACAGTGTTTAACCTTTCTTTTCATAGAGCAGTTTGGAAACACTCAGTTTGTAAAGTCAGCAACTGGATATTTGGATGTATTTGAGGCCTTCGTTGGAAACGGGATTTCTTCATATAATGCTAGACAGAAGAATTCTCAGTAACTTCTTTGGGTTGTGGGTATTCAAGTCACAGAGTTGAAGCTTCCTTTAGGCGGAGCAGATTGGAAACACTTTTTGTGGAATTTTCAGGGGGAGACTTCAAGCGCTTTGAAGTGAATGGTAGGAAAGGAAATATCTTCGTATAAAAACTAGACGGAGTCATTCTCAGAAACTACTTTGTGATGTTTGCGTTCAACTCACAGAGTTTAACGTTTCTTTTCATAGAGCAGTTTGGAAACACTCTTTTTGCAGAATCTGCAAGTGGATATTTGGACCTCTTTGTGGCCTTCGTTGGAAACGGGATTTTTCATATAATGCTAGACAGAAGAATTCTCAGTAACTTCTTTTTGTGGTGTGTATTCAACTCACAGAGTTGAACCTTCCTTTAGACAGAGCAGATTTGAAACTCTCTTTTTGTGGAATTTGCAAGTGGAGATTTCAAGCGCTTTGAGGCCAACGGCAGAAAAGGAAATATCTTCGTAGAAAAAATAGACGGAATCATTCTCAGAAACTGCTTTGGGATGTGTGCATTGAACTCACAGTGTTTAACACTTCTTTTCATAGAGCACTTTGGAAACACTCAGTTTGTAATGTCTGCAGCTGGATATTTGGACCTCTTTGAGGCCTTCGTAGTAAACGGGATTTCTTCGTGTAATGATAGACAATAGAATTCTCAGTGAATTTTTTTCTGTGTGTGTGTATTCAACTCACAGGGTTGAACCTTCCTTTAGACAGTGCAGATTTGAAACACTTGTCTGTGGAATTTGCAAGGGGAGATTTCAAGCACTTTGAGGCCATTGGTGGAAAAGGAAATATCTTCGTATAAAAACTAGACAGAATCATTCTCAGGAACTACTTTGTGATATGTGCATTCAACTCACAGAGTTTAACTTTTCTTTTCATAGATGAGTTTGGAAACAGTCAGTTTGTAAATTCTGCAACTGGATATTTGGACCTCTTTGAGGCTTTCATTGGAAACGGGATTTCTTCACATAATGCTAGACAGAAGAATTCTCAGTAACTTCTTTTGGGATGTATGTATTCAAATCAGAGAGTTGAACCTTCCTTTAGACAGAGCGGATTGGAAACACTCTTTTTGTGGAATTTGCAAGTGGAAAATTCTAGCAGTATGAGGCCAATGGTACAAAAGGAAATATCTTCGTATAAAAACTAGACAGTATCATTCTCAGAAAACTGCTTTGTGATGTGTGCATTAAACTCACAGAGTTGAACATTTCTTTGCATAGAGCAGTTTGGAAAGACTTAGTTTGTACAGTGTGCAAGTGGATATTTGGAACTCTTTGAGGCCTTCGTTGGAAACGGGATTTCTTCTTATAATTCTTGACAAAAGAATTCTCAGTAGCTTCTTTGTGTGTGTGTATTCAACTCACAGAGTTGAACCTTCCTTTAGACAGAGCAGATTGGAAACACTCTTTTTGTGGAATTTGCAAGTGGAGAATTCTAGCGCTTTGACGCCAATGGTAGAAAGGAAATATCTTCGTATAAAAACTAGACAGTATCATTCTCAGAAGCTACTTTGTGATGTGTGCGTTCAACTCACAGAGTTTAACCTTTCTTTTCATAGAGCGGTTTGGAAACCCTCTGTTTGTGAAGTCTGCAAGTGGATATTTAAACGTCTTTGAGGCCTTCGTTGGAAACGGGATTTTTTCATATAAACCAGGACAGAAGAATTCTCAGAAACTTCTTGATTGTTATGTGTGCATTCAACTCACAGAGTTGAACCTTACTTTGGAAAGAGCAGTTTTCTAACACTCTTTTTGTAAAAGTTCCAAGTGAATACTTTGAGTGCTTTGAAGCCTACGGTTGACAACGAAATATCTTCATGTAAAAACTACAAAGAATCATTCGCAGAAACCACGTTGTGATCTCTGCAGTCAACTCACAGAGTTCAACCTTTCTTCCTATAGAGCAGTTATGAAACAGTCTCTTTGTAGAATTTGCAAGGGTGTATTTAGAGGGCATTGAAGCCTACGGTAGAAAAGGAAATATCTTACCATAAAATCTAGTCAGAAGCATTCTCAGCAACTGAGTTGTGATGTTTGCATTCAACTCACAGAGTTCAACATTCCTTTTAATGGAGCGGTTTTGAAACACTCTTTTTGCAGAATCTGCAAGTGGATATTTGGACCTCTTTGAGGCCTTCGTTGGAAACGGGATTTCTTCATGTAATGCCAGACAGAAGAATTCTCAGTGAATTCTTTCTGTGTGTGTGTATTCAACTCACAGAGTTGAACGTTCCTTTAGACAGAGTAGATTGGAAACACTCTTTTTGTGGAATTTTCAGGTGGAGGTATCAAGCGCTTTGAGGCCAATGATAGAAAAGGAAATACCTTCGTATAATAATTAGACGGAATCATTCTCAGGAAACCGCTTTGCAATGTGTGCGTTCAACTCACAGTGTTTAACCTTTCTTTTCATACAGTTGTTTCGAAACACTCTTTTTGCAGAATCTGCAAGTGGATATTTGGACCTCTTTGAAGTCTTCGTTGGAAATGGGATTTCTTCATATAATGCTAGACAGAAGACTTCTCAGTAACTGCTTTTTCTGGTGTGTATTCAACTCTCAGAGTTGAACTTTCCTTTAGAAACAGCAGAGTTGAAACTCTCTTTTTGTGGAATTTGCAAGTGGAGATTTCAGAGCTTTGAGGCCAATGGTAGAAAAGGAAATATCTTCGTATGCAAACTAGACAGAATCATTCTCAGAAACTACTTTGGTACGTGTGTGTTCAACTCACAGTGTTTAACCTTTCTTTTCATAGAGCAGTTTGGAAACACTCAGTTTGTAAAGTCAGCAACTGGATATTTGGATGTATTTGAGGCCTTCGTTGGAAACGGGATTTCTTCATATAATGCTAGACAGAAGAATTCTCAGTAACTTCTTTGGGTTGTGGGTATTCAAGTCACAGAGTTGAAGCTTCCTTTAGGCGGAGCAGATTGGAAACACTTTTTGTGGAATTTTCAGGGGGAGACTTCAAGCGCTTTGAAGTGAATGGTAGGAAAGGAAATATCTTCGTATAAAAACTAGACGGAGTCATTCTCAGAAACTACTTTGTGATGTTTGCGTTCAACTCACAGAGTTTAACGTTTCTTTTCATAGAGCAGTTTGGAAACACTCTTTTTGCAGAATCTGCAAGTGGATATTTGGACCTCTTTGTGGCCTTCGTTGGAAACGGGATTTTTCATATAATGCTAGACAGAAGAATTCTCAGTAACTTCTTTTTGTGGTGTGTATTCAACTCACAGAGTTGAACCTTCCTTTAGACAGAGCAGATTTGAAACTCTCTTTTCGTGGAATTTGCAAGTGGAGATTTCAAGCGCTTTCAGGCTAACGGTAGAAAAGGAAATATCTTCGTAGAAAAAATAGACGGAATCATTCTCAGAAACTGCTTTGGGATGTGTGCATTGAACTCACAGTGTTTAACACTTCTTTTCATAGAGCGCTTTGGAAACACTCAGTTTGTAATGTCTGCAGCTGGATATTTGGACCTCTTTGAGGCCTTCGTAGTAAACGGGATTTCTTCGTGTAATGAGAGACAATAGAATTCTCAGTGAATTTTTTTCTGTGTGTGTGTATTCAACTCACAGGGTTGAACCTTCCTTCAGACAGTGCAGATTTGAAACACTTTTCTGTGGAATTTGCAAGGGGAGATTTCAAGCACTTTGAGGCCATTGGTGGAAAAGGAAATATCTTCATATAAAAACTAGACAGAATCATTCTCAGGAACTACTTTGTGATATGTGCATTCAACTCACAGGGTTTAACCTTTCTTTTCATAGATGAGTTTGGAAACAGTCAGTTTGTAAATTCTGCAACTGGATATTAGGACCTCTTTGAGGCTTTCGTTGGAAACGGGATTTCTTCACATAATGCTAGACAGAAGAATTCGCAGTAACTTCTTTTGGGATGTATGTATTCAACTCAGAGAGTTGAACCTTCCTTTAGACAGAGCGCATTGGAAACACGCTTTTTGCGGAATTTTCAGGTGGAGATTCCAAGAGCCTTGAGGCCAATGGTAGAAAAGGCTATCTTCCTATAAAAACTAGAGGGAATCATTCTCAGAAACTGCTTTGTGATGTGTGCATTAAACTCACAAGGTTGAACATTTCTTTGCATAGAGCAGTTTGGAAAGACTTATTTTGTACAGTGTGCAAGTGGATATTTGGAACTCTTTGAGGCCTTCGTTGGAAACGGGATTTCTTCTTATAATTCTTGACAAAAGAATTCTCAGTAGCTTCTTTGTGTGTGTGTATTCAACTCACAGAGTTGAACCTTCCTTTAGACAGAGCAGATTGGAAACACTCTTTTTGTGGAATTTGCAAGTGGAGAATTCTAGCGCTTTGACGCCAATGGTAGAAAGGAAATATCTTCGTATAAAAACTAGACAGTATCATTCTCAGAAACTACTTTGTGATGTGTGCGTTCAACTCACAGAGTTTAACCTTTCTTTTCATAGAGCAGTTTGGAAACACTCTGTTTGTGAAGTCTGCAAGTGGATATTTAAACGTCTTTGAGGCCTTCGTTGGAAACGGGATTTCTTCATATAAACCAGGACAGAAGAATTCTCAGAAACTTCTTGATTGTTATGTGTGCATTCAACTCACAGAGTTGAACCTTACTTTGGAAAGAGCAGTTTTCTAACACTCTTTTTGTAAAAGTTCCAGGTGAATACTTTGAGTGCTTTGAAGCCTACGATAGACAACGAAATATCTTCATGTAAAAACTACAAAGAATCATTCGCAGAAACCACGTTGTGATCTCTGCATTCAACTCACAGAGTTGAACCTTTCCTCTTGTAGAGCAGTTATGAAACAGTCTCTTTGTAGAATTTGCAAGGGTGTATTTACAGGGCATTGAAGCCTACGGTAGAAAAGGAAATATCTTACCATAAAATCTAGTCAGAAGCATTCTCAGAAACTGAGTTGTGATGTTTGCATTCAACTCACAGAGTTCAACATTCCTTTTAATGGAGCGGTTTTGAAACACTCTTTTTGCAGAATCTGCAAGTGGATATTTGGACCTCTTTGAGGCCTTCGTTGGAAACGGGATTTCTTCATGTAATGCCAGACAGAAGAATTCTCAGTGAATTCTTTCTGTGTGTGTGTATTCAACTCACAGAGTTGAACGTTCCTTTAGACAGAGTAGATTGGAAACACTCTTTTTGTGGAATTTTCAGGTGGAGGTATCAAGCGCTTTGAGGCCAATGATAGAAAAGGAAATACCTTCGTATAATAATTAGACGGAATCATTCTCAGAAACCGCTTTGCAATGTGTGCGTTCAACTCACAGTGTTTAACCTTTCTTTTCATACAGTTGTTTCGAAACACTCTTTTTGCAGAATCTGCAAGTGGATATTTGGACCTCTTTGAAGTCTTCGTTGGAAATGGGATTTCTTCATATAATGCTAGACAGAAGACTTCTCAGTAACTGCTTTTTCTGGTGTGTATTCAACTCTCAGAGTTGAACTTTCCTTTAGAAACAGCAGAGTTGAAACTCTCTTTTTGTGGAATTTGCAAGTGGAGGTTTCAGAGCTTTGAGGCCAATGGTAGAAAAGGAAATATCTTCGTATGCAAACTAGACAGAATCATTCTCAGAAACTACTTTGGTACGTGTGTGTTCAACTCACAGTGTTTAACCTTTCTTTTCATAGAGCAGTTTGGAAACACTCAGTTTGTAAAGTCAGCAACTGGATATTTGGATGTATTTGAGGCCTTCGTTGGAAACGGGATTTCTTCATATAATGCTAGACAGAAGAATTCTCAGTAACTTCTTTGGGTTGTGGGTATTCAAGTCACAGAGTTGAAGCTTCCTTTAGGCGGAGCAGATTGGAAACACTTTTTGTGGAATTTTCAGGGGGAGACTTCAAGCGCTTTGAAGTGAATGGTAGGAAAGGAAATATCTTCGTATAAAAACTAGACGGAGTCATTCTCAGAAACTACTTTGTGATGTTTGCGTTCAACTCACAGAGTTTAACGTTTCTTTTCATAGAGCAGTTTGGAAACACTCTTTTTGCAGAATCTGCAAGTGGATATTTGGACCTCTTTGTGGCCTTCGTTGGAAACGGGATTTTTCATATAATGCTAGACAGAAGAATTCTCAGTAACTTCTTTTTGTGGTGTGTATTCAACTCACAGAGTTGAACCTTCCTTTAGACAGAGCAGATTTGAAACTCTCTTTTTGTGGAATTTGCAAGTGGAGATTTCAAGCGCTTTGAGGCCAACGGCAGAAAAGGAAATATCTTCGTAGAAAAAATAGACGGAATCATTCTCAGAAACTGCTTTGGGATGTGTGCATTGAACTCACAGTGTTTAACACTTCTTTTCATAGAGCACTTTGGAAACACTCAGGTTGTAATGTCTGCAGCTGGATATTTGGACCTCTTTGAGGCCTTCGTAGTAAACGGGATTTCTTCGTGTAATGATAGACAATAGAATTCTCAGTGAATTTTTTTCTGTGTGTGTGTATTCAACTCACAGGGTTGAACCTTCCTTTAGACAGTGCAGATTTGAAACACTTGTCTGTGGAATTTGCAAGGGGAGATTTCAAGCACTTTGAGGCCATTGGTGGAAAAGGAAATATCTTCGTATGAAAACTAGACAGAATCATTCTCAGGAACTACTTTGTGATATGTGCATTCAACTCACAGAGTTTAACCTTTCTTTTCATAGATGAGTTTGGAAACAGTCAGTTTGTAAATTCTGCAACTGGATATTTGGACCTCTTTGAGGCTTTCGTTGGAAACGGGATTTCTTCACATAATGCTAGACAAGAATTCTCAGTAACTTCTTTTGGGATGTATGTATTCAAATCAGAGAGTTGAACCTTCCTTTAGACAGAGCGGATTGGAAACACTCTTTTTGTGGAATTTGCAAGTGGAAAATTCTAGCAGTATGAGGCCAATGGTACAAAAGGAAATATCTTCGTATAAAAACTAGACAGTATCATTCTCAGAAACTGCTTTGTGATGTGTGTATTAAACTCACAGAGTTGAACATTTCTTTGCATAGAGCAGTTTGGAAAGACTTAGTTTGTGCAGTGTGCAAGTGGATATTTGGAACTCTTTGAGGCCTTCGTTGGAAACGGGATTTCTTCTTATAATTCTTGACAAAAGAATTCTCAGTAGCTTCTTTGTGTGTGTGTATTCAACTCACAGAGTTGAACCTTCCTTTAGACAGAGCAGATTGGAAACACTCTTTTTGTGGAATTTGCAAGTGGAGAATTCTAGCGCTTTGACGCCAATGGTAGAAAGGAAATATCTTCGTATAAAAACTAGACAGTATCATTCTCAGAAGCTACTTTGTGATGTGTGCGTTCAACTCACAGAGTTTAACCTTCCTTTTCATAGAGCAGTTTGGAAACCCTCTGTTTGTGAAGTCTGCAAGTGGATATTTAAACGTCTTTGAGGCCTTCGTTGGAAACGGGATTTGTTCCTATAAACCAGGACAGAAGAATTCTCAGAAACTTCTTGATTGTTATGTGTGCATTCAACTCACAGAGTTGAACCTTACTTTGGAAAGAGCAGTTTTCTAACACTCTTTTTGTAAAAGTTCCAAGTGAATACTTTGAGTGCTTTGAAGCCTACGGTTGACAACGAAATATCTTCATGTAAAAACTACAAAGAATCATTCGCAGAAACCACGTTGTGATCTCTGCATTCAACTCACAGAGTTGAACCTTTCCTCCTATAGAGCAGTTATGAAACAATCTCTTTGTTGAATTTGCAAGGGTGTATTTACAGGGCATTGAAGCCTACGGTAGAAAAGGAAATATCTTACCATAAAATCTAGTCAGAAGCATTCTCAGAAACTGAGTTGTGATGTTTGCATTCAACTCACAGAGTTCAACATTCCTTTTAATGGAGCGGTTTTGAAACACTCTTTTTGCAGAATCTGCAAGTGGATATTTGGACCTCTTTGAGGCCTTCGTTGGAAACGGGATTTCTTCATGTAATGCCAGACAGAAGAATTCTCAGTGAATTCTTTCTGTGTGTGTGTATTCAACTCACAGAGTTGAACGTTCCTTTAGACAGAGTAGATTGGAAACACTCTTTTTGTGGAATTTTCAGGTGGAGGTATCAAGCGCTTTGAGGCCAATGATAGAAAAGGAAATACCTTCGTATAATAATTAGACGGAATCATTCTCAGAAACTGCTTTGCAATGTGTGCCTTCAACTCACAGCGTTTAACCTTTCTTTTCATACAGTTGTTTCGAAACACTCTTTTTGCAGATTCTGCAAGTGGATATTTGGACCTCTTTGAAGACTTCGTTGGAAATGGGATTTCTTCATATAATGCTAGACAGAAGACTTCTCAGTAACTGCTTTTTCTGGTGTGTATTCAACCCTCAGAGTTGAACTTTCCTTTAGAAACAACAGATTTGAAACTCTCTTTTTGTGGAATTTGCAAGTGGAGATTTCAAAGCTTTGAGGCCAATGGTAGAAAAGGAAATATCTTCGTATGTAAAGTAGACAGAATCTTTCTCAGAAACTACTTTGGTACGTGTGTGTTCAACTCACAGTGTTTAACCTTTCCTTTCATAGAGCAGTTTGGAAACACTCTGTTTGTAAAGTCAGCAACTGGATATCTGGATGTATTTGATGCCTTCGTTGGAAACGGGATTTCTTCATGTAATGCTAGACAGAAGAATTCTCAGTAACTTCTTTGGGTTGTGGGTATTCAACTCACAGAGTTGAAGCTTCCTTTAGGCGGAGCAGATTGGAAACACTTTTTGTGGAATTTTCAGGGGGAGACTTCAAGCGCTTTGAGGCCAACGGTAGAAAAGGAAATATCTTCGTATAAAAACTAGACGGAGTCATTCTCAGAAACTACTTTGTGATGTTTGCGTTCAACTCACAGAGTTTAACGTTTCTTTTCATAGAGCAGTTTGGAAACACTCTTTTTGCAGAATCTGCAAGTGGATATTTGGACCTCTTTGTGGCCTTCGTTGGAAACGGGATTTTTCATATAATGCTAGACAGAAGAATTCTCAGTAACTTCCTTTTGTGGTGTGTATTCAACTCACAGAGTTGAACCTTCCTTTAGACAGAGCAGATTTGAAACTCTCTTTTCGTGGAATTTGCAAGTGGAGATTTCAAACGCTTTGAGGCCAACGGTAGAAAAGGAAATATCTTCGTAGAAAAAATAGACGGAATCATTCTGAGAAACTGCTTTGGGATGTGTGCATTGAACTCACAGTGTTTAACACTTCTTTTCATAGAGCACTTTGGAAACACTCAGTTTGTAATGTCTGCAGCTGGATATTTGGACCTCTTTGAGGCCTTCGTAGTAAACGGGATTTCTTCGTGTAATGATAGACAATAGAATTCTCAGTGAATTTTTTTCTGTGTGTGTGTATTCAACTCACAGGGTTGAACCTTCCTTTAGACAGTGCAGATTTGAGACACTTGTCTGTGGAATTTGCAAGGGGAGATTTCAAGCACTTTGAGGCCATTGGTGGAAAAGGAAATATCTTCGTATAAAAACTAGACAGAGTCATTGTCAGGAACTACTTTGTGATATGTGCATTCAACTCACAGAGTTTAACCTTTCTTTTCATAGATGAGTTTGGAAACAGTCAGTTTGTAAATTCTGCAACTGGATATTTGGACCTCTTTGAGGCTTTCGTTGGAAACGGGATTTCTTCACATAATGCTAGACAGAAGAATTCTCAGTAACTTCTTTTGGGATGTATGTATTCAAATCAGAGAGTTGAACCTTCCTTTAGACAGAGCGGATTGGAAACACTCTTTTTGTGGAATTTGCAAGTGGAAAATTCTAGCAGTATGAGGCCAATGGTACAAAAGGAAATATCTTCGTATAAAAACTAGACAGTATCGTTCTCAGAAACTGCTTTGTGATGTGTGTATTAAACTCACAGAGTTGAACATTTCTTTGCATAGAGCAGTTTGGAAAGACTTAGTTTGTGCAGTGTGCAAGTGGATATTTGGAACTCTTTGAGGCCTTCGTTGGAAACGGGATTTCTTCTTATAATTCTTGACAAAAGAATTCTCAGTAGCTTCTTTGTGTGTGTGTACTCAACTCACAGAGTTGAACCTTCCTTTAGACAGAGCAGATTGGAAACACTCTTTTTGTGGAATTTGCAAGTGGAAAATTCTAGCAGTATGAGGCCAATGGTACAAAAGGAAATATCTTCGTATAAAAACTAGACAGTATCATTCTCAGAAACTACTTTGTGAGGTGTGCGTTCAACTCACAGTGTTTACCCTTTCTTTTCATAGAGCAGTTTGGAAACACTCTGTTTGTGAAGTCTGCAAGTGGATATTTAAACGTCTTTGAGGTCTTCGTTGGAAACGCGATTTCTTCGTATAAACCAGGACAGAAGAATTCTCAGAAACTTCTTGTTTGTTATGTGTGCATTCAACTCACAGAGTTGAACCTTACTTTGGAAAGAGCAGTTTTCTAACACTCTTTTTGTAAAAGTTCCAAGTGAATACTTTGAGTGCTTTGAAGCCTACGGTAGACAACGAAATATCTTCATGTAAAAACTACAAAGAATCATTCGCCAAAACCACGTTGTGATCTCTGCATGCAACTCACAGAGTTCAACCTTTCTTCCTATAGAGCAGTTATTAAACAGTCCCTTTGTAGAATTTGCAAGGGTGTATTTAGAGGGCATTGAGGCCTACGGTAGAAAAGGAAATATCTGACCATAAAATCTAGTCAGAAGCATTCTCAGAAACTGAGTTGTGATGTTTGCATTCAACTCACAGAGTTCAACATTCCTTTTCATAGAGCGGTTTTGAAACACTCTTTTTGCAGAATCTGCAAGTGGATATTTGGACCTCTTTCAGGACTTCGTTGGAAACGGGATTTCTTCATGTAATGCCAGACAGAAGAACTCTCAGTGAATTCTTTCTGTGTGTGTGTATTCAACTCACAGAGTTGAACGTTCCTTTAGACAGAGTAGATTGGAAACACTCTTTTTTTGGAATTTTCAGGTGGAGGTATCAAGCGCTTTGAGGCCCATGATAGAAAAGGAAATACCTTCGTATAATAATTAGACGGAATCATTCTCAGAAACTGCTTTGCAATGTGTGCCTTCAACTCACAGCGTTTAACCTTTCTTTTCATACAGTTGTTTCGAAACACTCTTTTTGCAGAATCTGCAAGTGGATATTTGGACCTCTTTGAAGTCTTCGTTGGAAATGGGATTTCTTCATATAATGCTAGACAGAAGAATTCTCAATAACTGCTTTTTCTGGTGTGTATTCAACTCTCAGAGTTGAACTTTCCTTTAGAAACAGCAGATTTGAAACTCTCTTTTTGTGGAATTTGCAAGTGGAGATTTCAAAGCTTTGAGGCCAATGGTAGAAAAGGAAATATCTTCGTATGCAAACTAGACAGAATCATTCTCAGAAACTACTTTGGTACGTGTGTGTTCAACTCACAGTGTTTAACCTTTCCTTTCATAGAGCAGTTTGGAAACACTCAGTTTGTAAAGTCAGCCACTGGATATTTGGATGTATTTGAGGCCTTCGTTGGAAACGGGATTTCTTCATATAATGCGAGACAGAAGAATTCTCAGTAACTTCTTTGGGTTGTGGGTATTCAACTCACAGAGTTGAAGCTTCCTTTAGGCGGAGCAGATTGGAAACACTTTTTGTGGAATTTTCAGGGGGAGACTTCAAGCGCTTTGAGGCCAACGGTAGAAAAGGAAATATCCTTCGTATAAAAACTAGACGGAGTCATTCTCAGAAACTACTTTGTGATGTTTGCGTTCAACTCACAGAGTTTAACGTTTCTTTTCATAGAGCAGTTTGGAGACACTGTTTTTGCAGAATCTGCAAGTGGATATTTGGACCTCTTTGTGGCCTTCGTTGGAAACGGGATTTTTCATATAATGCTAGACAGAAGAATTCTCAGTAACTTCTTTTTGTGGTGTGTATTCAACTCACAGAGTTGAACCTTCCTTTAGACAGAGCAGATTTGAAACTCTCTTTTTGTGGAATTTGCAAGTGGAGATTTCAAGCGCTTTGAGGCCAACGGCAGAAAAGGAAATATCTTCGTAGAAAAAATAGACGGAATCATTCTCAGAAACTGCTTTGGGATGTGTGCATTGAACTCACAGTGTTTAACACTTCTTTTCATAGAGCACTTTGGAAACACTCAGTTTGTAATGTCTGCAGCTGGATATTTGGACCTCTTTGAGGCCTTCGTAGTAAACGGGATTTCTTCGTGTAATGATAGACAATAGAATTCTCAGTGAATTTTTTTCTGTGTGTGTGTATTCAACTCACAGGGTTGAACCTTCCTTTAGACAGTGCAGATTTGAAACACTTGTCTGTGGAATTTGCAAGGGGAGATTTCAAGCACTTTGAGGCCATTGGTGGAAAAGGAAATATCTTCGTATAAAAACTAGACAGAATCATTCTCAGGAACTACTTTGTGATATGTGCATTCAACTCACAGAGTTTAACCTTTCTTTTCATAGATGAGTTTGGAAACAGTCAGTTTGTAAATTCTGCAACTGGATATTTGGACCTCTTGGAGGCTTTCGTTGGAAACGGGATTTCTTCACATAATGCTAGACAGAAGAATTCTCAGTAACTTCTTTTGGGATGTATGTATTCAAATCAGAGAGTTGAACCTTCCTTTAGACAGAGCGGATTGGAAACACTCTTTTTGTGGAATTTGCAAGTGGAAAATTCTAGCAGTATGAGGCCAATGGTACAAAAGGAAATATCTTCGTATAAAAACTAGACAGTATCATTCTCAGAAACTGCTTTGTGATGTGTGTATTAAACTCACAGAGTTGAACATTTCTTTGCATAGAGCAGTTTGGAAAGACTTAGTTTGTGCAGTGTGCAAGTGGATATTTGGAACTCTTTGAGGCCTTCGTTGGAAACGGGATTTCTTCTTATAATTTCTTGAAAAAGGAATTCTCAGTATCTTCTTTGTGTGTGTGTATTCAACTCACAGAGTTGAACCTTCCTTTAGACAGAGCAGATTGGAAACACTCTTTTTGTGGAATTTGCAAGTGGAGAATTCTAGCGCTTTGACGCCAATGGTAGAAAGGAAATATCTTCGTATAAAAACTAGACAGTATCATTCTCAGAAGCTACTTTGTGATGTGTGCGTTCAACTCACAGAGTTTAACCTTTCTTTTCATAGAGCAGTTTGGAAACCCTCTGTTTGTGAAGTCTGCAAGTGGATATTTAAACGTCTTTGAGGCCTTCGTTGGAAACGGGATTTTTTCATATAAACCAGGACAGAAGAATTCTCAGAAACTTCTTGATTGTTATGGGTGCATTCAACTCACAGAGTTGAACCTTACTTTGGAAAGAGCGGTTTTCTAACACTCTTTTTGTAAAAGTTCCAAGTGAATACTTTGAGTGCTTTGAAGCCTACGGTTGACAACGAAATATCTTCATGTAAAAACTACAAAGAATCATTCGCAGAAACCACGTTGTGATCTCTGCATTCAACTCACAGAGTTGAACCTTTCTTCCTATAGAGCAGTTATGAAACAGTCTCTTTGTAGAATTTGCAAGGGTGTATTTAGAGGGCATTGAAGCCTACGGTAGAAAAGGAAATATCTTACCATAAAATCTAGTCAGAAGCATTCTCAGGAAACTGAGTTGTGATGTTTGCATTCAACTCACAGAGTTCAACATTCCTTTTAATGGAGCGGTTTTGAAACACTCTTTTTGCAGAATCTGCAAGTGGATATTTGGACCTCTTTGAGGCCTTCGTTGGAAACGGGATTTCTTCATGTAATGCCAGACAGAAGAACTCTCAGTGAATTCTTTCTGTGTGTGTGTATTCAACTTACAGAGTTGAACGTTCCTTTAGACAGAGCAGATTGGAAACACTCTTTTTCTGGAAGTTTCAGGTGGAGGTATCAAGCGCTTTGCGGCCCATGATAGAAAAGGAAATACCTTCGTATAATAATTAGACGGAATCATTCTCAGAAACTGCTTTGCAATGTGTGCGTTCAACTCACAGTGTTTAACCTTTCTTTTCATACAGTTGTTTCGAAACACTCTTTTTGCAGAATCTGCAAGTGGATATTTGGACCTCTTTGAAGTCTTCGTTGGAAATGGGATTTCTTCATATAATGCTAGACAGAAGACTTCTCAGTAACTGCTTTTTCTGGTGTGTATTCAACTCTCAGAGTTGAACTTTCCTTTAGAAACAGCAGATTTGAAACTCTCTTTTTGTGGAATTTGCAAGTGGAGATTTCAGAGCTTTGAGGCCAATGGTAGAAAAGGAATTATCTTCGTATGCAAACTAGACAGAATCATTCTCAGAAACTACTTTGGTACGTGTGTGTTCAACTCACAGTGTTTAACCTTTCTTTTCATAGAGCAGTTTGGAAACACTCAGTTTGTAAAGTCAGCAACTGGATATTTGGATGTATTTGAGGCCTTCGTTGGAAACGGGATTTCTTCATATAATGCTAGACAGAAGAATTCTCAGTAACTTCTTAGGGTTGTGGGTATTCAACTCACAGAGTTGAAGCTTCCTTTAGGCGGAGCAGATTGGAAACACTTTTTGTGGAATTTTCAGGGGGAGACTTCAAGCGCTTTGAAGTGAATGGTAGGAAAGGAAATATCTTCGTATAAAAACTAGACGGAGTCATTCTCAGAAACTACTTTGTGATGTTTGCGTTCAACTCACAGAGTTTAACGTTTCTTTTCATAGAGCAGTTTGGAAACACTCTTTTTGCAGAATCTGCAAGTGGATATTTGGACCTCTTTGTGGCCTTCGTTGGAAACGGGATTTTTCATATAATGCTAGACAGAAGAATTCTCAGTAACTTCTTTTTGTGGTGTGTATTCAACTCACAGAGTTGAACCTTCCTTTAGACAGAGCAGATTTGAAACTCTCTTTTTGTGGAATTTGCAAGTGGAGATTTCAAGCGCTTTGAGGCCAACGGTAGAAAAGGAAATATCTTCGTAGAAAAAATAGACGGAAATCATTCTCAGAAACTGCTTTGGGATGTGTGCATTGAACTCACAGTGTTTAACACTTCTTTTCATAGAGCACTTTGGAAACACTCAGTTTGTAATGTCTGCAGCTGGATATGTGGACCTCTTTGAGGCCTTCGTAGTAAACGGGATTTCTTCGTGTAATGATAGACAATAGAATTCTCAGTGAATTTTTTTCTGTGTGTGTGTATTCAACTCACAGGGTTGAACCTTCCTTTAGACAGTGCAGATTTGAAACACTTGTCTGTGGAATTTGCAAGGGGAGATTTCAAGCACTTTGAGGCCATTGGTGGAAAAGGAAATATCTTCGTATAAAAACTAGACAGAATCATTCTCAGGAACTACTTTGTGATATGTGCATTCAACTCACAGAGTTTAACCTTTCTTTTCATAGATGAGTTTGGAAACAGTCAGTTTGTAAATTCTGCAACTGGATATTTGGACCTCTTTGAGGCTTTCGTTGGAAACGGGATTTCTTCACATAATGCTAGACAGAAGAATTCTCAGTAACTTCTTTTGGGATGTATGTATTCAAATCAGAGAGTTGAACCTTCCTTTAGACAGAGCGGATTGGAAACACTCTTTTTGTGGAATTTGCAAGTGGAAAATTCTAGCAGTATGAGGCCAATGGTACAAAAGGAAATATCTTCGTATAAAAACTAGACAGTATCATTCTCAGAAACTGCTTTGTGATGTGTGTATTAAACTCACAGAGTTGAACATTTCTTTGCATAGAGCAGTTTGGAAAGACTTAGTTTGTGCAGTGTGCAAGTGGATATTTGGAACTCTTTGAGGCCTTCGTTGGAAACGGGATTTCTTCTTATAATTTCTTGAAAAAAGAATTCTCAGTAGCTTCTTTGTGTGTGTGTATTCAACTCACAGAGTTGAACCTTCCTTTAGACAGAGCAGATTGGAAACACTCTTTTTGTGGAATTTGCAAGTGGAGAATTCTAGCGCTTTGACGCCAATGGTAGAAAGGAAATATGCTTCGTATAAAAACTAGACAGTAATCATTCTCAGAAACTACTTTGGTACGTGTGTGTTCAACTCACAGTGTTTAACCTTTCTTTTCATAGAGCAGTTTGGAAACACTCAGTTTGTAAAGTCAGCAACTGGATATTTGGATGTATTTGAGGCCTTCGTTGGAAACGGGATTTCTTCATATAATGCTAGACAGAAGAATTCTCAGTAACTTCTTTGGGTTGTGGGTATTCAACTCACAGAGTTGAAGCTTCCTTTAGGCGGAGCAGATTGGAAACACTTTTTGTGGAATTTTCAGGGGGAGACTTCAAGCGCTTTGAAGTGAATGGTAGAAAAGGAAATATCTTCGGTATAAAAACTAGACGGAGTCATTCTCAGAAACTACTTTGTGATGTTTGCGTTCAACTCACAGAGTTTAACGTTTCTTTTCATAGAGCAGTTTGGAAACACTCTTTTTGCAGAATCTGCAAGTGGATATTTGGACCTCTTTGTGGCCTTCGTTGGAAACGGGATTTTTCATATAATGCTAGACAGAAGAATTCTCAGTAACTTCTTTTTGTGGTGTGTATTCAACTCACAGAGTTGAACCTTCCTTTAGACAGAGCAGATTTGAAACTCTCTTTTTGTGGAATTTGCAAGTGGAGATTTCAAGCGCTTTGAGGCCAACGGCAGAAAAGGAAATATCTTCGTAGAAAAAATAGACGGAATCATTCTCAGAAACTGCTTTGGGATGTGTGCATTGAACTCACAGTGTTTAACACTTCTTTTCATAGAGCACTTTGGAAACAGTCAGTTTGGAATGTCTGCAGCTGGATATTTGGACCTCTTTGAGGCCTTCGTAGTAAACGGGATTTCTTCGGGTAATGATAGACAATAGAATTCTCAGTGAATTTTTTTCTGTGTGTGTGTATTCAACTCACAGGGTTGAACCTTCCTTTAGACAGTGCAGATTTGAGACACTTGTCTGTGGAATTTGCAAGGGGAGATTTCAAGCACTTTGAGGCCATTGGTGGAAAAGGAAATATCTTCGTATAAAAACTAGACAGAATCATTCTCAGGAACTACTTTGTGATATGTGCATTCAACTCACAGAGTTTAACCTTTCTTTTCATAGATGAGTTTGGAAACAGTCAGTTTGTAAATTCTGCAACTGGATATTTGGACCTCTTTGAGGCTTTCGTTGGAAACGGGATTTCTTCACATAATGCTAGACAGAAGAATTCTCAGTAACTTCTTTTGGGATGTATGTATTCAAATCAGAGAGTTGAACCTTCCTTTAGACAGAGCGGATTGGAAACACTCTTTTTGTGGAATTTGCAAGTGGAAAATTCTAGCAGTATGAGGCCAATGGTACAAAAGGAAATATCTTCGTATAAAAACTAGACAGTATCATTCTCAGAAACTGCTTTGTGATGTGTGTATTAAACTCACAGAGTTGAACATTTCTTTGCATAGAGCAGTTTGGAAAGACTTAGTTTGTGCAGTGTGCAAGTGGATATTTGGAACTCTTTGAGGCCTTCGTTGGAAACGGGATTTCTTCTTATAATTCTTGACAAAAGAATTCTCAGTAGCTTCTTTGTGTGTGTGTATTCAACTCACAGAGTTGAACCTTCCTTTAGACAGAGCAGATTGGAAACACTCTTTTTGTGGAATTTGCAAGTGGAGAATTCTAGCGCTTTGACGCCAATGGAAGGAAAGGAAATATCTCCGTATAAAAACTAGACAGTATCATTCTCAGAAGCTACTTTGTGATGTGTGCGTTAAACTCACAGAGTTTAAACTTTCTTTTCATAGAGCAGTTTGGAAACACTCTGTTTGTGAAGTCTGCAAGTGGATATTTAAACGTCTTTGAGGCCTTCGTTGGAAACGGGATTTTTTCATATAAACCAGGACAGAAGAATTCTCAGAAACTTCTTGATTGTTATGTGTGCATTCAACTCACAGAGTTGAACCTTACTTTGGAAAGAGCAGTTTTCTAACACTCTTTTTGTAAAAGTTCCAAGTGAATACTTTGAGTGCTTTGAAGCCTACGGTTGACAACGAAATATCTTCATGTAAAAACTACAAAGAATCATTCGCAGAAACCACGTTGTGATCTCTGCATTCAACTCACAGTGTTGAACCTTTCTTCCTATAGAGCAGTTATGAAACAGTCTCTTTGTAGAATTTGCAAGGGTGTATTTAGAGGGCATTGAAGCCTACGGTAGAAAAGGAAATATCTTACCATAAAATCTAGTCAGAAGCATTCTCAGAAACTGAGTTGTGATGTTTGCATTCAACTCACAGAGTTCAACATTCCTTTTCATGGAGCGGTTTTGAAACACTCTTTTTGCAGAATCTGCAAGTGGATATTTGGACCTCTTTGAGGCCTTCGTTGAAAACGGGATTTCTTCATGTAATGCCAGACAGAAGAATTCTCAGTGAATTCTTTCTGTGTGTGTGTATTCAACTCACAGAGTTGAACGTTCCTTTAGACAGAGTAGATTGGAAACACTCTTTTTGTGGAATTTTCAGGTGGAGGTATCAAGCGCTTTGAGGCCAATGATAGAAAAGGAAATACCTTCGTATAATAATTAGACGGAATCATTCTCAGAAACTGCTTTGCAATGTGTGCGTTCAACTCACAGTGTTTAACCTTTCTTTTCATACAGTTGTTTCGAAACACTCTTTTTGCAGAATCTGCAAGTGGATATTTGGACCTCTTTGAAGTCTTCGTTGGAAATGGGATTTCTTCATATAATGCTAGACAGAAGACTTCTCAGTAACTGCTTTTTCTGGTGTGTATTCAACTCTCAGAGTTGAACTTTCCTTTAGAAACAGCAGATTTGAAACTCTCTTTTTGTGGAATTTGCAAGTGGAGATTTCAGAGCTTTGAGGCCAATGGTAGAAAAGGAAATATCTTCGTATGCAAACTAGACAGAATCATTCTCAGAAACTACTTTGGTACGTGTGTGTTCAACTCACAGTGTTTAACCTTTCTTTTCATAGAGCAGTTTGGAAACACTCAGTTTGTAAAGTCAGCAACTGGATATTTGGATGTATTTGAGGCCTTCGTTGGAAACGGGATTTCTTCATATAATGCTAGACAGAAGAATTCTCAGTAACTTCTTTGGGTTGTGGGTATTCAACTCACAGAGTTGAAGCTTCCTTTAGGCGGAGCAGATTGGAAACACTTTTTGTGGAATTTTCAGGGGGAGACTTCAAGCGCTTTGAAGTGAATGGTAGAAAAGGAAATATCTTCGTATAAAAACTAGACGGAGTCATTCTCAGAAACTACTTTGTGATGTTTGCGTTCAACTCACAGAGTTTAACGTTTCTTTTCATAGAGCAGTTTGGAAACACTCTTTTTGCAGAATCTGCAAGTGGATATTTGGACCTCTTTGTGGCCTTCGTTGGAAACGGGATTTTTCATATAATGCTAGACAGAAGAATTCTCAGTAACTTCTTTTTGTGGTGTGTATTCAACTCACAGAGTTGAACCTTCCTTTAGACAGAGCAGATTTGAAACTCTCTTTTTGTGGAATTTGCAAGTGGAGATTTCAAGCGCTTTGAGGCCAACGGCAGAAAAGGAAATATCTTCGTAGAAAAAATAGACGGAATCATTCTCAGAAACTGCTTTGGGATGTGTGCATTGAACTCACAGTGTTTAACACTTCTTTTCATAGAGCACTTTGGAAACACTCAGTTTGTAATGTCTGCAGCTGGATATTTGGACCTCTTTGAGGCCTTCGTAGTAAACGGGATTTCTTCGTGTAATGATAGACAATAGAATTCTCAGTGAATTTTTTTCTGTGTGTGTGTATTCAACTCACAGGGTTGAACCTTCCTTTAGACAGTGCAGATTTGAAACACTTGTCTGTGGAATTTGCAAGGGGAGATTTCAAGCACTTTGAGGCCATTGGTGGAAAAGGAAATATCTTCGTATGAAAACTAGACAGAATCATTCTCAGGAACTACTTTGTGATATGTGCATTCAACTCCCAGAGTTTAACCTTTCTTTTCATAGATGAGTTTGGAAACAGTCAGTTTGTAAATTCTGCAACTGGATATTTGGACCTCTTTGAGGCTTTCGTTGGAAACGGGATTTCTTCACATAATGCTAGACAGAAGAATTCTCAGTAACTTCTTTTGGGATGTATGTATTCAAATCAGAGAGTTGAACCTTCCTTTAGACAGAGCGGATTGGAAACACTCTTTTTGTGGAATTTGCAAGTGGAAAATTCTAGCAGTATGAGGCCAATGGTACAAAAGGAAATATCTTCGTATAAAAACTAGACAGTATCATTCTCAGAAAACTGCTTTGTGATGTGTGTATTAAACTCACAGAGTTGAACATTTCTTTGCATAGAGCAGTTTGGAAAGACTTAGTTTGTGCAGTGTGCAAGTGGATATTTGGAACTCTTTGAGGCCTTCGTTGGAAACGGGATTTCTTCTTATAATTCTTGACAAAAGAATTCTCAGTAGCTTCTTTGTGTGTGTGTATTCAACTCACAGAGTTGAACCTTCCTTTAGACAGAGCAGATTGGAAACACTCTTTTTGTGGAATTTGCAAGTGGAGAATTCTAGCGCTTTGACGCCAATGGTAGAAAGGAAATATCTTCGTATAAAAACTAGACAGTATCATTCTCAGAAGCTACTTTGTGATGTGTGCGTTCAACTCACAGAGTTTAACCTTTCTTTTCATAGAGCAGTTTGGAAACACTCTGTTTGTGAAGTCTGCAAGTGGATATTTAAACGTCTTTGAGGCCTTCGTTGGAAACGGGATTTCTTCATATAAACCAGGACAGAAGAATTCTCAGAAACTTCTTGATTGTTATGTGTGCATTCAACTCACAGAGTTGAACCTTACTTTGGAAAGAGCAGTTTTCTAACACTCTTTTTGTAAAAGTTCCAAGTGAATACTTTGAGTGCTTTGAAGCCTACGGTTGACAACGAAATATCTTCATGTAAAAACTACAAAGAATCATTCGCAGAAACCACGTTGTGATCTCTGCAGTCAACTCACAGAGTTCAACCTTTCTTCCTATAGAGCAGTTATGAAACAGTCTCTTTGTAGAATTTGCAAGGGTGTATTTAGAGGGCATTGAAGCCTACGGTAGAAAAGGAAATATCTTACCATAAAATCTAGTCAGAAGCATTCTCAGCAACTGAGTTGTGATGTTTGCATTCAACTCACAGAGTTCAACATTCCTTTTCATGGAGCGGTTTTGAAACACTCTTTTTGCAGAATCTGCAAGTGGATATTTGGACCTCTTTGAGGCCTTCGTTGGAAACGGGATTTCTTCATGTAATGCCAGACAGAAGAATTCTCAGTGAATTCTTTCTGTGTGTGTGTATTCAACTCACAGAGTTGAACGTTCCTTTAGACAGAGTAGATTGGAAACACTCTTTTTGTGGAATTTTCAGGTGGAGGTATCAAGCGCTTTGAGACCAATGATAGAAAAGGAAATACCTTCGTATAATAATTAGACGGAATCATTCTCAGAAACTGCTTTGCAATGTGTGCGTTCAACTCACAGTGTTTAACCTTTCTTTTCATACAGTTGTTTCGAAACACTCTTTTTGCAGAATCTGCAAGTGGATATTTGGACCTCTTTGAAGTCTTCGTTGGAAATGGGATTTCTTCATATAATGCTAGACAGAAGACTTCTCAGTAACTGCTTTTTCTGGTGTGTATTCAACTCTCAGAGTTGAACTTTCCTTTAGAAACAGCAGAGTTGAAACTCTCTTTTTGTGGAATTTGCAAGTGGAGATTTCAAAGCTTTGAGGCCAATGGTAGAAAAGGAAATATCTTCGTATGCAAACTAGACAGAATCATTCTCAGAAACTACTTTGGTACGTGTGTGTTCAACTCACAAGTGTTTAACCTTTCTTTTCATAGAGCAGTTTGGAAACACTCAGTTTGTAAAGTCAGCAACTGGATATTTGGATGTATTTGAGGCCTTCGTTGGAAACGGGATTTCTTCATATAATGCTAGACAGAAGAATTCTCAGTAACTTCTTTGGGTTGTGGGTATTCAAGTCACAGAGTTGAAGCTTCCTTTAGGCGGAGCAGATTGGAAACACTTTTTGTGGAATTTTCAGGGGGAGACTTCAAGCGCTTTGAAGTGAATGGTAGGAAAGGAAATATCTTCGTATAAAAACTAGACGGAGTCATTCTCAGAAACTACTTTGTGATGTTTGCGTTCAACTCACAGAGTTTAACGTTTCTTTTCATAGAGCAGTTTGGAAACACTCTTTTTGCAGAATCTGCAAGTGGATATTTGGACCTCTTTGTGGCCTTCGTTGGAAACGGGATTTTTCATATAATGCTAGACAGAAGAATTCTCAGTAACTTCTTTTTGTGGTGTGTATTCAACTCACAGAGTTGAACCTTCCTTTAGACAGAGCAGATTTGAAACTCTCTTTTTGTGGAATTTGCAAGTGGAGATTTCAAGCGCTTTGAGGCCAACGGTAGAAAAGGAAATATCTTCGTAGAAAAAATAGACGGAATCATTCTCAGAAACTGCTTTGGGATGTGTGCATTGAACTCACAGTGTTTAACACTTCTTTTCATAGAGCACTTTGGAAACACTCAGTTTGTAATGTCTGCAGCTGGATATTTGGACCTCTTTGAGGCCTTCGTAGTAAACGGGATTTCTTCGTGTAATGATAGACAATAGAATTCTCAGTGAATTTTTTTCTGTGTGTGTGTATTCAACTCACAGGGTTGAACCTTCCTTTAGACAGTGCAGATTTGAAACACTTGTCTGTGGAATTTGCAAGGGGAGATTTCAAGCACTTTGAGGCCATTGGTGGAAAAGGAAATATCTTCGTATGAAAACTAGACAGAATCATTCTCAGGAACTACTTTGTGATATGTGCATTCAACTCACAGAGTTTAACCTTTCTTTTCATAGATGAGTTTGGAAACAGTCAGTTTGTAAATTCTGCAACTGGATATTTGGACCTCTTTGAGGCTTTCGTTGGAAACGGGATTTCTTCACATAATGCTAGACAGAAGAATTCTCAGTAACTTCTTTTGGGATGTATGTATTCAAATCAGAGAGTTGAACCTTCCTTTAGACAGAGCGGATTGGAAACACTCTTTTTGTGGAATTTGCAAGTGGAAAATTCTAGCAGTATGAGGCCAATGGTACAAAAGGAAATATCTTCGTATAAAAACTAGACAGTATCATTCTCAGAAACTGCTTTGTGATGTGTGTATTAAACTCACAGAGTTTAACCTTTCTTTTCATAGAGCAGTTTGGAAACCCTCTGTTTGTGAAGTCTGCAAGTGGATATTTAAACGTCTTTGAGGCCTTCGTTGGAAACGGGATTTTTTCATATAAACCAGGACAGAAGAATTCTCAGAAACTTCTTGATTGTTATGTGTGCATTCAACTCACAGAGTTGAACCTTACTTTGGAAAGAGCAGTTTTCTAACACTCTTTTTGTAAAAGTTCCAAGTGAATACTTTGAGTGCTTTGAAGCCTACGGTTGACAACGAAATATCTTCCTGTAAAAACTACAAAGAATCATTCGCAGAAACCACGTTGTGATCTCTGCATTCAACTCACAGAGTTGAACCTTTCTTCCTATAGAGCAGTTATGAAACAGTCTCTTTGTAGAATTTGCAAGGGTGTATTTAGAGGGCATTGAAGCCTACGGTAGAAAAGGAAATATCTTACCATAAAATCTAGTCAGAAGCATTCTCAGCAACTGAGTTGTGATGTTTCCATTCAACTCACAGAGTTCAACATTCCTTTTAATGGAGCGGTTTTGAAACACTCTTTTTGCAGAATCTGCAAGTGGATATTTGGACCTCTTTGAGGCCTTCGTTGGAAACGGGATTTCTTCATGTAATGCCAGACAGAAGAATTCTCAGTGAATTCTTTCTGTGTGTGTGTATTCAACTCACAGAGTTGAACGTTCCTTTAGACAGAGTAGATTGGAAACACTCTTTTTGTGGAATTTTCAGGTGGAGGTATCAAGCGCTTTGAGGCCAATGATAGAAAAGGAAATACCTTCGTATAATAATTAGACGGAATCATTCTCAGAAACTGCTTTGCAATGTGTGCGTTCAACTCACAGTGTTTAACCTTTCTTTTCATACAGTTGTTTCGAAACACTCTTTTTGCAGAATCTGCAAGTGGATATTTGGACCTCTTTGAAGTCTTCGTTGGAAATGGGATTTCTTCATATAATGCTAGACAGAAGACTTCTCAGTAACTGCTTTTTCTGGTGTGTATTCAACTCTCAGAGTTGAACTTTCCTTTAGAAACAGCAGATTTGAAACTCTCTTTTTGTGGAATTTGCAAGGGGAGATTTCAGAGCTTTGAGGCCAATGGTAGAAAAGGAAATATCTTCGTATGCAAACTAGACAGAATCATTCTCAGAAACTACTTTGGTACGTGTGTGTTCAACTCACAGTGTTTAACCTTTCTTTTCATAGAGCAGTTTGGAAACACTCAGTTTGTAAAGTCAGCAACTGGATATTTGGATGTATTTGAGGCCTTCGTTGGAAACGGGATTTCTTCATATAATGCTAGACAGAAGAATTCTCAGTAACTTCTTTGGGTTGTGGGTATTCAAGTCACAGAGTTGAAGCTTCCTTTAGGCGGAGCAGATTGGAAACACTTTTTGTGGAATTTTCAGGGGGAGACTTCAAGCGCTTTGAAGTGAATGGTAGGAAAGGAAATATCGTCGTATAAAAACTAGACGGAGTCATTCTCAGAAACTACTTTGTGATGTTTGCGTTCAACTCACAGAGTTTAACGTTTCTTTTCATAGAGCAGTTTGGAAACACTCTTTTTGCAGAATCTGCAAGTGGATATTTGGACCTCTTTGTGGCCTTCGTTGGAAACGGGATTTTTCATATAATGCTAGACAGAAGAATTCTCAGTAACTTCTTTTTGTGGTGTGTATTCAACTCACAGAGTTGAACCTTCCTTTAGACAGAGCAGATTTGAAACTCTCTTTTTGTGGAATTTGCAAGTGGAGATTTCAAGCGCTTTGAGGCCAACGGTAGAAAAGGAAATATCTTCGTAGAAAAAATAGACGGAATCATTCTCAGAAACTGCTTTGGGATGTGTGCATTGAACTCACAGTGTTTAACACTTCTTTTCATAGAGCACTTTGGAAACACTCAGTTTGTAATGTCTGCAGCTGGATATTTGGACCTCTTTGAGGCCTTCGTAGTAAACGGGATTTCTTCGTGTAATGATAGACAATAGAATTCTCAGTGAATTTTTTTCTGTGTGTGTGTATTCAACTCACAGGGTTGAACCTTCCTTCAGGCAGTGCAGATTTGAAACACTTTTCTGTGGAATTTGCAAGGGGAGATTTCAAGCACTTTGAGGCCATTGGTGGAAAAGGAAATATCTTCGTATAAAAACTAGACAGAATCATTCTCAGGAAGTACTTTGTGATATGTGCATTCAACTCACAGGGTTTAACCTTTCTTTTCATAGATGAGTTTGGAAACAGTCAGTTTGTAAATTCTGCAACTGGATATTTGGACCTCCTTTGAGGCTTTCGTTGGAAACGGGATTTCTTCACATAATGCTAGACAGAAGAATTCTCAGTAACTTCTTTTGGGATGTATGTATTCAAATCAGAGAGTTGAACCTTCCTTTAGACAGAGCGGATTGGAAACACTCTTTTTGTGGAATTTGCAAGTGGAAAATTCTAGCAGTATGAGGCCAATGGTACAAAAGGAAATATCTTCGTATAAAAACTAGACAGTATCATTCTCAGAAACTGCTTTGTGATGTGTGTATTAAACTCACAGAGTTGAACATTTCTTTGCATAGAGCAGTTTGGAAAGACTTAGTTTGTGCAGTGTGCAAGTGGATATTTGGAACTCTTTGAGGCCTTCGTTGGAAACGGGATTTCTTCTTATAATTCTTGACAAAAGAATTCTCAGTAGCTTCTTTGTGTGTGTGTATTCAACTCACAGAGTTGAACCTGCCTTTAGGCAGAGCAGATTGGAAACCCACTTTTTGTGGAATTTGCAAGTGGAGAATTCTAGCGCTTTGACGCCAATGGTAGGAAAGGAAATATCTCCGTATAAAAACTAGACAGTATCATTCTCAGAAGCTACTTTGTGATGTGTGCGTTCAACTCACAGAGTTTAACCTTTCTTTTCATAGAGCAGTTTGGAAACCCTCTGTTTGTGAAGTCTGCAAGTGGATATTTAAACGTCTTTGAGGCCTTCGTTGGAAACGGGATTTTTTCATATAAACCAGGACAGAAGAATTCTCAGAAACTTCTTGATTGTTATGTGTGCATTCAACTCACAGAGTTGAACCTTACTTTGGAAAGAGCAGTTTTCTAACACTCTTTTTGTAAAAGTTCCAAGTGAATACTTTGAGTGCTTTGAAGCCTACGGTTGACAACGAAATATCTTCATGTAAAAACTACAAAGAATCATTCGCAGAAACCACGTTGTGATCTCTGCAGTCAACTCACAGAGTTCAACCTTTCTTCCTATAGAGCAGTTATGAAACAGTCTCTTTGTAGAATTTGCAAGGGTGTATTTAGAGGGCATTGAAGCCTACGGTAGAAAAGGAAATATCTTACCATAAAATCTAGTCAGAAGCATTCTCAGTAACTGAGTTGTGATGTTTGCATTCAACTCACAGAGTTCAACATTCCTTTTAATGGAGCGGTTTTGAAACACTCTTTTTGCAGAATCTGCAAGTGGATATTTGGACCTCTTTGAGGCCTTCGTTGGAAACGGGATTTCTTCATGTAATGCCAGACAGAAGAATTCTCAGTGAATTCTTTCTGTGTGTGTGTATTCAACTCACAGAGTTGAACGTTCCTTTAGACAGAGTAGATTGGAAACACTCTTTTTGTGGAATTTTCAGGTGGAGGTATCAAGCGCTTTGAGGCCAATGATAGAAAAGGAAATACCTTCGTATAATAATTAGACGGAATCATTCTCAGAAACTGCTTTGCAATGTGTGCGTTCAACTCACAGTGTTTAACCTTTCTTTTCATACAGTTGTTTCGAAACACTCTTTTTGCAGAATCTGCAAGTGGATATTTGGACCTCTTTGAAGTCTTCGTTGGAAATGGGATTTCTTCATATAATGCTAGACAGAAGACTTCTCAGTAACTGCTTTTTCTGGTGTGTATTCAACTCTCAGAGTTGAACTTTCCTTTAGAAACAGCAGATTTGAAACTCTCTTTTTGTGGAATTTGCAAGTGGAGATTTCAGAACTTTGAGGCCAATGGTAGAAAAGGAAATATCTTCGTATGCAAACTAGACAGAATCATTCTCAGAAACTACTTTGGTACGTGTGTGTTCAACTCACAGTGTTTAACCTTTCTTTTCATAGAGCAGTTTGGAAACACTCAGTTTGTAAAGTCAGCAACTGGATATTTGGATGTATTTGAGGCCTTCGTTGGAAACGGGATTTCTTCATATAATGCTAGACAGAAGAATTCTCAGTAACTTCTTTGGGTTGTGGGTATTCAACTCACAGAGTTGAAGCTTCCTTTAGGCGGAGCAGATTGGAAACACTTTTTGTGGAATTTTCAGGGGGAGACTTCAAGCGCTTTGAAGTGAATGGTAGGAAAGGAAATATCTTCGTATAAAAACTAGACGGAGTCATTCTCAGAAACTACTTTGTGATGTTTGCGTTCAACTCACAGAGTTTAACGTTTCTTTTCATAGAGCAGTTTGGAAACACTCTTTTTGCAGAATCTGCAAGTGGATATTTGGACCTCTTTGTGGCCTTCGTTGGAAACGGGATTTTTCATATAATGCTAGACAGAAGAATTCTCAGTAACTTCTTTTTGTGGTGTGTATTCAACTCACAGAGTTGAACCTTCCTTTAGACAGAGCAGATTTGAAACTCTCTTTTTGTGGAATTTGCAAGTGGAGATTTCAAGCGCTTTGAGGCCAACGGCAGAAAAGGAAATATCTTCGTAGAAAAAATAGACGGAATCATTCTCAGAAACTGCTTTGGGATGTGTGCATTGAACTCACAGTGTTTAACACTTCTTTTCATAGAGCACTTTGGAAACACTCAGTTTGTAATGTCTGCAGCTGGATATTTGGACCTCTTTGAGGCCTTCGTAGTAAACGGGATTTCTTCGTGTAATGATAGACAATAGAATTCTCAGTGAATTTTTTTCTGTGTGTGTGTATTCAACTCACAGGGTTGAACCTTCCTTTAGACAGTGCAGATTTGAGACACTTGTCTGTGGAATTTGCAAGGGGAGATTTCAAGCACTTTGAGGCCATTGGTGGAAAAGGAAATATCTTCGTATAAAAACTAGACAGAATCATTCTCAGGAACTACTTTGTGATATGTGCATTCAACTCCCAGAGTTTAACCTTTCTTTTCATAGATGAGTTTGGAAACAGTCAGTTTGTAAATTCTGCAACTGGATATTTGGACCTCTTTGAGGCTTTCGTTGGAAACGGGATTTCTTCACATAATGCTAGACAGAAGAATTCTCAGTAACTTCTTTTGGGATGTATGTATTCAAATCAGAGAGTTGAACCTTCCTTTAGACAGAGCGGATTGGAAACACTCTTTTTGTGGAATTTGCAAGTGGAAAATTCTAGCAGTATGAGGCCAATGGTACAAAAGGAAATATCTTCGTATAAAAACTAGACAGTATCATTCTCAGAATCTGCTTTGTGATGTGTGTATTAAACTCACAGAGTTGAACATTTCTTTGCATAGAGCAGTTTGGAAAGACTTAGTTTGTGCAGTGTGCAAGTGGATATTTGGAACTCTTTGAGGCCTTCGTTGGAAACGGGATTTCTTCTTATAATTCTTGACAAAAGAATTCTCAGTAGCTTCTTTGTGTGTGTGTATTCAACTCACAGAGTTGAACCTTCCTTGAGACAGAGCAGATTGGAAACACTCTTTTTGTGGAATTTGCAAGTGGAGAATTCTAGCGCTTTGACGCCAATGGTAGAAAGGAAATATCTTCGTATAAAAACTAGACAGTTATCATTCTCAGAAACTACTTTGTGATGTGTGCGTTCAACTCACAGAGTTTAACCTTTCTTTTCATAGAGCAGTTTGGAAACACTCTGTTTGTGAAGTCTGCAGGTATATATTTAAACGTGCTTTGAGGCCTTCGTTGGAAACGGGATTTGTTCATATAAACCAGGACAGAAGAATTCTCAGAAACTTCTTGTTTGTTATGTGTGCATTCAACTCACAGAGTTGAACCTTACTTTGGAAAGAGCAGTTTTCTAACACTCTTTTTGTGAAAGTTCCAAGTGAATACTTTGAGTGCTTTGAAGCCTACGGTAGACAACGAAATATCTTCATGTAAAAACTACAAAGAATCATTCGCAGAAACCACGTTGTGATCTCTGCAGTCAACTCACAGAGTTCAACCTTTCTTCCTATAGAGCAGTTATGAAACAGTCTCTTTGTAGAATTTGCAAGGGTGTATTTAGAGGGCATTGAAGCCTACGGTAGAAAAGGAAATATCTTACCATAAAATCTAGTCAGAAGCATTCTCAGCAACTGAGTTGTGATGTTTCCATTCAACTCACAGAGTTCAACATTCCTTTTAATGGAGCGGTTTTGAAACACTCTTTTTGCAGAATCTGCAAGTGGATATTTGGACCTCTTTGAGGCCTTCGTTGGAAACGGGATTTCTTCATGTAATGCCAGACAGAAGAATTCTCAGTGAATTCTTTCTGTGTGTGTGTATTCAACTCACAGAGTTGAACGTTCCTTTAGACAGAGTAGATTGGAAACACTCTTTTTGTGGAATTTTCAGGTGGAGGTATCAAGCGCTTTGAGGCCAATGATAGAAAAGGAAATACCTTCGTATAATAATTAGACGGAATCATTCTCAGAAACTGCTTTGCAATGTGTGCGTTCAACTCACAGTGTTTAACCTTTCTTTTCATACAGTTGTTTCGAAACACTCTTTTTGCAGAATCTGCAAGTGGATATTTGGACCTCTTTGAAGTCTTCGTTGGAAATGGGATTTCTTCATATAATGCTAGACAGAAGACTTCTCAGTAACTGCTTTTTCTGGTGTGTATTCAACTCTCAGAGTTGAACTTTCCTTTAGAAACAGCAGATTTGAAACTCTCTTTTTGTGGAATTTGCAAGTGGAGATTTCAGAGCTTTGAGGCCAATGGTAGAAAAGGAAATATCTTCGTATGCAAACTAGACAGAATCATTCTCAGAAACTACTTTGGTACGTGTGTGTTCAACTCACAGTGTTTAACCTTTCTTTTCATAGAGCAGTTTGGAAACACTCAGTTTGTAAAGTCAGCAACTGGATATTTGGATGTATTTGAGGCCTTCGTTGGAAACGGGATTTCTTCATATAGTGCTAGACAGAAGAATTCTCAGTAACTTCTTAGGGTTGTGGGTATTCAACTCACAGAGTTGAAGCTTCCTTTAGGCGGAGCAGATTGGAAACACTTTTTGTGGAATTTTCAGGGGGAGACTTCAAGCGCTTTGAAGTGAATGGTAGAAAAGGAAATATCTTCGTATAAAAACTAGACGGAGTCATTCTCAGAAACTACTTTGTGATGTTTGCGTTCAACTCACAGAGTTTAACGTTTCTTTTCATAGAGCAGTTTGGAAACACTCTTTTTGCAGAATCTGCAAGTGGATATTTGGACCTCTTTGTGGCCTTCGTTGGAAACGGGATTTTTCATATAATGCTAGACAGAAGAATTCTCAGTAACTTCTTTTTGTGGTGTGTATTCAACTCACAGAGTTGAACCTTCCTTTAGACAGAGCAGATTTGAAACTCTCTTTTTGTGGAATTTGCAAGTGGAGATTTCAAGCGCTTTGAGGCCAACGGCAGAAAAGGAAATATCTTCGTAGAAAAAATAGACGGCATCATTCTCAGAAACTGCTTTGGGATGTGTGCATTGAACTCACAGTGTTTAACACTACTTTTCATAGAGCACTTTGGAAACACTCAGTTTGTAATGTCTGCAGCTGGATATTTGGACCTCTTTGAGGCCTTCGTAGTAAACGGGATTTCTTCGTGTAATGATAGACAATAGAATTCTCAGTGAATTTTTTTCTGTGTGTGTGTATTCAACTCACAGGGTTGAACCTTCCTTTAGACAGTGCAGATTTGAAACACTTGTCTGTGGAATTTGCAAGGGGAGATTTCAAGCACTTTGAGGCCATTGGTGGAAAAGGAAATATCTTCGTATAAAAACTAGACAGAATCATTCTCAGGAACTACTTTGTGATATGTGCATTCAACTCACAGAGTTTAACCTTTCTTTTCATAGATGAGTTTGGAAACAGTCAGTTTGTAAATTCTGCAACTGGATATTTGGACCTCTTTGAGGCTTTCGTTGGAAACGGGATTTCTTCACATAATGCTAGACAGAAGAATTCTCAGTAACTTCTTTTGGGATGTATGTATTCAAATCAGAGAGTTGAACTTTCCTTTAGACAGAGCGGATTGGAAACACTCTTTTTGTGGAATTTGCAAGTGGAGAATTCTAGCGCTTTGACGCCAATGGTAGAAAGGAAATATCTTCGTATAAAAACTAGACAGTATCATTCTTAGAAACTCCTTTGTGATGTGTGTATTAAACTCACAGAGTTTAACCTTTCTTTTCATAGAGCAGTTTGGAAACCCTCTGTTTGTGAAGTCTGCAAGTGGATATTTAAACGTCTTTGAGGCCTTCGTTGGAAACGGGATTTTTTCATATAAACCAGGACAGAAGAATTCTCAGAAACTTCTTGATTGTTATGTGTGCATTCAACTCACAGAGTTGAACCTTACTTTGGAAAGAGCAGTTTTCTAACACTCTTTTTGTAAAAGTTCCAAGTGAATACTTTGAGTGCTTTGAAGCCTACGGTTGACAACGAAATATCTTCCTGTAAAAACTACAAAGAATCATTCGCAGAAACCACGTTGTGATCTCTGCATTCAACTCACAGAGTTGAACCTTTCTTCCTATAGAGCAGTTATGAAACAGTCTCTTTGTAGAATTTGCAAGGGTGTATTTAGAGGGCATTGAAGCCTACGGTAGAAAAGGAAATATCTTACCATAAAATCTAGTCAGAAGCATTCTCAGAAACTGAGTTGTGATGTTTGCATTCAACTCACAGAGTTCAACATTCCTTTTAATGGAGCGGTTTTGAAACACTCTTTTTGCAGAATCTGCAAGTGGATATTTGGACCTCTTTGAGGCCTTCGTTGGAAACGGGATTTCTTCATGTAATGCCAGACAGAAGAATTCTCAGTGAATTCTTTCTGTGTGTGTGTATTCAACTCACGGAGTTGAACGTTCCTTTAGACAGAGTAGATTGGAAACACTCTTTTTGTGGAATTTTCAGGTGGAGGTATCATGCGCTTTGAGGCCAATGATAGAAAAGGAAATACCTTCGTATAATAATTAGACGGAATCATTCTCAGAAACTGCTTTGCAATGTGTGCGTTCAACTCACAGTGTTTAACCTTTCTTTTCATACAGTTGTTTCGAAACACTCTTTTTGCAGAATCTGCAAGTGGATATTTGGACCTCTTTGAAGTCTTCGTTGGAAATGGGATTTCTTCATATAATGCTAGACAGAAGACTTCTCAGTAACTGCTTTTTCTGGTGTGTATTCAACTCTCAGAGTTGAACTTTCCTTTAGAAACAGCAGATTTGAAACTCTCTTTTTGTGGAATTTGCAAGTGGAGATTTCAGAGCTTTGAGGCCAATGGTAGAAAAGGAAATATCTTCGTATGCAAACTAGACAGAATCATTCTCAGAAACTACTTTGGTACGTGTGTGTTCAACTCACAGTGTTTAACCTTTCTTTTCATAGAGCAGTTTGGAAACACTCAGTTTGTAAAGTCAGCAACTGGATACTTGGATGTATTTGAGGCCTTCGTTGGAAACGGGATTTCTTCATATAATGCTAGACAGAAGAATTCTCAGTAACTTCTTTGGGTTGTGGGTATTCAAGTCACAGAGTTGAAGCTTCCTTTAGGCGGAGCAGATTGGAAACACTTTTTGTGGAATTTTCAGGGGGAGACTTCAAGCGCTTTGAAGTGAATGGTAGGAAAGGAAATATCTTCGTATAAAAACTAGACGGAGTCATTCTCAGAAACTACTTTGTGATGTTTGCGTTCAACTCACAGAGTTTAACGTTTCTTTTCATAGAGCAGTTTGGAAACACTCTTTTTGCAGAATCTGCAAGTGGATATTTGGACTTCTTTGTGGCCTTCGTTGCAAACGGGATTTTTCATATAATGCTAGACAGAAGAATTCTCAGTAACTTCTTTTTGTGGTGTGTATTCAACTCACAGAGTTGAACCTTCCTTTAGACAGAGCAGATTTGAAACTCTCTTTTTGTGGAATTTGCAAGTGGAGATTTCAAGCGCTTTGAGGCCAACGGTAGAAAAGGAAATATCTTCGTAGAAAAAATAGACGGAATCATTCTCAGAAACTGCTTTGGGATGTGTGCATTGAACTCACAGTGTTTAACACTTCTTTTCATAGAGCACTTTGGAAACACTCAGTTTGTAATGTCTGCAGCTGGATATTTGGACCTCTTTGAGGCCTTCGTAGTAAACGGGATTTCTTCGTGTAATGATAGACAATAGAATTCTCAGTGAATTTGTTTCTGTGTGTGTGTATTCAACTCACAGGGTTGAACCTTCCTTTAGACAGTGCAGATTTGAAACACTTGTCTGTGGAATTTGCAAGGGGAGATTTCAAGCACTTTGAGGCCATTGGTGGAAAAGGAAATATCTTCGTATAAAAACTAGACAGAATCATTCTCAGGAACTACTTTGTGATATGTGCATTCAACTCCCAGAGTTTAACCTTTCTTTTCATAGATGAGTTTGGAAACAGTCAGTTTGTAAATTCTGCAACTGGATATTTGGACCTCTTTGAGGCTTTCGTTGGAAACGGGATTTCTTCACATAATGCTAGACAGAAGAATTCTCAGTAACTTCTTTTGGGATGTATGTATTCAAATCAGAGAGTTGAACCTTCCTTTAGACAGAGCGGATTGGAAACACTCTTTTTGTGGAATTTGCAAGTGGAAAATTCTAGCAGTATGAGGCCAATGGTACAAAAGGAAATATCTTCGTATAAAAACTAGACAGTATCATTCTCAGAAACTGCTTTGTGATGTGTGTATTAAACTCACAGAGTTGAACATTTCTTTGCATAGAGCAGTTTGGAAAGACTTAGTTTGTGCAGTGTGCAAGTGGATATTTGGAACTCTTTGAGGCCTTCGTTGGAAACGGGATTTCTTCTTATAATTCTTGACAAAAGAATTCTCAGTAGCTTCTTTGTGTGTGTGTATTCAACTCACAGAGTTGAACCTTCCTTTAGACAGAGCAGATTGGAAACACTCTTTTTGTGG
The DNA here is from genome assembly GCF_000001405.40 of Homo sapiens. NCBI lineage: Eukaryota > Metazoa > Chordata > Mammalia > Primates > Hominidae > Homo > Homo sapiens. The sequence continues at coordinate 93,443,314 of NC_000003.12, forward strand.
AATTTGCAAGTGGAGAATTCTAGCGCTTTGACGCCAATGGTAGAAAGGAAATATCTTCGTATAAAAACTAGACAGTATCATTCTCAGAAGCTACTTTGTGATGTGTGCGTTCAACTCACAGAGTTTAACCTTTCTTTTCATAGAGCAGTTTGGAAACCCTCTGTTTGTGAAGTCTGCAAGTGGATATTTAAACGTCTTTGAGGCCTTCGTTGTAAACGGGATTTTTTCATATAAACCAGGACAGAAGAATTCTCAGAAACTTCTTGATTGTTATGTGTGCATTCAACTCACAGAGTTGAACCTTACTTTGGAAAGAGCAGTTTTCTAACACTCTTTTTGTAAAAGTTCCAAGTGAATACTTTGAGTGCTTTGAAGCCTACGGTTGACAACGAAATATCTTCATGTAAAAACTACAAAGAATCATTCGCAGAAACCACGTTGTGATCTCTGCAGTCAACTCACAGAGTTCAACCTTTCTTCCTATAGAGCAGTTATGAAACAGTCTCTTTGTAGAATTTGCAAGGGTGTATTTAGAGGGCATTGAAGCCTACGGTAGAAAAGGAAATATCTTACCATAAAATCTAGTCAGAAGCATTCTCAGAAACTGAGTTGTGATGTTTGCATTCAACTCACAGAGTTCAACATTCCTTTTAATGGAGCGGTTTTGAAACACTCTTTTTGCAGAATCTGCAAGTGGATATTTGGACCTCTTTGAGGCCTTCGTTGGAAACGGGATTTCTTCATGTAATGCCAGACAGAAGAATTCTCAGTGAATTCTTTCTGTGTGTGTGTATTCAACTCACAGAGTTGAACGTTCCTTTAGACAGAGTAGATTGGAAACACTCTTTTTGTGGAATTTTCAGGTGGAGGTATCAAGCGCTTTGAGGCCAATGATAGAAAAGGAAATACCTTCGTATAATAATTAGACGGAATCATTCTCAGAAACCGCTTTGCAATGTGTGCGTTCAACTCACAGTGTTTAACCTTTCTTTTCATACAGTTGTTTCGAAACACTCTTTTTGCAGAATCTGCAAGTGGATATTTGGACCTCTTTGAAGTCTTCGTTGGAAATGGGATTTCTTCATATAATGCTAGACAGAAGACTTCTCAGTAACTGCTTTTTCTGGTGTGTATTCAACTCTCAGAGTTGAACTTTCCTTTAGAAACAGCAGAGTTGAAACTCTCTTTTTGTGGAATTTGCAAGTGGAGATTTCAGAGCTTTGAGGCCAATGGTAGAAAAGGAAATATCTTCGTATGCAAACTAGACAGAATCATTCTCAGAAACTACTTTGGTACGTGTGTGTTCAACTCACAGTGTTTAACCTTTCTTTTCATAGAGCAGTTTGGAAACACTCAGTTTGTAAAGTCAGCAACTGGATATTTGGATGTATTTGAGGCCTTCGTTGGAAACGGGATTTCTTCATATAGTGCTAGACAGAAGAATTCTCAGTAACTTCTTTGGGTTGTGGGTATTCAACTCACAGAGTTGAAGCTTCCTTTAGGCGGAGCAGATTGGAAACACTTTTTGTGGAATTTTCAGGGGGAGACTTCAAGCGCTTTGAAGTGAATGGTAGAAAAGGAAATATCTTCGTATATAAACTAGACAGGAGTCATTCTCAGAAACTACTTTGTGATGTTTGCGTTCAACTCACAGAGTTTAACGTTTCTTTTCATAGAGCAGTTTGGAAACACTCTTTTTGCAGAATCTGCAAGTGGATATTTGGACCTCTTTGTGGCCTTCGTTGGAAACGGGATTTTTCATATAATGCTAGACAGAAGAATTCTCAGTAACTTCTTTTTGTGGTGTGTATTCAACTCACAGAGTTGAACCTTCCTTTAGACAGAGCAGATTTGAAACTCTCTCTTTGTGGAATTTGCAAGTGGAGATTTCAAGCGCTTTGAGGCCAACGGCAGAAAAGGAAATATCTTCGTAGAAAAAATAGACGGAATCATTCTCAGAAACTGCTTTGGGATGTGTGCATTGAACTCACAGTGTTTAACACTTCTTTTCATAGAGCACTTTGGAAACACTCAGTTTGTAATGTCTGCAGCTGGATATTTGGACCTCTTTGAGGCCTTCGTGGTAAACGGGATTTCTTCGTGTAATGATAGACAATAGAATTCTCAGTGAATTTTTTTCTGTGTGTGTGTATTCAACTCACAGGGTTGAACCTTCCTTTAGACAGTGCAGATTTGAGACACTTGTCTGTGGAATTTGCAAGGGGAGATTTCAAGCACTTTGAGGCCATTGGTGGAAAAGGAAATATCTTCGTATAAAAACTAGACAGAATCATTCTCAGGAACTACTTTGTGATATGTGCATTCAACTCCCAGAGTTTAACCTTTCTTTTCATAGATGAGTTTGGAAACAGTCAGTTTGTAAATTCTGCAACTGGATATTTGGACCTCTTTGAGGCTTTCGTTGGAAACGGGATTTCTTCACATAATGCTAGACAGAAGAATTCTCAGTAACTTCTTTTGGGATGTATGTATTCAAATCAGAGAGTTGAACCTTCCTTTAGACAGAGCGGATTGGAAACACTCTTTTTGTGGAATTTGCAAGTGGAAAATTCTAGCAGTATGAGGCCAATGGTACAAAAGGAAATATCTTCGTATAAAAACTAGACAGTATCATTCTCAGAAACTGCTTTGTGATGTGTGTATTAAACTCACAGAGTTGAACATTTCTTTGCATAGAGCAGTTTGGAAAGACTTAGTTTGTGCAGTGTGCAAGTGGATATTTGGAACTCTTTGAGGCCTTCGTTGGAAACGGGATTTCTTCTTATAATTCTTGACAAAAGAATTCTCAGTAGCTTCTTTGTGTGTGTGTATTCAACTCACAGAGTTGAACCTTCCTTTAGACAGAGCAGATTGGAAACACTCTTTTTGTGGAATTTGCAAGTGGAGAATTCTAGCGCTTTGACGCCAATGGTAGAAAGGAAATATCTTCGTATGCAAACTAGACAGTATCATTCTCAGAAGCTACTTTGTGATGTGTGTGTTCAACTCACAGCAGTTTAACCTTTCTTTTCATAATGCAGTTTGGAAACCCTCTGTTTGTGAAGTCTGCAAGTGGATATTTAAACGTCTTTGAGGCCTTCGTTGGAAACGGGATTTTTTCATATAAACCAGGACAGAAGAATTCTCAGAAACTTCTTGATTGTTATGTGTGCATTCAACTCACAGAGTTGAACCTTACTTTGGAAAGAGCAGTTTTCTAACACTCTTTTTGTAAAAGTTCCAAGTGAATACTTTGAGTGCTTTGAAGCCTACGGTTGACAACGAAATATCTTCATGTAAAAACTACAAAGAATCATTCGCAGAAACCACGTTGTGATCTCTGCATTCAACTCACAGAGTTGAACCTTTCTTCCTATAGAGCAGTTATGAAACAGTCTCTTTGTAGAATTTGCAAGGGTGTATTTAGAGGGCATTGAAGCCTACGGTAGAAAAGGAAATATCTTACCATAAAATCTAGTCAGAAGCATTCTCAGCAACTGAGTTGTGATGTTTGCATTCAACTCACAGAGTTCAACATTCCTTTTAATGGAGCGGTTTTGAAACACTCTTTTTGCAGAATCTGCAAGTGGATATTTGGACCTCTTTGAGGCCTTCGTTGGAAACGGGATTTCTTCATGTAATGCCAGACAGAAGAATTCTCAGTGAATTCTTTCTGTGTGTGTGTATTCAACTCACAGAGTTGAACGTTCCTTTAGACAGAGTAGATTGGAAACACTCTTTTTGTGGAATTTTCAGGTGGAGGTATCAAGCGCTTTGAGACCAATGATAGAAAAGGAAATACCTTCGTATAATAATTAGATGGAATCATTCTCAGAAACTGCTTTGCAATGTGTGCCTTCAACTCACAGCGTTTAACCTTTCTTTTCATACAGTTGTTTTGAAACACTCTTTTTGCAGAATCTGCAAGTGGATATTTGGACCTCTTTGAAGTCTTCGTTGGAAATGGGATTTCTTCATATAATGCTAGACAGAAGAATTCTCAATAACTGCTTTTTCTGGTGTGTATTCAACTCTCAGAGTTGAACTTTCCTTTAGAAACAGCAGATTTGAAACTCTCTTTTTGTGGAATTTGCAAGTGGAGATTTCAAAGCTTTGAGGCCAATGGTAGAAAAGGAAATATCTTCGTATGCCAACTAGACAGAATCATTCTCAGAAACTACTTTGGTACGTGTGTGTTCAACTCACAGTGTTTAACCTTTCCTTTCATAGAGCAGTTTGGAAACACTCAGTTTGTAAAGTCAGCCACTGGATATTTGGATGTATTTGAGGCCTTCGTTGGAAACGGGATTTCTTCATATAATGCTAGACAGAAGAATTCTCAGTAACTTCTTTGAGTTGTGGGTATTCAACTCACAGAGTTGAAACTTCCTTTAGGCGGAGCAGATTGGAAACACTTTTTGTGGAATTTTCAGGGGGAGACTTCAAGCGCTTTGAGGCCAACGGTAGAAAAGGAAATATCTTCGTATAAAAACTAAACGGAGTCATTCTCAGAAACTACTTTGTGATGTTTGCGTTCAACTCACAGAGTTTAACGTTTCTTTTCATAGAGCAGTTTGGAAACACTCTTTTTGCAGAATCTGCAAGTGGATATTTGGACCTCTTTGTGGCCTTCGTTGGAAACGGGATTTTTCATATAATGCTAGACAGAAGAATTCTCAGTAACTTCTTTTTGTGGTGTGTATTCAACTCACAGAGTTGAACCTTCCTTTAGACAGAGCAGATTTGAAACTCTCTTTTTGTGGAATTTGCAAGTGGAGATTTCAAGCGCTTTGAGGCCAACGGCAGAAAAGGAAATATCTTCGTAGAAAAAATAGACGGAATCATTCTCAGAAACTGCTTTGGGATGTGTGCATTGAACTCACAGTGTTTAACACTTCTTTTCATAGAGCACTTTGGAAACACTCAGTTTGTAATGTCTGCAGCTGGATATTTGGACCTCTTTGAGGCCTTCGTAGTAAACGGGATTTCTTCGTGTAATGATAGACAATAGAATTCTCAGTGAATTTTTTTCTGTGTGTGTGTATTCAACTCACAGGGTTGAACCATCCTTTAGACAGTGCAGATTTGAAACACTTGTCTGTGGAATTTGCAAGGGGAGATTTCAAGCACTTTGAGGCCATTGGTGGAAAAGGAAATATCTTCGTATGAAAACTAGACAGAATCATTCTCAGGAACTACTTTGTGATATGTGCATTCAACTCCCAGTAGTTTAACCTTTCTTTTCATAGATGAGTTTGGAAACAGTCAGTTTGTAAATTCTGCAACTGGATATTTGGACCTCTTTGAGGCTTTCGTTGGAAACGGGATTTCTTCACATAATGCTAGACAGAAGAATTCTCAGTAAATTCTTTTGGGATGTATGTATTCAAATCAGAGAGTTGAACCTTCCTTTAGACAGAGCGGATTGGAAACACTCTTTTTGTGGAATTTGCAAGTGGAAAATTCTAGCAGTATGAGGCCAATGGTACAAAAGGAAATATCTTCGTATAAAAACTAGACAGTATCATTCTCAGAAACTGCTTTGTGATGTGTGTATTAAACTCACAGAGTTGAACATTTCTTTGCATAAAGCAGTTTGGAAAGACTTAGTTTGTGCAGTGTGCAAGTGGATATTTGGAACTCTTTGAGGCCTTCGTTGGAAACGGGATTTCTTCTTATAATTCTTGACAAAAGAATTCTCAGTAGCTTCTTTGTGTATGTGTATTCAACTCACAGAGTTGAACCTTCCTTTAGACAGAGCAGATTGGAAACACTCTTTTTGTGGAATTTGCAAGTGGAGAATTCTAGCGCTTTGACGCCAATGGTAGAAAGGAAATATCTTCGTATAAAAACTAGACAGTATCATTCTCAGAAACTGCTTTGTGATGTGTGTATTAAACTCACAGAGTTTAACCTTTCTTTTCATAGAGCAGTTTGGAAACCCTCTGTTTGTGAAGTCTGCAAGTGGATATTTAAACGTCTTTGAGGCCTTCGTTGGAAACGGGATTTTTTCATATAAACCAGGACAGAAGAATTCTCAGAAACTTCTTGATTGTTATGTGTGCATTCAACTCACAGAGTTGAACCTTACTTTGGAAAGAGCAGTTTTCTAACACTCTTTTTGTAAAAGTTCCAAGTGAATACTTTGAGTGCTTTGAAGCCTACGGTTGACAACGAAATATCTTCATGTAAAAACTACAAAGAATCATTCGCAGAAACCACGTTGTGATCTCTGCATTCAACTCACAGAGTTGAACCTTTCTTCCTATAGAGCAGTTATGAAACAGTCTCTTTGTAGAATTTGCAAGGGTGTATTTAGAGGGCATTGAAGCCTACGGTAGAAAAGGAAATATCTTACCATAAAATCTAGTCAGAAGCATTCTCAGCAACTGAGTTGTGATGTTTCCATTCAACTCACAGAGTTCAACATTCCTTTTAATGGAGCGGTTTTGAAACACTCTTTTTGCAGAATCTGCAAGTGGATATTTGGACCTCTTTGAGGCCTTCGTTGGAAACGGGATTTCTTCATGTAATGCCAGACAGAAGAATTCTCAGTGAATTCTTTCTGTGTGTGTGTATTCAACTCACAGAGTTGAACGTTCCTTTAGACAGAGTAGATTGGAAACACTCTTTTTGTGGAATTTTCAGGTGGAGGTATCAAGCGCTTTGAGGCCAATGATAGAAAAGGAAATACCTTCGTATAATAATTAGACGGAATCATTCTCAGAAACTGCTTTGCAATGTGTGCGTTCAACTCACAGTGTTTAACCTTTCTTTTCATACAGTTGTTTCGAAACACTCTTTTTGCAGAATCTGCAAGTGGATATTTGGACCTCTTTGAAGTCTTCGTTGGAAATGGGATTTCTTCATATAATGCTAGACAGAAGACTTCTCAGTAACTGCTTTTTCTGGTGTGTATTCAACTCTCAGAGTTGAACTTTCCTTTAGAAACAGCAGATTTGAAACTCTCTTTTTGTGGAATTTGCAAGTGGAGATTTCAGAGCTTTGAGGCCAATGGTAGAAAAGGAAATATCTTCGTATGCAAACTAGACAGAATCATTCTCAGAAACTACTTTGGTACGTGTGTGTTCAACTCACAGTGTTTAACCTTTCTTTTCATAGAGCAGTTTGGAAACACTCAGTTTGTAAAGTCAGCAACTGGATATTTGGATGTATTTGAGGCCTTCGTTGGAAACGGGATTTCTTCATATAGTGCTAGACAGAAGAATTCTCAGTAACTTCTTTGGGTTGTGGGTATTCAACTCACAGAGTTGAAGCTTCCTTTAGGCGGAGCAGATTGGAAACACTTTTTGTGGAATTTTCAGGGGGAGACTTCAAGCGCTTTGAAGTGAATGGTAGGAAAGGAAATATCTTCGTATAAAAACTAGACGGAGTCATTCTCAGAAACTACTTTGTGATGTTTGCGTTCAACTCACAGAGTTTAACGTTTCTTTTCATAGAGCAGTTTGGAAACACTCTTTTTGCAGAATCTGCAAGTGGATATTTGGACCTCTTTGTGGCCTTCGTTGGAAACGGGATTTTTCATATAATGCTAGACAGAAGAATTCTCAGTAACTTCTTTTTGTGGTGTGTATTCAACTCACAAAGTTGAACCTTCCTTTAGACAGAGCAGATTTGAAACTCTCTTTTTGTGGAATTTGCAAGTGGAGATTTCAAGCGCTTTGAGGCCAACGGCAGAAAAGGAAATATCTTCGTAGAAAAAATAGACGGAATCATTCTCAGAAACTGCTTTGGGATGTGTGCATTGAACTCACAGTGTTTAACACTTCTTTTCATAGAGCACTTTGGAAACACTCAGTTTGTAATGTCTGCAGCTGGATATTTGGACCTCTTTGAGGCCTTCGTAGTAAACGGGATTTCTTCGTGTAATGATAGACAATAGAATTCTCAGTGAATTTTTTTCTGTGTGTGTGTATTCAACTCACAGGGTTGAACCTTCCTTTAGACAGTGCAGATTTGAAACACTTGTCTGTGGAATTTGCAAGGGGAGATTTCAAGCACTTTGAGGCCATTGGTGGAAAAGGAAATATCTTCGTATGAAAACTAGACAGAATCATTCTCAGGAACTACTTTGTGATATGTGCATTCAACTCACAGAGTTTAACCTTTCTTTTCATAGATGAGTTTGGAAACAGTCAGTTTGTAAATTCTGCAACTGGATATTTGGACCTCTTTGAGGCTTTCGTTGGAAACGGGATTTCTTCACATAATGCTAGACAGAAGAATTCGCAGTAACTTCTTTTGGGATGTATGTATTCAACTCAGAGAGTTGAACCTTCCTTTAGACAGAGCGGATTGGAAACACGCTTTTTGCGGAATTTTCAGGTGGAGATTTCAAGAGCCTTGAGGCCAATGGTAGAAAAGGCTATCTTCGTATAAAAACTAGACGGAATCATTCTCAGAAACTGCTTTGTGATGTGTGCATTAAACTCACAGAGTTGAACATTTCTTTGCATAGAGCAGTTTGGAAAGACTTAGTTTGTACAGTGTGCAAGTGGATATTTGGAACTCTTTGAGGCCTTCGTTGGAAACGGGATTTCTTCTTATAATTCTTGACAAAAGAATTCTCAGTAGCTTCTTTGTGTGTGTGTATTCAACTCACAGAGTTGAACCTTCCTTTAGACAGAGCAGATTGGAAACACTCTTTTTGTGGAATTTGCAAGTGGAGAATTCTAGCGCTTTGACGCCAATGGTAGAAAGGAAATATCTTCGTATAAAAACTAGACAGTATCATTCTCAGAAGCTACTTTGTGATGTGTGCGTTCAACTCACAGAGTTTAACCTTTCTTTTCATAGAGCGGTTTGGAAACCCTCTGTTTGTGAAGTCTGCAAGTGGATATTTAAACGTCTTTGAGGCCTTCGTTGGAAACGGGATTTTTTCATATAAACCAGGACAGAAGAATTCTCAGAAACTTCTTGATTGTTATGTGTGCATTCAACTCACAGAGTTGAACCTTACTTTGGAAAGAGCAGTTTTCTAACACTCTTTTTGTAAAAGTTCCAAGTGAATACTTTGAGTGCTTTGAAGCCTACGGTTGACAACGAAATATCTTCATGTAAAAACTACAAAGAATCATTTGCAGAAACCACGTTGTGATCTCTGCATTCAACTCACAGAGTTGAACCTTTCTTCCTATAGAGCAGTTATGAAACAGTCTCTTTGTAGAATTTGCAAGGGTGTATTTAGAGGGCATTGAAGCCTACGGTAGAAAAGGAAATATCTTACCATAAAATCTAGTCAGAAGCATTCTCAGAAACTGAGTTGTGATGTTTGCATTCAACTCACAGAGTTCAACATTCCTTTTCATGGAGCGGTTTTGAAACACTCTTTTTGCAGAATCTGCAAGTGGATATTTGGACCTCTTTGAGGCCTTCGTTGAAAACGGGATTTCTTCATGTAATGCCAGACAGAAGAATTCTCAGTGAATTCTTTCTGTGTGTGTGTATTCAACTCACAGAGTTGAACGTTCCTTTAGACAGAGTAGATTGGAAACACTCTTTTTGTGGAATTTTCAGGTGGAGGTATCAAGCGCTTTGAGGCCAATGATAGAAAAGGAAATACCTTCGTATAATAATTAGACGGAATCATTCTCAGAAACTGCTTTGCAATGTGTGCGTTCAACTCACAGTGTTTAACCTTTCTTTTCATACAGTTGTTTCGAAACACTCTTTTTGCAGAATCTGCAAGTGGATATTTGGACCTCTTTGAAGTCTTCGTTGGAAATGGGATTTCTTCATATAATGCTAGACAGAAGACTTCTCAGTAACTGCTTTTTCTGGTGTGTATTCAACTCTCAGAGTTGAACTTTCCTTTAGAAACAGCAGATTTGAAACTCTCTTTTTGTGGAATTTGCAAGTGGAGATTTCAGAGCTTTGAGGCCAATGGTAGAAAAGGAAATATCTTCGTATGCAAACTAGACAGAATCATTCTCAGAAACTACTTTGGTACCGTGTGTGTTCAACTCACAGTGTTTAACCTTTCTTTTCATAGAGCAGTTTGGAAACACTCAGTTTGTAAAGTCAGCAACTGGATATGTGGATGTATTTGAGGCCTTCGTTGGAAACGGGATTTCTTCCTATAATGCGAGACAGAAGAATTCTCAGTAACTTCTTTGTGTTGTGGGTATTCAACTCACAGAGTTGAAGCTTCCTTTAGGCGGAGCAGATTGGAAACACTTTTTGTGGAATTTTCAGGGGGAGACTTCAAGCGCTTTGAGGCCAACGGTAGAAAAGGAAATATCTTCGTATAAAAACTAGACGGAGTCATTCTCAGAAACTACTTTGTGATGTTTGCGTTCAACTCACAGAGTTTAACGTTTCTTTTCATAGAGCAGTTTGGAAACACTCTTTTTGCAGAATCTGCAAGTGGATATTTGGACCTCTTTGTGGCCTTCGTTGGAAACGGGATTTTTCATATAATGCTAGACAGAAGAATTCTCAGTAACTGCTTTTTCTGGTGTGTATTCAACTCACAGAGTTGAACCTTCCTTTAGACAGAGCAGATTTGAAACTCTCTTTTTGTGGTATTTGCAAGTGGAGAATTCAAGTGCTTTGAGGCCAACGGTAGAAAAGGAAATATCTTCGTAGAAAAAATAGACGGAATCATTCTCAGAAACTGCTTTGTGATGTGTGCATTGAACTCACAGTGTTTAACACTTCTTTTCATAGAGCACTTTGGAAACACTCAGTTTGTATTGTCTGCAACTGGATATTTGGACCTCTTTGAGGCATTCGTAGTAAACGGGATTTCTTCGCGTAATGATAGACAGTAGAATTCTCAGTGAATTTTTTTTGTGTGTGTGTATTCAACTCACAGGTTTGAACCTTCCTTTAGACAGTGCAGATTTGAAACACTTTTGTGGAATTTGCAAGGGGAAATTTCAAGCACCTTGAGGGCAGTGGTGGAAAAGGAAATATATTCGTATAAAAACTAGACAGAATCATTCTCAGGAACTACTTTGTGATATGTGCATTCAACTCACAGTTTAACCTTTCTTTTCATAGATGAGTTTGGAAACAGTCAGTTTGTAAATTCTGCAACTGGATATTTGGACCTCTTTGAGGCTTTCGTTGGAAACGGGATTTCTTCACATAATGCTAGACAGAAGAATTCTCAGTAACTTCTTATGGGTTGTGTGTATTTAACTCAGAGAGTTGAACCTTCCATTAGACAGAGCAGATTGGAAACACGCTTTTTGCAGAATTTTCAGGTGGAGATTTCAAGAGCCTTGAGGCCAATGGTAGAAACGGCTATCTTCGTATAAAAACTAGACGGAATCATTCTCAGAAACTGCTTTGTGATGTGTGTATTAAACTCACAGAGTTGAACATTTCTTTGCATAGAGCAGTTTGGAAAGACTTAGTTTGTGCAGTGTGCAAGTGGATATTTGGAACTCTTTGAGGCCTTCGTTGGAAACGGGATTTCTTCTTATAATTCTTGACAAAAGAATTCTCAGTAGCTTCTTTGTGTGTGTGTATTCAACTCACAGAGTTGAACCTTCCTTTAGACAGAGCAGATTGGAAACACTCTTTTTGTGGAATTTGCAAGTGGAGAATTCTAGCGCTTTGACGCCAATGGTAGAAAGGAAATATCTTCGTATAAAAACTAGACAGTATCATTCTCAGAAGCTACTTTGTGATGTGTGCGTTCAACTCACAGAGTTTAACCTTTCTTTTCATAGAGCAGTTTGGAAACCCTCTGTTTGTGAAGTCTGCAAGTGGATATTTAAACGTCTTTGAGGCCTTCGTTGGAAACGGGATTTTTTCATATAAACCAGGACAGAAGAATTCTCAGAAACTTCTTGATTGTTATGTGTGCATTCAACTCACAGAGTTGAACCTTACTTTGGAAAGAGCAGTTTTCTAACACTCTTTTTGTAAAAGTTCCAAGTGAATACTTTGAGTGCTTTGAAGCCTACGGTTGACAACGAAATATCTTCATGTAAAAACTACAAAGAATCATTCGCAGAAACCACGTTGTGATCTCTGCAGTCAACTCACAGAGTTCAACCTTTCTTCCTATAGAGCAGTTATGAAACAGTCTCTTTGTAGAATTTGCAAGGGTGTATTTAGAGGGCATTGAAGCCTACGGTAGAAAAGGAAATATCTTACCATAAAATCTAGTCAGAAGCATTCTCAGCAACTGAGTTGTGATGTTTGCATTCAACTCACAGAGTTCAACATTCCTTTTCATGGAGCGGTTTTGAAACACTCTTTTTGCAGAATCTGCAAGTGGATATTTGGACCTCTTTGAGGCCTTCGTTGGAAACGGGATTTCTTCATGTAATGCCAGACAGAAGAATTCTCAGTGAATTCTTTCTGTGTGTGTGTATTCAACTCACAGAGTTGAACGTTCCTTTAGACAGAGTAGATTGGAAACACTCTTTTTGTGGAATTTTCAGGTGGAGGTATCAAGCGCTTTGAGGCCAATGATAGAAAAGGAAATACCTTCGTATAATAATTAGACGGAATCATTCTCAGAAACCGCTTTGCAATGTGTGCGTTCAACTCACAGTGTTTAACCTTTCTTTTCATACAGTTGTTTCGAAACACTCTTTTTGCAGAATCTGCAAGTGGATATTTGGACCTACTTTGAAGTCTTCGTTGGAAATGGGATTTCTTCATATAATGCTAGACAGAGACTTCTCAGTAACTGCTTTTTCTGGTGTGTATTCAACTCTCAGAGTTGAACTTTCCTTTAGAAACAGCAGAGTTGAAACTCTCTTTTTGTGGAATTTGCAAGTGGAGATTTCAAAGCTTTGAGGCCAATGGTAGAAAAGGAAATATCTTCGTATGCAAACTAGACAGAATCATTCTCAGAAACTACTTTGGTACGTGTGTGTTCAACTCACAGTGTTTAACCTTTCTTTTCATAGAGCAGTTTGGAAACACTCAGTTTGTAAAGTCAGCAACTGGATATTTGGATGTATTTGAGGCCTTCGTTGGAAACGGGATTTCTTCATATAGTGCTAGACAGAAGAATTCTCAGTAACTTCTTTGGGTTGTGGGTATTCAACTCACAGAGTTGAAGCTTCCTTTAGGCGGAGCAGATTGGAAACACTTTTTGTGGAATTTTCAGGGGGAGACTTCAAGCGCTTTGAAGTGAATGGTAGGAAAGGAAATATCTTCGTATAAAAACTAGACGGAGTCATTCTCAGAAACTACTTTGTGATGTTTGCGTTCAACTCACAGAGTTTAACGTTTCTTTTCATAGAGCAGTTTGGAAACACTCTTTTTGCAGAATCTGCAAGTGGATATTTGGACCTCTTTGTGGCCTTCGTTGGAAACGGGATTTTTCATATAATGCTAGACAGAAGAATTCTCAGTAACTTCTTTTTGTGGTGTGTATTCAACTCACAGAGTTGAACCTTCCTTTAGACAGAGCAGATTTGAAACTCTCTTTTTGTGGAATTTGCAAGTGGAGATTTCAAGCGCTTTGAGGCCAACGGCAGAAAAGGAAATATCTTCGTAGAAAAAATAGACGGAATCATTCTCAGAAACTGCTTTGGGATGTGTGCATTGAACTCACAGTGTTTAACACTTCTTTTCATAGAGCACTTTGGAAACACTCAGTTTGTAATGTCTGCAGCTGGATATTTGGACCTCTTTGAGGCCTTCGTAGTAAACGGGATTTCTTCGTGTAATGATAGACAATAGAATTCTCAGTGAATTTTTTTCTGTGTGTGTGTATTCAACTCACAGTGTTGAACCTTCCTTTAGACAGTGCAGATTTGAAACACTTGTCTGTGGAATTTGCAAGGGGAGATTTCAAGCACTTTGAGGCCATTGGTGGAAAAGGAAATATCTTCGTATAAAAACTAGACAGAATCATTCTCAGGAACTACTTTGTGATATGTGCATTCAACTCCCAGAGTTTAACCTTTCTTTTCATAGATGAGTTTGGAAACAGTCAGTTTGTAAATTCTGCAACTGGATATTTGGACCTCTTTGAGGCTTTCGTTGGAAACGGGATTTCTTCACATAATGCTAGACAGAAGAATTCTCAGTAACTTCTTTTGGGATGTATGTATTCAAATCAGAGAGTTGAACCTTCCTTTAGACAGAGCGGATTGGAAACACTCTTTTTGTGGAATTTGCAAGTGGAAAATTCTAGCAGTATGAGGCCAATGGTACAAAAGGAAATATCTTCGTATAAAAACTAGACAGTATCATTCTCAGAAACTGCTTTGTGATGTGTGTATTAAACTCACAGAGTTGAACATTTCTTTGCATAGAGCAGTTTGGAAAGACTTAGTTTGTGCAGTGTGCAAGTGGATATTTGGAACTCTTTGAGGCCTTCGTTGGAAACGGGATTTCTTCTTATAATTCTTGACAAAAGAATTCTCAGTAGCTTCTTTGTGTGTGTGTACTCAACTCACAGAGTTGAACCTTCCTTTAGACAGAGCAGATTGGAAACACTCTTTTTGTGGAATTTGCAAGTGGAAAATTCTAGCAGTATGAGGCCAATGGTACAAAAGGAAATATCTTCGTATAAAAACTAGACAGTATCATTCTCAGAAACTACTTTGTGAGGTGTGCGTTCAACTCACAGTGTTTACCCTTTCTTTTCATAGAGCAGTTTGGAAACACTCTGTTTGTGAAGTCTGCAAGTGGATATTTAAACGTCTTTGAGGCCTTCGTTGGAAACGGGATTTCTTCATATAAACCAGGACAGAAGAATTCTCAGAAACTTCTTGTTTGTTATGTGTGCATTCAACTCACAGAGTTGAACCTTACTTTGGAAAGAGCAGTTTTCTAACACTCTTTTTGTAAAAGTTCCAAGTGAATACTTTGAGTGCTTTGAAGCCTACGGTAGACAACGAAATATCTTCATGTAAAAACTACAAAGAATCATTCGCAGAAACCACGTTGTGATCTCTGCATTCAACTCACAGAGTTGAACCTTTCCTCCTATAGAGCAGTTATGAAACAGTCTCTTTGTAGAATTTGCAAGGGTGTATTTAGAGGGCATTGAAGCCTACGGTAGAAAAGGAAATATCTTACCATAAAATCTAGTCAGAAGCATTCTCAGCAACTGAGTTGTGATGTTTGCATTCAACTCACAGAGTTCAACATTCCTTTTAATGGAGCGGTTTTGAAACACTCTTTTTGCAGAATCTGCAAGTGGATATTTGGACCTCTTTGAGGCCTTCGTTGGAAACGGGATTTCTTCATGTAATGCCAGACAGAAGAACTCTCAGTGAATTCTTTCTGTGTGTGTGTACTCAACTCACAGAGTTGAACGTTCCCTTAGACAGAGTAGATTGGAAACACTCTTTTTGTGGAATGTTCACGTGGAGGTATCAAGCGCTTTGAGGCCCATGATAGAAAAGGAAATACCTTCGTATAATAATTAGATGGAATCATTCTCAGAAACCGCTTTGCAATGTGTGCGTTCAACTCACAGTGTTTAACCTTTCTTTTCATACAGTTGTTTCGAAACACTCTTTTTGCAGAATCTGCAAGTGGATATTTGGACCTCTTTGAAGTCTTCGTTGGAAATGGGATTTCTTCATATAATGCTAGACAGAAGACTTCTCAGTAACTGCTTTTTCTGGTGTGTATTCAACTCTCAGAGTTGAACTTTCCTTTAGAAACAGCAGATTTGAAACTCTCTTTTTGTGGAATTTGCAAGTGGAGATTTCAGAGCTTTGAGGCCAATGGTAGAAAAGGAAATATCTTCGTATGCAAACTAGACAGAATCATTCTCAGAAACTACTTTGGTACGTGTGTGTTCAACTCACAGTGTTTAACCTTTCTTTTCATAGAGCAGTTTGGAAACACTCAGTTTGTAAAGTCAGCAACTGGATATTTGGATGTATTTGAGGCCTTCGTTGGAAACGGGATTTCTTCATATAATGCTAGACAGAAGAATTCTCAGTAACTTCTTTGGGTTGTGGGTATTCAAGTCACAGAGTTGAAGCTTCCTTTAGGCGGAGCAGATTGGAAACACTTTTTGTGGAATTTTCAGGGGGAGACTTCAAGCGCTTTGAAGTGAATGGTAGGAAAGGAAATATCTTCGTATAAAAACTAGACGGAGTCATTCTCAGAAACTACTTTGTGATGTTTGCGTTCAACTCACAGAGTTTAACAGTTTCTTTTCATAGAGCAGTTTGGAAACACTCTTTTTGCAGAATCTGCAAGTGGATATTTGGACCTCTTTGTGGCCTTCGTTGGGAACGGGATTTTTCATATAATGCTAGACAGAAGAATTCTCAGTAACTTCTTTTTGTGGTGTGTATTCAACTCACAGAGTTGAACCTTCCTTTAGACAGAGCAGATTTGAAACTCTCTTTTTGTGGAATTTGCAAGTGTAGATTTCAAGCACTTTGAGGCCAACGGTAGAAAAGGAAATATCTTCGTAGAAAAAATAGACGGAATCATTCTCAGAAACTGCTTTGGGATGTGTGCATTGAACTCACAGTGTTTAACACTTCTTTTCATAGAGCACTTTGGAAACACTCAGTTTGTAATGTCTGCAGCTGGATATTTGGACCTCTTTGAGGCCTTCGTAGTAAACGGGATTTCTTCGTGTAATGATAGACAATAGAATTCTCAGTGAATTTTTTTCTGTGTGTGTGTATTCAACTCACAGGGTTGAACCTTCCTTTAGACAGTGCAGATTTGAAACACTTGTCTGTGGAATTTGCAAGGGGAGATTTCAAGCACTTTGAGGCCATTGGTGGAAAAGGAAATATCTTCGTATAAAAACTAGACAGAATCATTCTCAGGAACTACTTTGTGATATGTGCATTCAACTCCCAGAGTTTAACCTTTCTTTTCATAGATGAGTTTGGAAACAGTCAGTTTGTAAATTCTGCAACTGGATATTTGGACCTCTTTGAGGCTTTCGTTGGAAACGGGATTTCTTCACATAATGCTAGACAGAAGAATTCTCAGTAACTTCTTTTGGGATGTATGTATTCAAATCAGAGAGTTGAACCTTCCTTTAGACAGAGCGGATTGGAAACACTCTTTTTGTGGAATTTGCAAGTGGAAAATTCTAGCAGTATGAGGCCAATGGTACAAAAGGAAATATCTTCGTATAAAAACTAGACAGTATCGTTCTCAGAAACTGCTTTGTGATGTGTGAATTAAACTCACAGAGTTGAACATTTCTTTGCATAGAGCAGTTTGGAAAGACTTAGTTTGTGCAGTGTGCAAGTGGATATTTGGAACTCTTTGAGGCCTTCGTTGGAAACGGGATTTCTTCTTATAATTCTTGACAAAAGAATTCTCAGTAGCTTCTTTGTGTGTGTGTATTCAACTCACAGAGTTGAACCTTCCTTTAGACAGAGCAGATTGGAAACACTCTTTTTGTGGAATTTGCAAGTGGAGAATTCTAGCGCTTTGACGCCAATGGTAGAAAGGAAATATCTTCGTATAAAAACTAGACAGTATCATTCTCAGAAACTACTTTGTGAGGTGTGCGTTCAACTCACAGTGTTTACCCTTTCTTTTCATAGAGCAGTTTGGAAACACTCTGTTTGTGAAGTCTGCAAGTGGATATTTAAACGTCTTTGAGGCCTTCGTTGGAAACGGGATTTCTTCATATAAACCAGGACAGAAGAATTCTCAGAAACTTCTTGTTTGTTATGTGTGCATTCAACTCACAGAGTTGAACCTTACTTTGGAAAGAGCAGTTTTCTAACACTCTTTTTGTAAAAGTTCCAAGTGAATACTTTGAGTGCTTTGAAGCCTACGGTAGACAACGAAATATCTTCATGTAAAAACTACAAAGAATCATTCACAGAAACCACGTTGTGATCTCTGCATTCAACTCACAGAGTTGAACCTTTCCTCCTATAGAGCAGTTATGAAACAGTCTCTTTGTAGAATTTGCAAGGGTGTATTTACAGGGCATTGAAGCCTACGGTAGAAAAGGAAATATCTTACCATAAAATCTAGTCAGAAGCATTCTCAGAAACTGAGTTGTGATGTTTGCATTCAACTCACAGAGTTCAACATTCCTTTTAATGGAGCGGTTTTGAAACACTCTTTTTGCAGAATCTGCAAGTGGATATTTGGACCTCTTTGAGGCCTTCGTTGGAAACGGGATTTCTTCATGTAATGCCAGACAGAAGAATTCTCAGTGAATTCTTTCTGTGTGTGTGTATTCAACTCACAGAGTTGAACGTTCCTTTAGACAGAGTAGATTGGAAACACTCTTTTTGTGGAATTTTCAGGTGGAGGTATCAAGCGCTTTGAGGCCAATGATAGAAAAGGAAATACCTTCGTATAATAATTAGACGGAATCATTCTCAGAAACCGCTTTGCAATGTGTGCGTTCAACTCACAGTGTTTAACCTTTCTTTTCATACAGTTGTTTCGAAACACTCTTTTTGCAGAATCTGCAAGTGGATATTTGGACCTCTTTGAAGTCTTCGTTGGAAATGGGATTTCTTCATATAATGCTAGACAGAAGACTTCTCAGTAACTGCTTTTTCTGGTGTGTATTCAACTCTCAGAGTTGAACTTTCCTTTAGAAACAGCAGATTTGAAACTCTCTTTTTGTGGAATTTGCAAGTGGAGATTTCAGAGCTTTGAGGCCAATGGTAGAAAAGGAAATATCTTCGTATGCAAACTAGACAGAATCATTCTCAGAAACTACTTTGGTACGTGTGTGTTCAACTCACAGTGTTTAACCTTTCTTTTCATAGAGCAGTTTGGAAACACTCAGTTTGTAAAGTCAGCAACTGGATATTTGGATGTATTTGAGGCCTTCGTTGGAAACGGGATTTCTTCATATAATGCTAGACAGAAGAATTCTCAGTAACTTCTTTGGGTTGTGGGTATTCAAGTCACAGAGTTGAAGCTTCCTTTAGGCGGAGCAGATTGGAAACACTTTTTGTGGAATTTTCAGGGGGAGACTTCAAGCGCTTTGAAGTGAATGGTAGGAAAGGAAATATCTTCGTATAAAAACTAGACGGAGTCATTCTCAGAAACTACTTTGTGATGTTTGCGTTCAACTCACAGAGTTTAACGTTTCTTTTCATAGAGCAGTTTGGAAACACTCTTTTTGCAGAATCTGCAAGTGGATATTTGGACCTCTTTGTGGCCTTCGTTGGAAACGGGATTTTTCATATAATGCTAGACAGAAAAATTCTCAGTAACTTCTTTTTGTGGTGTGTATTCAACTCACAGAGTTGAACCTTCCTTTAGACAGAGCAGATTTGAAACTCTCTTTTCGTGGAATTTGCAAGTGGAGATTTCAAGCGCTTTGAGGCCAACGGTAGAAAAGGAAATATCTTCGTAGAAAAAATAGACGGAATCATTCTCAGAAACTGCTTTGGGATGTGTGCATTGAACTCACAGTGTTTAACACTTCTTTTCATAGAGCACTTTGGAAACACTCAGTTTGTAATGTCTGCAGCTAGATATTTGGACCTCTTTGAGGCCTTCGTAGTAAACGGGATTTCTTCGTGTAATGATAGACAATGTAATTCTCAGTGAATTTTTTTCTGTGTGTGTGTATTCAACTCACAGGGTTGAACCTTCCTTTAGACAGTGCAGATTTGAAACACTTGTCTGTGGAATTTGCAAGGGGAGATTTCAAGCACTTTGAGGCCATTGGTGGAAAAGGAAATATCTTCGTATAAAAACTAGACAGAATCATTCTCAGGAACTACTTTGTGATATGTGCATTCAACTCACAGAGTTTAACCTTTCTTTTCATAGATGAGTTTGGAAACAGTCAGTTTGTAAATTCTGCAACTGGATATTTGGACCTCTTTGAGGCTTTCGTTGGAAACGGGATTTCTTCACATAATGCTAGACAGAAGAATTCTCAGTAACTTCTTTTGGGATGTATGTATTCAAATCAGAGAGTTGAACCTTCCTTTAGACAGAGCGGATTGGAAACACTCTTTTTGTGGAATTTGCAAGTGGAAAATTCTAGCAGTATGAGGCCAATGGTACAAAAGGAAATATCTTCGTATAAAAACTAGACAGTATCATTCTCAGAAACTGCTTCGTGATGTGTGTATTAAACTCACAGAGTTGAACATTTCTTTGCATAGAGCAGTTTGGAAAGACTTAGTTTGTGCAGTGTGCAAGTGGATATTTGGAACTCTTTGAGGCCTTCGTTGGAAACGGGATTTCTTCTTATAATTCTTGACAAAAGAATTCTCAGTAGCTTCTTTGTGTGTGTGTATTCAACTCACAGAGTTGAACCTTCCTTGAGACAGAGCAGATTGGAAACACTCTTTTTGTGGAATTTGCAAGTGGAGAATTCTAGCGCTTTGACGCCAATGGTAGAAAGGAAATATCTTCGTATAAAAACTAGACAGTATCATTCTCAGAAACTACTTTGTGATGTGTGCGTTCAACTCACAGAGTTTAACCTTTCTTTTCATAGAGCAGTTTGGAAACACTCTGTTTGTGAAGTCTGCAAGTGGATATTTAAACGTCTTTGAGGCCTTCGTTGGAAACGGGATTTTTTCCTATAAACCAGGACAGAAGAATTCTCAGAAACTTCTTGTTTGTTATGTGTGCATTCAACTCACAGAGTTGAACCTTACTTTGGAAAGAGCAGTTTTCTAACACTCTTTTTGTAAAAGTTCCAAGTGAATACTTTGAGTGCTTTGAAGCCTACGGTAGACAACGAAATATCTTCATGTAAAAACTACAAAGAATCATTCGCCGAAACCACGTTGTGATCTCTGCATGCAACTCACAGAGTTCAACCTTTCTTCCTATAGAGCAGTTATTAAACAGTCCCTTTGTAGAATTTGCAAGGGTGTATTTAGAGGGCATTGAGGCCTACGGTAGAAAAGGAAATATCTGACCATAAAATCTAGTCAGAAGCATTCTCAGAAACTGAGTTGTGATGTTTGCATTCAACTCACAGAGTTCAACATTCCTTTTAATGGAGCGGTTTTGAAACACTCTTTTTGCAGAATCTGCAAGTGGATATTTGGACCTCTTTGAGGCCTTCGTTGGAAACGGGATTTCTTCATGTAATGCCAGACAGAAGAATTCTCAGTGAATTCTTTCTGTGTGTGTGTATTCAACTCACGGAGTTGAACGTTCCTTTAGACAGAGTAGATTGGAAACACTCTTTTTGTGGAATTTTCAGGTGGAGGTATCAAGCGCTTTGAGGCCAATGATAGAAAAGGAAATACCTTCGTATAATAATTAGACGGAATCATTCTCAGAAACTGCTTTGCAATGTGTGCGTTCAACTCACAGTGTTTAACCTTTCTTTTCATACAGTTGTTTCGAAACACTCTTTTTGCAGAATCTGCAAGTGGATATTTGGACCTCTTTGAAGTCTTCGTTGGAAATGGGATTTCTTCATATAATGCTAGACAGAAGACTTCTCAGTAACTGCTTTTTCTGGTGTGTATTCAACTCTCAGAGTTGAACTTTCCTTTAGAAACAGCAGATTTGAAACTCTCATTTTGTGGAATTTGCAAGTGGAGATTTCAAAGCTTTGAGGCCAATGGTAGAAAAGGAAATATCTTCGTATGCAAACGAGACAGAATCATTCTCAGAAACCACTTTGGTACGTGTGTGTTCAACTCACAGTGTTTAACCTTTCCTTTCATAGAGCAGTTTGGAAACACTCAGTTTGTAAAGTCAGCAACTGGATATTTGGATGTATTTGAGGCCTTCGTTGGAAACGGGATTTCTTCATGTAATGCTAGACAGAAGAATTCTCAGTAACTTCTTCGGGTTGTGGGTATTCAAGTCACAGAGTTGAAGCTTCCTTTAGGCGGAGCAGATTGGAAACACTTTTTGTGGAATTTTCAGGGGGAGACTTCAAGCGCTTTGAAGTGAATGGTAGGAAAGGAAATATCTTCGTATAAAAACTAGACGGAGTCATTCTCAGAAACTACTTTGTGATGTTTGCGTTCAACTCACAGAGTTTAACGTTTCTTTTCATAGAGCATTTTGGAAACACTCTTTTTGCAGAATCTGCAAGTGGATATTTGGACCTCTTTGAGGCCTTCGTTGGAAACGGGATTTTTCATATAATGCTAGACAGAAGAATTCTCAGTAACTTCTTTTTGTGGTGTGTATTCAACTCACAGAGTTGAACCTTCCTTTAGACAGAGCAGATTTGAAACTCTCTTTTTGTGGAATTTGCAAGTGGAGATTTCAAGCGCTTTGAGGCCAACGGCAGAAAAGGAAATATCTTCGTAGAAAAAATAGACGGAATCATTCTCAGAAACTGCTTTGGGATGTGTGCATTGAACTCACAGTGTTTAACACTTCTTTTCATAGAGCACTTTGGAAACACTCAGGTTGTAATGTCTGCAGCTGGATATTTGGACCTCTTTGAGGCCTTCGTAGTAAACGGGATTTCTTCGTGTAATGATAGACAATAGAATTCTCAGTGAATTTTTTTCTGTGTGTGTGTATTCAACTCACAGGGTTGAACCTTCCTTTAGACAGTGCAGATTTGAGACACTTGTCTGTGGAATTTGCAAGGGGAGATTTCAAGCACTTTGAGGCCATTGGTGGAAAAGGAAATATCTTCGTATAAAAACTAGACAGAATCATTCTCAGGAACTACTTTGTGATACGTGCATTCAACTCACAGGGTTTAACCTTTCTTTTCATAGATGAGTTTGGAAACAGTCAGTTTGTAAATTCTGCAACTGGATATTAGGACCTCTTTGAGGCGTTCGTTGGAAACGGGATTTCTTCACATAATGCTAGACAGAAGAATTCTCAGTAACTTCTTTTGGGATGTATGTATTCAAATCAGAGAGTTGAACCTTCCTTTAGACAGAGCGGATTGGAAACACTCTTTTTGTGGAATTTGCAAGTGGAAAATTCTAGCAGTATGAGGCCAATGGTACAAAAGGAAATATCTTCGTATAAAAACTAGACAGTATCATTCTCAGAAACTGCTTTGTGATGTGTGTATTAAACTCACAGAGTTGAACATTTCTTTGCATAGAGCAGTTTGGAAAGACTTAGTTTGTGCAGTGTGCAAGTGGATATTTGGAACTCTTTGAGGCCTTCGTTGGAAACGGGATTTCTTCTTATAATTCTTGACAAAAGAATTCTCAGTAGCTTCTTTGTGTGTGTGTATTCAACTCACAGAGTTGAACCTTCCTTTAGACAGAGCAGATTGGAAACACTCTTTTTGTGGAATTTGCAAGTGGAGAATTCTAGCGCTTTGACGCCAATGGTAGAAAGGAAATATCTTCGTATAAAAACTAGACAGTATCATTCTCAGAAGCTACTTTGTGATGTGTGCGTTCAACTCACAGAGTTTAACCTTTCTTTTCATAGAGCAGTTTGGAAACCCTCTGTTTGTGAAGTCTGCAAGTGGATATTTAAACGTCTTTGAGGCCTTCGTTGGAAACGGGATTTTTTCATATAAACCAGGACAGAAGAATTCTCAGAAACGTCTTGATTGTTATGTGTGCATTCAACTCACAGAGTTGAACCTTACTTTGGAAAGAGCAGTTTTCTAATACTCTTTTTGTAAAAGTTCCAAGTGAATACTTTGAGTGCTTTGAAGCCTACGGTTGACAACGAAATATTTTCATGTAAAAACTACAAAGAATCATTCGCAGAAACCACGTTGTGATCTCTGCATTCAACTCACAGAGTTCAACCTTTCTTCCTATAGAGCAGTTATGAAACAGTCTCTTTGTAGAATTTGCAAGGGTGTATTTAGAGGGCATTGAAGCCTACGGTAGAAAAGGAAATATCTTACCATAAAATCTAGTCAGAAGCATTCTCAGAAACTGAGTTGTGATGTTTGCATTCAACTCACAGAGTTCAACATTCCTTTTAATGGAGCGGTTTTGAAACACTCTTTTTGCAGAATCTGCAAGTGGATATTTGGACCTCTTTGAGGCCTTCGTTGGAAACGGGATTTCTTCATGTAATGCCAGATAGAAGAATTCTCAGTGAATTCTTTCTGTGTGTGTGTATTCAACTCACAGAGTTGAACGTTCCTTTAGACAGAGTAGATTGGAAACACTCTTTTTGTGGAATTTTCAGGTGGAGGTATCAAGCGCTTTGAGGCCAATGATAGAAAAGGAAATACCTTCGTATAATAATTAGACGGAATCATTCTCAGAAACCGCTTTGCAATGTGTGCGTTCAACTCACAGTGTTTAACCTTTCTTTTCATACAGTTGTTTCGAAACACTCTTTTTGCAGAATCTGCAAGTGGATATTTGGACCTCTTTGAAGTCTTCGTTGGAAATGGGATTTCTTCATATAATGCTAGACAGAAGACTTCTCAGTAACTGCTTTTTCTGGTGTGTATTCAACTCTCAGAGTTGAACTTTCCTTTAGAAACAGCAGATTTGAAACTCTCTTTTTGTGGAATTTGCAAGTGGAGATTTCAGAGCTTTGAGGCCAATGGTAGAAAAGGAAATATCTTCGTATGCAAACTAGACAGAATCATTCTCAGAAACTACTTTGGTACGTGTGTGTTCAACTCACAGTGTTTAACCTTTCTTTTCATAGAGCAGTTTGGAAACACTCAGTTTGTAAAGTCAGCAACTGGATATTTGGATGTATTTGAGGCCTTCGTTGGAAACGGGATTTCTTCATATAATGCTAGACAGAAGAATTCTCAGTAACTTCTTTGGGTTGTGGGTATTCAAGTCACAGAGTTGAAGCTTCCTTTAGGCGGAGCAGATTGGAAACACTTTTTGTGGAATTTTCAGGGGGAGACTTCAAGCGCTTTGAAGTGAATGGTAGGAAAGGAAATATCTTCGTATAAAAACTAGACGGAGTCATTCTCAGAAACTACTTTGTGATGTTTGCGTTCAACTCACAGAGTTTAACGTTTCTTTTCATAGAGCAGTTTGGAAACACTCTTTTTGCAGAATCTGCAAGTGGATATTTGGACCTCTTTGTGGCCTTCGTTGGAAACGGGATTTTTCATATAATGCTAGACAGAAGAATTCTCAGTAACTTCTTTTTGTGGTGTGTATTCAACTCACAGAGTTGAACCTTCCTTTAGACAGAGCAGATTTGAAACTCTCTTTTTGTGGAATTTGCAAGTGGAGATTTCAAGCGCTTTGAGGCCAACGGTAGAAAAGGAAATATCTTCGTAGAAAAAATAGACGGAATCATTCTCAGAAACTGCTTTGGGATGTGTGCATTGAACTCACAGTGTTTAACACTTCTTTTCATAGAGCACTTTGGAAACACTCAGGTTGTAATGTCTGCAGCTGGATATTTGGACCTCTTTGAGGCCTTCGTAGTAAACGGGATTTCTTCGTGTAATGATAGACAATAGAATTCTCAGTGAATTTTTTTCTGTGTGTGTGTATTCAACTCACAGGGTTGAACCTTTCTTTAGACAGTGCAGATTTGAGACACTTGTCTGTGGAATTTGCAAGGGGAGATTTCAAGCACTTTGAGGCCATTGGTGGAAAAGGAAATATCTTCGTATAAAAACTAGACAGAATCATTCTCAGGAACTACTTTGTGATATGTGCATTCAACTCCCAGAGTTTAACCTTTCTTTTCATAGATGAGTTTGGAAACAGTCAGTTTGTAAATTCTGCAACTGGATATTTGGACCTCTTTGAGGCTTTCGTTGGAAACGGGATTTCTTCACATAATGCTAGACAGAAGAATTCTCAGTAACTTCTTTTGGGATGTATGTATTCAAATCAGAGAGTTGAACCTTCCTTTAGACAGAGCGGATTGGAAACACTCTTTTTGTGGAATTTGCAAGTGGAAAATTCTAGCAGTATGAGGCCAATGGTACAAAAGGAAATATCTTCGTATAAAAACTAGACAGTATCATTCTCAGAAACTGCTTTGTGATGTGTGTATTAAACTCACAGAGTTGAACATTTCTTTGCATAGAGCAGTATGGAAAGACTTAGTTTGTGCAGTGTGCAAGTGGATATTTGGAACTCTTTGAGGCCTTGGTTGGAAACGGGATTTCTTCTTATAATTCTTGACAAAAGAATTCTCAGTAGCTTCTTTGTGTGTGTGTACTCAACTCACAGAGTTGAACCTTCCTTTAGACAGAGCAGATTGGAAACACTCTTTTTGTGGAATTTGCAAGTGGAAAATTCTAGCAGTATGAGGCCAATGGTACAAAAGGAAATATCTTCGTATAAAAACTAGACAGTATCATTCTCAGAAACTACTTTGTGATGTGTGCGTTCAACTCAGAGTGTTTACCCTTTCTTTTCATAGAGCAGTTTGGAAACACTCTGTTTGTGAAGTCTGCAAGTGGATATTTAAACGTCTTTGAGGCCTTCGTTGGAAACGGGATTTCTTCATATAAACCAGGACAGAAGAATTCTCAGAAACTTCTTGTTTGTTATGTGTGCATTCAACTCACAGAGTTGAACCTTACTTTGGAAAGAGCAGTTTTCTAACACTCTTTTTGTGAAAGTTCCAAGTGAATACTTTGAGTGCTTTGAAGCCTACGGTAGACAACGAAATATCTTCATGTAAAAACTACAAAGAATCATTCGCAGAAACCACGTTGTGATCTCTGCATTCAACTCACAGAGTTGAACCTTTCCTCCTATAGAGCAGTTATGAAGCAGTCTCTTTGTAGAATTTGCAAGGGTGTGTTTACAGGGCATTGAAGCCTACGGTAGAAAAGGAAATATCTTACCATAAAATCTAGTCAGAAGCATTCTCAGAAACTGAGTTGTGATGTTTGCATTCAACTCACAGAGTTCAACATTCCTTTTAATGGAGCGGTTTTGAAACACTCTTTTTGCAGAATCTGCAAGTGGATATTTGGACCTCTTTGAGGCCTTCGTTGGAAACGGGATTTCTTCATGTAATGCCAGACAGAAGAATTCTCAGTGAATTCTTTCTGTGTGTGTGTATTCAACTCACAGAGTTGAACGTTCCTTTAGACAGAGTAGATTGGAAACACTCTTTTTGTGGAATTTTCAGGTGGAGGTATCAAGCGCTTTGAGGCCCATGATAGAAAAGGAAATACCTTCGTATAATAATTAGACGGA